>NC_000016.10:73653409-73956439 GCF_000001405.40 Homo sapiens
TAAACAGAAATCATTAAACAAAAATAAAACTAGAAAATCTCCCATCAGTTTGGAAATTAGAGAAATATTGTTCTAAATAACTATGGCTCAACAAAGGAATCTAATGGAAATTGCACATCTAAAAATGCATGGTAATGAAATACACTACATATAAAAACTTGTGAGATATAACTAAAGCAATACAAATTTATTAGTGAAAATTCGGAAAAGTTATGAAGGGCAATGACTACTTTCCCATTTCTAAATTGTGTAAAAATAGAAAAAAAACCCACCCAAAACAAACAAAAGGGAGTGAAAGTAAAATAGTATATAAACTAGATTTAATAAAACAGAATGTGTTGAAAAACTAAAGGTGGTTCCTTGAAAGGAGTAAAATTGTAAAACATTTAGTGATAAAGAATAAAGAAAAGGTAAAAGGCATTGAAGAAAGAAATATGAAGAATGAAACAGAATATGACTGCAGATGGTGCCATCATTAAAAAGATAAAAAGAGGGCCGGGCACGGTGGCTCACGCCTGTAATCCCAGCACTTTGAGAGGCCGAGGCGGGTGGATCACGAGGTCAGGAGATCAAGACCATCCTGGCCAACATGGTGAAACCCCGTCTCTACTAAAAATACAAAAAATTAGCCGGGCGTGGTGGCGGGCGCCTGTAGTCCCAGCTACTCAGGAGGCTGAGGCAGGAGAATGGCATGAACCTGGGAGGCGGAGCCTGCAGTGAGCCGAGATCGTGCCACTGCACTCCAGCCTGGGTGACAGAGCGAGACTCAGTCTCAAAAAAAAAAAAAAAAAGATAAAAAGAGAATGTTACAAAAAACTTCCTCTCAACACATTTAAGTATTTAAGTACGACATTTAACAAAATTGGCTAGATACTTTAGTAGTCTAATAACTATTGAGAAAAATTGAAATGATACTCAAAAATTTTCCGACAAATAGAAGTTCAGGTTCAGATAGCTTCACCAGTGAGTTCTATTATACATTCAAGAACAAAACAATCCTATAAAAATTAACCCCCAAAATAGAAAAACAAAGGAGCTCTTCTTCAGTTCTTTTTATGAGGGCAACTTTACCTTGATACCAACCCCTAATGATGACATACACACAAGAAAAATTATAGGTCAATGTCATTCATGAACATAGATATGAAATTCCTAAAAAATTTATTACTTAAACAATTCCAGCAATTTAAAAAGGTAATACAGCATGAATAATTTGGTTGTAAACCAAATTATTGTTGTATGCAAGGTAAATTAAACATGAGTAAATAATGTATTTTACATTGATAGATTAAAGGAGAAAACATAATTATTTCAATAAGAGGCAAAAAATTGATAAATGTGTAAACTCATTTTTACTAAAAAAAGAGATAGCTTAGCAAACTAGAAATTAAAATAATTTTTTAAAAAAACAATAGGTTATCTCTCTTCTAAACGATAGTAATCACTTTTTTTTTTTTTTTTTTTTTTTTGAGACAGAGTCTCACTGTGTCGCCCAGGTTGGAGTGCAGTGGAGTGATCTCTGCTCACTGCAACTTCCGCCTCCTGGATTCAAGTAATTCCCCTGCCTCAGCTTCCCCAGTAGCTGGGATTACAGGAGCCAGCCACCATGCCTGGCTAATTTTTGTATTTTTAGTAGAGACGGGGTTTTGCCATGTTGGCCAGGCTGGTCTCAAATTCCTGACCTCAAGTGATCTGCCCGCCTTGCCTTCTGAAAGTGCTGGAACTACAGGCGTGAGCCACCACACCCGGCCGTAATCATCACATTTAAAGATGAAATACTGAGATTTCCTCATTTCGCATCTTTGAGATTTCCATCTTTGAGACTGGAAAAGATAAGGATATTCATTTTCACTTCTACTGAGCATTGTTCTAGAGGTCACAGCCAGTACAAGGCAAAGCAGAAGAAATAAAATATAAGGATTAGAAAGAAGGAAACTAAACTGCCATTATTCTTACATAATTGTACATGTAGAAAATCCAAACTAATCTAGTAATTATTAGAATAGGAGACTCTACCAAGTCCCCTGATGCAAAATTGACATATGAAAATCAATTGCATTTCTATACATCAGCAAAAGACAGTTAGAAAATAACATTTAAAAGATACTGATTACATTAACGTCAAAAGGGTTGAGTAAAAATAAATCTAACAAAAAATTTATTCCAAAATTGAATACATGAAAATACAAACAATCTCATTAATAATTATGGTTATGCAAACAATTATGATTATGTAAAATTTAAAAATGCAAGTGATACCATTTCCACTAAATTGGCTAAAACTAAAAACCCTGGTATTACCAAGTATTGAGGAAGCTGCTGAGTGACAGGAATTCTAAAACACTTCTAGTGAGAGTATAAAACAAAAAAACCACCTTGCAAAACCATTTGACATTTAATAGTCATGCTGAAGATGTCATGACTTCTTCATGAAGACCCATTATTTCTACTCCTGGGTACATCCACTCTAGAGAAATTATTGTACATTTGCGCCAAAATACTTATGCAATAATGTATACATAGAAGCATTTTTGCAAAATCCCTAACTGAAAACAACCCAAATGTCTGTCAAGAATAAAATATGTAAATAAATGTTGGTGTAATTATAGAGTGGAGTATTATGCAATGATGAAAATGAACAAACTATAGCTACTCAGTCACTTGAATCAGGGGTTGGCAAACTATAGACCCAAATTTGATCTGTTTTTGTAAACAAAGCTTTAGTGGAACACAACCATGCTTATCCATTTACATGTTGTCTGTGGCTACTTTCAAGCTGCGATAGCAGAACTGAGTACCTGCCACAGAAATCATGTGGTCCACAAAGCCAAAAATTTTCACCAGGTGGCCCTTAACAGAGTCAGATGTCAACTCCTAACTTAAATGAATCTTGCAAGCATAATGTTGACCCCCCAAAAAAGTAACCAAGAGAATACATACCAAATTATTTCATTTGCATTAAGAACCTGATGAAACTACATTATATTGTTTAGGGATGCATACATATGTTGTAGAATTTTAAAGCAACACAAGGAAATGATCATCTCAAAAGGATTGAACTGAGTTACCTCTAGGGAGGATCAAGGGGTTGGGATGGGAGAAGAAATCAAAGGGAATTGGGAGCTAACAATGACATTCCTTAATCTGGGCAGGAGATACATAGGAACTTTATCCAATAACCTTAGTGTGTGGGGGTGTGTGCCTGTGTTTTACATAATTTTCTGGTTGTATGCTAAATTTTTCACTTAAAGTAAAACACAATAAAGTACTTCCACCATTATCTAGCTTATAATTTTAAAGCAAACTGTAAAGTAAAATGTTTCAATTATATTCAAATTTAAACAAGAAAGACTTAGTCCTATATACATAAAAATAACAATAGACTCAAGTTCTGATTACCCTTTTCTCATTCTTTCTAAATTTCAAACATGATTTATATCAAAATGTTAAGAACAGCCAATGCAAAGAAAATTGTTTGCCAAGCTTCAGTCACATAATAAACTATTTTTCTTTTCTAGAAATGCAAATCCTGGGATAGAATGCCAGTGTGTATAACATATTAGCTAGTGTTAACACAGAAATTCCACTCTTGCCAAAATAGCTTTAAGAAAACAAGTTTTCCTTTTTAAAAGTAATCATATTTTTCCTTTGCTTATTAGCATTTAGTATACAAACATACAAAAATGGCTCCTAATTATTTAGTAGCAGCTTTACTGAAATGTAGTCCATATACGGTAGAATTCACCCATTTAAAATGTACAATTTGGCTGGGTGTAGTGGCTCACGCCTGTAATCCCAGCACTTTGGGAGGCCAAGGCAGGAAGTTCACCTGAGGTTAGGAATTCAAGACCAGCCTGCCCAACACGGCAAAACCCTGTCTCTACTAAAAATACAAAAATTAGCCGGGCGTGGTGGTGCATGCCTGCAATCCCAGCTACTTGGGAGGCTGAGGCAGGGAGAATCACCTAAATCCGGGAGGCAGAGGTTGCAGCGAGCCAAGATCGCGCCATTGCACTCCAGCCTGGGTGACAGAGCAAGACTCCATCTCAAAAATAAAATAAGTAAAATGTACAATTCATTGGATTTTCGTGTACTCTCAGAGTTATGCAACCATCACCACAATCAATGTTAGAACATTTTATCATCTCCATAAGAAACCTAGTACCCTTTAGCAATCACCCTCTCAAACCCCCATCTCCTTTCTCCCCCAGTCCTAGTCAAGCACCCACTATTTATTTTATATCTATATAGATTTGCCTATTCTGAACATTTAATGGAAGTGAAAGCATATGACACGTGGTCTTTTTTGCCTGGCTTCTTTCCCTTTGCATAAGGTTTCGAGATTCATCCATGTTGCATGTGTCAGTACCTCATTTCTTTCTATGGCTGAATAGTATTCCGTTGTATGGATATACCACATTTTGTTTATCCATTCATCAGCAGACAGACATTTGAGCTGTTTCCACCTTTTGACTGCTATGAAAAATGATGCTATGAAGATTTGTGTACCAGTTTTTCTATGAACACTTACTTTTCTCTTGGGTATATGTTGACGAATGGAATTAATGCTAATATTTTAATATTTGACTGTAAGTCAGAAGACAAATTATAATACTTCATTTTAATAGAGAGTAGATGCTGTGAAATAAATTTCTATTTAGTTTTCTAAAGCTAATTATCACATCACTTGGAAGTACATATAGCTTTTACTGTGATAATACATTACAATTAACATTACATTTATTCTTGTGACCACTATAATCAAATTTGTTCAACTGGAATATATGAATTTCAGGAAATACTAGCCTTTTAAATTCATGGAAATTTTAAAAAATGTTTCTCATTTATTGAGAATTCTCCAGGCTAAAATAAAAATCCTTCTAATTTTCTTTATTTAAAAATAGAACTTTTTTTTAAATGGGGTCTCGCTCTGTCACCCAGACTGGAGCGCAGTGGCACCAACTCAGCTCACCACAACCTCTGCTTCCTGGGTTCAAGCAATTCTGCCTCAGCCTCCCGAGTAGCTGGGATTATAGGCATGCGCCACCACACCCAGCTAATTTTTGTATTTCTGATAGAGACAGGTTTTCACCATGTTGGCTAGGCTCGTCTCAAACTCCTGATCTCAGGTGATCTGCCCTCCTTGGTCTCCCAAAGTGCTGGGATTACAGGCATGAGCCGCCGTGCCTGGCCAGAAATAGAAATTTTATGACATATCATCCACTTGTATAGTCAGAACCCAACTGCGTAACTCCAAATATGGTTACCATTTTTTAATAATACCAAGTCTTCTGTAATTTAAAATGATTTTTAAAAGCAGGCTAAAACAAATGGATAATTTGAAAATTTAGCACAAAACTATTAACTAAGATTTTCTTAAAAGGTATTCTGTAAAACTACATCTTTGTTCGAGATTTATCTATTTGCATAGCAGTATAACAACCAAAATTTCCAATTTTGGTATTACCATTTTGACTTAAAAATAAACATAAATAATGGACGCATTATTTACCAAGAACTACTATAATCAGGTGGCACTAACTTTCCCCCCAAATCCACCCAGATTCTAAGATAGGTAACCAAAGAGAAACGGAAAAATTAAGAGTTGATAGGAATTAAGGAGAAAGAGATGGAGAGAGATGGCAAAAAAGGAAAAACAATAGAAAGGAGATGTGGTTGGATTCCATTCTTGCTGAGAAAATCTACCGAAATATATATGGTTCCCGCAGTATGCACTTTGGATGGATATGTAAGTAATGGAAGAAAGACACAGAAGGGTGACAGGACAAAACCGAGCATCACATTTGGCCAATTGGCCCTTATGACAGGCAGGGATTCACACAACATCTCTGCAGCCAAAAATGTACATACGTGCAAAAACAACCTTGTCTGCTGGAGGACTCAGGGAAGAGAAGGACCCTGAAGTAGCTTCAAAGAACATCAGCATCCTTCACTCTAATTAAAACCTACTTTTATTTCATTTATATAAGGGTGTCAGGTTCGATTAGAAGCCACGTACAATTTGGCTCTGAGAAGAACGGTAGCTTTCTCTCATGAAGAAAAACGAAGAGAAGTAATTCCTAAATGTTACCCTCAGAGATTCCCAGGGCACCATGCGCACTCACAATGTCTTAATGTCCCTGGGGAGGTGGCTACAGGCTCTGTTGTCAGCTGTATGGAGAGCTTTCAGGCTCCCCTGAAATAGAAATACAGTATTCTTAGTTAACTGGATACACAAATTCATTAAGCAAGCAAAGCATGGCAAAGTCTATCCTCCATTTGCAGTTCTGTGCCCCAATGGGAGAAGAGTATAACTGCATTCTCTGTGGTTTATCTGTGTATACTCATCTGGGCGTATATCGTGTACATGCCTTCTTATTGCATGCGGTTCCAAAATACTTCGTTCAAGTTTCCTTATTAGCAGCAAGTGGGTCTGTTGAAGCTTAACAAAGCCATTTAATAAAAATAGAGCCACCCAAATGAACATGGATTGAAAAAAAATTTTAGATTGATGGAGCGAGGTTGGTCACTGTAATTACGGAAGGTGTATCATTTCCTAAGCTCTCTTTGCATTAAGTGTATGCCATACATACATCAGACATAATTAGCACTTTAGGTGACAATGATTTGATTTCTTTCCTTGTAATAAAAGCCCTCTGCGTTGGCATATACATTCAGAACGGGAAATTGAACACTGTTGCTGTTTATTCACCCGAGGCAAAATTTAGGACGAACTAGGGAAAATACAAGGAGGGCTTACAGAACAGCCCTTTGTGAATTTTGCAAACAGAAAAAGAAAATAGTTCAATAAAAAGCTTTTAAGGATCACAGTCAAACGTGTGCCTTTTAAAAGCAAAGGATTTCTATGGAACGCTTCTCTACTTTTAAAGTCAGCATTTAACTTTCCTTTAGATGTGAACAAACCCACACTAAATTGATTTGTAGACACAACTGCAAAACTGGACACATTTAAATTACTGTGTATGAACCAGAAAAATATTTGTGCTGCCTTCTCTGAGGGCACAGAAGAAAATGGTTTTTAAAATTATTTCTAATAAATATCAATCCTTCCTGCTCCTTCTCTGCCACAATTAAGAATCATGTTAATCTGCATTTCTGTGGATTAAACCATTTATATAAACATTAAAGATTTTTTTAAAAGGGAAAAAGGAGAAACTGAAATGCAAGTTGCTGATCTGTTGTATATGGCTCATAAGGGATACTACATCCTCTTGAAATCTGTAGCCCCACGAGAAACACAATGAAAACGTGCTTTTGCATTTAAATCTTCTTGAAAACCCATTTTCTTCTCTTTTTCATCAAAAACAAAATGTGACAGGTGGGTTAGTTAATTCCTTTATTGCATAAGTTAATCAGAAATTAAGTCATAGATAATGATTGTTAAAATAAACATCTCTAAACTAAACCTAATTTTGTTAGTTAACTTCATGCAAACCTTCCCACTTGCATAGAACTTGCTGACCTTTTGCTTTAATCCTAGGATCTATCTGTTCTACTAATATGCTGATCTACACGTATCTACTGACCAGTTAGAGGGTGAATTGCATACCCATATCTACTCCAATGATTCTAAAATCCTCACAGTGTCACAAAAGTGAAGACTGTATGAGAGATGCTTAAACTGCACATAACACAGCTGTTCCTAAGGATCTTCATTTAACATTTTCTTAAACTTCTATGGACATTTTACTGACTTAAATAAGAATATCTGAAAATAAAGGAAATAAAGGGTCCGGTTTCTTGTGTGAGTTCCTATTTCAGAAACTTATAAATAATAAACCAGAAGCAAAGAAGCCTTTGAAAAATCAGTATGAAGAGTAGGTTATGATGTAAACACATTTTGCCTCAATTGTAAAAAACAAACAAAAAACAGAAAGAAAATACAGTACCTGCTTAGAGCTTTGCAGAGTTAACTCACTGTAATTTGGAACATATAAGCATGAAAGGAGTTCAACAGTTGGATACATCATATACTTTTCCAAGCACAGATTTTTAATAAAGGATGTATGGCCGGGTGTGCTGGCTCACGCCTATAATCCCAGCACTTTGGGAGGCAGAGGCAGGCAGATCAGTTGAGGTTGGAAGTTTGAGACCATCCTGCCCAACATGGCAAAACCCTGTCTCTACAAAAAATACAAAAAATTAGTCAGGCGTGGTGGTGCATGCTTGTAATCCCAGCTACTTGTGAGGCTGAGGCAGGAGAATCACTTGAACCCGGGAGGTGAAGGTTGCAGTGAGTTGAGATCCTGCCTCTGCACTCCAGCCTGGACAACAAAGCAAGACTCCATCTCAGAAAAAAAAAAAAAAAAAAAAAGGATGTGTGAGGTATTAGTAATGGTTTCAAACAATAATTTCTCTTATCTAAAATTTAACTTGAGCCAGATGGAGTTTAAGGTCACAGACAATAAAAAGTACTATTTATGTATTCTCCCAGATGATTGTATATTATTCTGTTTTCTCAACATAAGAAAGATTTCATTTAGAAACTCAAATCTGATTTTTTCAGGTTTGCACCTATAACGTAGGTCATTCTTTTTTTTTTGTTTTTTTTTTTAAGGATAGACACAACGGACCAATTTTTTTTTTTTTTAAGAAAGAATCATGTTACACAAGAACTCAGGGTTGCCAAGCCAGGCTGTACTTGATAAAATGCTGTGGCAGGTGACAGCTGAGCTGCACTCTCTGATCATGCATTATTATGTGAAAGAGAGTTATGTTAAAACCCTGATATTACAAGGTGATATAATCACCTGTTACAGAAATAGTTGTTAAATCAACTAGTTACTAAATAGCATTATAACCAATTATTAGCACTTTTGCGCAAGTGTAAAGCCTTTTCCCAGATTTTTTTGGCTTCATACACAGAATTTTACATCTGTGACATGAGATTCTTTTTTTCTCTCTCACGCAGAAATATTAAATATCCATGACCCACGGTCACAGCGTTTCTCCCTTATTTCTCATTAGATGGATATCTCTTACCTTGACGAGACACATGCACGTATATACATAACATACATATGGGATGTCAGAAAACACTTTCGATTTTTCTTCCATACCCCCCTAGGATGATGTGGGAACCTTATGTCAAAAGCCCTCACTTTAGAACAATAAATAAATAAACCAGCCACAGCCTTCCTGAGGCTGGCAAACTCTAGCATAAGTAATTCAAGAGGCTGAGAGATGCCAGATAAATTTGATTACTATAAAAGATGGGAATATGTTTCTTTCCTTTGAGAATTCACAAAAAGGGGTCAAAAACAAAGCAATGCTGAAAGCGAACAATTTCATTTCGCCTGCAATTCAAGGCGAAAATTCAAAGGCAATTTTGCAAGAACATTTTATCACAATTTTATAGACCCTCATTTCCTGCACACATCACAATCTTTAATTTCTAAAAGAAGAAGGCAAGCAAAGGGGAAGTGGGCGGGGGAGAAGGGGTGAGGAGGCAGAGGCCAACCGTGAGGGGCTTTTTTTTCTTCTTCTTTAAGATATAAATGCAGATATTTATAAAGCAGTGAGAGATTTGTAAATCTTTCTTCAAAGCTGAACCTACTGCTGGGATCGTGATTTGCTAAAAGCTGCTATAGGCATACTCCAAAACTCAGCAGGGTCATCTCTTCCCTTCCAAAAAAATAAAATAAAATAAAAAAGAAAAGAGGTTGGGTTGAGTGGGGGAGGAGTGAAAGCCATTCTGATTTGTAGCGTCTTGACAGACATGAGTTTGAGAAAACTGTTTGCATTTCATACCTTCTCCTTGACTATTTTTCCTTTCCAAAGACACAACAAGAACATCTGAAATTCAGTAGCTTGCTTCCCATCTTTTTGTCTAATTGACTCTCCTTGATGCTGTTTGGAAATGGCAGGTCATTTCTCAAAGCCAAGCTGTCAGGTAGCCCTTTAGCAGGTCACGATCTAAAGACAAATGCAACAGGCATTCATCCAAGGGCACCTTGACCACCTCCACTCCCCACCCTGCAGGTCTTGCCTGGTACAATGAATGGCACAGTTCATGTGGAGCACAAAGATCTAGTTTCCAGTTCCAATTTTGCCAACAACTTCCTGTATGATCCAAAGGAAAGCCACAAACTTGCTCTCATTTCCTAGTGGGAATAAAAAATAGAAGTCCTACTGGCTTTCCAAGATAGCAAGGATAACAGAAAGCAACACGGGTTTGAAAGCCCTTGGCTCATTTTGTACATAAATGCATCCCTAAGACCCAGAATGTGTCTGGGACAAAGGAGATGCTGAATAAATGTTTGTTAACTAAGGAATGAATGCATCTGGGGAAGCGTAAGCCATGAAAATCAGAGTAAAACTGTCATAGTAGATATTAAAACAAAACCAAGATGGGTAGTGCTAAGAATCCACTATCTCTGAGAGGGAAATGGACTGGCTTTAGGATATGGCAGGTATTTCTTTCTCATTGGAGCAATTAACCTCTATGTTCTGTAACCACCCCCACCTCAGTCTCATGCACTGACACATTTACAACCTACTCAAAGCCTCAGCAGGCCATCGAGCTCAGAGGAACTTTGGGGAACACCACCCATTTAGAGATGCAGCAGAGTAACTTCAGACTTTTCTCTAGATAGACAAATTGTTTTCAAAGAGAACTGAATATAAAATAATTTTACTCTGGGAAGGGAATGTCATTTTTAAAAAAGAAAAGGAAAGAAGTGTGAGAAAAAGAAAACTCTTTTGCAAGTCAGTTTTCCAAACTGAACCAGGCACTGCTGTCACCTAGGAGGGCAACGTAACTTTGCCAAACAGTATTGCTGACCTTTTTCTGCACATCTAGAAGCCTTGTTTTCTAGAGGGAAATCTTGAGATGGGCTAGCACTATTTAGTGCTGACCTAATTCCCATGAAAAACAAAGAACTACCATAAATGGAGAAACTGGGCTTTGACAATTGCATCAATATCTAATACAAAAATCGAAGATGGCTTAAGGTTAAAGGATGCATATCCAGCATAGTGCTATATGCAGTACATATATTCGTTCTATGTAACAACCACATATTTATATTCTTTCAGAAACTTGCTTTTTATAATGCTAGTCCCTGATTCAGTGATTGCAAGTGATTTAAAAAAATCAATCCATATCCACAAATAGTCACCAATATATACTGAAATTTGAAATCCCATAGTATTTGCCATTTTGGACTTCCCATCACAAGGAGCATCCATATTCATTCATCTACCAAGAGATCACCAGCAATATACCCGGTGTCATTTAGATGTCCATTAAGATGAGATACAGCACAAATTATAAAAACACTCCTTTGGAAGAGCTACCACCTGGTTACAGCAGGACCAAAAAAGGCAGACATGTATAAGGTGTACCAAAGAGGAAATTTTAACAGAGCATTCAGATACACCCGGAGGAAAGTAATTATAAAGGACAATAACTTTTCCTTTCCGTATACCAATATTTTTTTGCACACAGCTAACACTTAGTTAATGCATTTCCATAGGAGTTTTATTCCATTTAAAATATGTAATGGGATAAACATAGTCAGCAGCACAGTCATGGTCCATTAGAGAGGGCAGATGTATTTATTCATTTATTTAACAAATATTGTGTTAGTGCCTCTTGTCTGCTGAAGAGTGCAGAGTGATTAAGAGCACTATTGTCCCTGCTCTCACGGAGTTTACAGTCTAATGTAGAGGATGAATACAAAAGTAAGTAATTAAATATAGTGTGACAAATGCAATGAAAGTGGTCATAACAGGTGCTTGGGGACCATTGAAGAGATGATCTTTCTGATCATCATTGCACTTTTTTTTTTTTTTTTGGTGAGACAGAGTCTCGCTCTGTTGCGCAGGCTGGAGTGCACTGGTGCCATCCTGGCTCATTGCAACCTCCACCTCCCAGGTCCAAGTAATTATCCTGCCTCAGCCTCCCGAGTAGCTGGGATTACAGGCTCCAGCCACCATGCCCAGCTAATTTTTGTATTTTTAGTAGAGACGGGGTTCCACCATGTTGGCCAGGCTGGCCTCGAACTCCTGACCTCAAGTGATACACCCACCTCGGCCTCCCAAAGTGTTGGGATTACAGGCATGAGCCACCATGCCTGGCCTGACCATTGTACATTTAAGAAGAGGATGCTGAGACCCAGGAAGAGGGCAGTGATTTGCCCAGGGTGATACAGAGATTGCTCCACCAAAGTGAAGGATATGGCAGTGGGATTGTGACCTAAGAAAATGAACAAATTCCAGGATATCTGCTTTACTAAGATAATTCATTTTAAAAGCAGATGAGATACAAATAAATTTTAAAACCCCACATAAATAGAGAGATGATTTGGCATCACTGTGGACCAAATGATTTTTTACTGTACCACATGACCAGTTTTGTGACTTTTCTTCAATAACTTTTTTTTTTTTTTTTTTTTTTTTTTAAGGCAGAGTCTTGCTCTGTCACCCAGGTGGAGTCTCACTCTGTCGCCCAGGCTCACTGCAAGGTCTGCCTCCCGGGTTCATGCCATTCTTCTGCCTCAACTTCATGAGTAACTGGGACTACAGGAGACCACCACCACGCCCGGCTAATTTTTTTGTATTTTTAGTAGAGACAGGATTTCACCGTGTTAGCCAGTATGGTCTCGATCTCCTGACCTTGCGATCCACCCACCTCAGCCTCCCAAAGTGCTGGGGTTACAGGCGTGAGCCACCGCACCCAGCTGCCTTTTCTTCAATAACTTTTAAGCGACCTGAGTGGCAGTTTGTGGGCTGGAGAGTTTGATCGGATATGGAAAAATGGACATACAGATTGGTTTAAAGGATTTAAATCTCCATGTCCTATAAAGCCAGTAGATCCATCACTCACATAGCAGAGAAGTTACATGGGATCACATCATGTCATATTCATGTCTCAAAAGAGTTACCTGTTCCAATATGAAATAATTAAACCTTCTAAAATTGTGCTGCTTTTTTCATATACAAAATGTTTGTGTTTCAGAGAGCTCTTATTATCAAATATAAGGTCTTTGGCCATCTCCACAAAAATACTAAGGGAGTTTTAAAGATTCCTTGAAGGGATGATGGAAAGTTTCTGAACAAAACCTCCTGAGACAGAAAATGCTCCCATATGAAGCCTTGAAGTTTCTACTACAGGAAATGTGAGGACATCACGTCAGATCTGTGAATCTCAGACTGCTGGACCCTTCTCTTTATAGTCACACTTGCTGAAGTATAATTTACATGAAATAAAATTCACTCTTTTTAGTGTACGGGTGTATGAATTTTGTCAAATGCACAGTCATGCCACCACCACTACAACCGAGATACTGAAAAGTTCCATCACTCCTCCCAAATCCCCTTGTACTCTCAAGTCAATCCATCTGCCCTGTCCTGCCCTTAGCAACGACTGATCTGTTCTCTTTACCTGGTTTTGCTTTTTCCAGAATGCAATGAAATGGAATCTGCAGCATGGAGATGTTTGAGTCTGGCTTCTTTCACTTAACACAATGCCTATGGGATTCATCCACGTTATTGAGTTTATCAGTAGTTCATTCTTGTTATTGCTGAGTAATATTCCATTGTACAGATATACAACTTATTTATTTATTTGTTTTTGAGACGGGAGTCTCACTCCGTCACCCAGGCTAGAGTGCAGTGGCACCATCTCGGCTCACTACAACCTCCACCTCTCGGGTTCAAGCGATTCTCCTGCCTCAGCCTCCCAAGTAGCTGGGATTACAGGTGCCCGCCACCACGCCCGGCTAATTTTTGTATTTTTAGTAGAGATGGGATTTTGCCATGTTGCCCAGACTGGTCTCGAACTCTTGACCTTGTGATCCACCCGCCTCAGCCTCCCAAAGGGCTGTGATTACAGGCGTGAGCCACCACACCCAGCTGGATATGCAACTATTTATCCATTCACTAGTTGAAGGACACCTGGACGGTTTCCAGGTTTTGGCGATTATGAGTAAAGCCACTGTAAATGTTAACATACGCTTTTGTGTGAACATAAGTTTTTATTTCTCTTGGGAAAATCCCTAGGAGTAGGTTGGCTGGATCAAATGATACATATATGTTTCAGTTTATTTTTAAGAACTACTAAACTGTTTTTCCAAAGTGGTTGTACCATTTTGTATTCCACCAGCATGTATGACAGTTTAGTTGCTTATTTGCCACAAGATAAAGACCTGCTAAGTAAGAATGAGTTAAAAATGCTCAAGAAGATACTGGTCCCTAATATTTGGAGCTATGAGAACATTTAAAAGAACTATACCAACAGGAAGGATAACAATCAGTAAAAGTTTAGCACTAAATTTAGTTGCACATAATATAGACTGAACCAACACATAATCTCATTTTGAGATTAAGGTGGGAACTTACTGGAGAAGCCACAAAACCTACTGCACTGAAGTTTTGCCATTATTGGACGGTAGCCTTGCTTGACTTGCACCATCTCATCTTCCCTCACTTCCACTTCCCTTGTCCAAATCGCAGGTTTCCTGAAGAACCAGTTCAAGTGCCACCTTCTCTTGAGCATTCTGGCCAATTAGCAATTTCTTTGAATTCCTACAGCACTTACAATTCCTCATTTAAAGCTTCATTACATATGCAATGGCTTGTGTTCTATTTATAACACATATTAACATATTCATGTTTCCTTCTTGAAAATGATAAGTCACCTCTACGAAGCTTGCCAAGAGAAGGGACTCATCTGGACCACCCTCTAAGCCAGTGCAGATCTATGTGTGCCAGACTATTTTTCGGCACAAGTGTCTATCATGGTCAAGAGAAAGGGAAATGTACTAGCCATTGTAAGTATCCAGGAAGACAAAGAAATGTACAACTCTAGAGTTCATTCATGTCTACCTAGACAGTAAATGCACATACCTCAAGCTGCTGATCTTTGTATTTTCTTTTTTTTTTTAATTATACTTTAAGTTCTGGGATACATGTGCAGAACGTGCAGGTTTGTTACATAGGTATACATGGGCCATGGTGGTTGGTTGCACCCATCAACCCATCATCGACATTAGGTATTTCTCCTAATGCTATCCCTCACCTAGCCCCCCACCCACTGACAGACCCCAGCGTGTGATATTCCCCTCCCTGTGTCTATGTGTTCTCATTGCTCAAATGCCACTTATAAGTGAGAACATGTGGTGTTTGGTTTTCTGTTCTTGTGTTAGTTTGCTGAGAATGATGGTTTCCAGCATCATCCATGTCCCTCCAAAGGACATAAACTCATCCTTTTTTTTTTTTTTGCAATCTATCCATCTGACAAAGGGCTAATATCCAGCATCTACAAAGAACTTAAACAAATTTACAAGAAAAAAACAACCCCATCAAAAAGTGGGCAAAGGATATGAACAGACACTTCTCAAAAGAAGACGCTTATGCAGCCAACAAACATATGAAGAAAAGCTCATCATCACTGGTCGTTAGAGAAATGTAAATCAAAACCACATCTCATGCCAGTTAGAATGGCAATTATTAAAAAGTCAGGAAACAACAGATGCTGGAGAGGATATGGAGAAATAGGAATACTTTTAAACTGTTGGTGGAGTATAAATTAGTTCAACCATTGTGGAAGACAGTGTGATCTTTGTATTTTCTTTTGTTTCTTTCTTTTTCTTTTCTATTTTTTTTTCTATTTATTATTTTTTTTCTTTTCTATTTTCTATTTTTTTTTAAGCTCTGTCGGCCAGGCTGGAGTGCAGTGGTGCGATCTGGGCTCACTGCAACCACTGCCTCCCGGGCTCAAGCAATTCTCCTGTCTCAGCCTTGCATGTAGCTGGGATTACAGGCATGTGCCACTACGCCCTGCTAATTTTTGTATTTTTAGTAGAGATGGGGTTTCACCATGTTGGCCAGGCTTGTCTCAAACTCCTGACCTCAGGTAATCCACCCGCCTTGGCCTCCCAAAGTGCTGGGATTACAGGCGTGAGCCACCATGCCCAGCTGATCTTTGTATTTTCTAATGTGGATCTGGTTTAACTGAATTCAACTGGAGAAACTCCCACGTGATCTCTAGATGACCTTCTAAAGGGAAGTAGAACACACCACCATATATTCCTGGCTGGTGCTCCTGTGTGACCAAAAGACTCAGGGAAGCTTGTAAGTTTTTAAGATAAAAAGGGGTATCCATGAAAAGAAGCCAACCACCTGAAAAGGGTTAGGAAAATCTAATAGGCAGAACTATTTCTGTGAATTAAAAGTCATGCAAAAATCTGAACATGAAGACCTGGAGGCCATGAAAGTGAAGAACACTCTTTATAGAGGCTTTGCCTGCTTTTTCTTTTCACTAGCTCTAGGATGTACAGAAACTGCTTTCACTTTAGTTTCAACTAAGCTTGTTTCCTGGTCTCTCAGATGCCAGCTCAGTGCTACTGAGACCGTGGCAGCATTATTGGGAAATGTCCTAGTCAAACCCCAAACAGCTTTGCTGGGGTATTTTTTTTAAATCTCAGAAAATCACCTTTTATACCTTTATTTAAAACTGATCTTGAGCTAAGCTGTTGTACTTGACTGTGTCCCTTTAACCTAGGGAACTCACTGCCAAAAAATATGATTGAGGCCAACAGCTTAATAAGTTTTATCGAAGATTAAACATTTATATGAATAAAAATAGCACCTGCAGCGACACCAGGAAGGATAAAATTACAAGGGCTATGAAATCTTCATGCTTCAGGGCATAAATTGCTTACCAGCTGGATAAGGTGGTTTCCCTCGCAGACCAACACTGCACTGCTAAATATGTTTTCCTGAGAAGTATCTCAATGCTGACCACTTCCAGGACCAAAGACTACAGCAGAAAGATCTTTACATTGTTGGTTTGCATCCAGCCCAAGTTTTTACAGAATTTAGAAAGTGTATGATACCACGCCAATCTAAAATCTGAAAATAATGATGCAAGAGAGAGGCCAACACCTCCATTCACAAGGAATAGGAGTAAAATGGGATAAAATTATAAAAGACGAAATGGCTCAGGAGGGAAGCAGTTCCTAACTTTGTTGGCCAATATGGATTATTTGCAGTAAAACACTCAGAGCTCCAAATCTGAAATCCAGTTAAGACAAAATTAGAAGAAAAGTCATCAATCGACTACTTTAAGCTTAATCTTTTTGTCTTTAGCGTTTTCCCAAAAGTAGAAATGTAGCATGAAGATTATCAGTAAGACCTTGGTCTTCTAACCTTGGTAGAGCAAAGACCATTATTTGACTGCAGGAAAAAACAATAGGGAAAACGTAATGAAATAAGGAGTAAAAACAGGAAAAACTAACAAAACATATGCACCAAATTTTTAGATGCTAGATTTTACTTCTCCCAGCACCAAACTATACTGTGACATTTGCAAATGACTCTTTTTTCCTTAAGGATTATGGGAATAATGGTAAATATCAATCAATCCATTTTATAAATGAAATATTCAACAAAGTAAAGAGTAGCATCCAGCCAGGCAAAGTATGCTAATAAGGTTAGCTTTTATTGAAAATTCACTTGAAGTTTGCAAGTTTAGATAACCCGATGTGCACAAACATTCTACAGTTACTAATATGACTTAATGTTCAGTTGCATAATTAGTTGGTTTCTCCAGAAGGATTATTTAAGAAACAGCTATGGGCTCCAGGAGGATGTTCTTTTTCAAAACAGTGTATGGAAGTGCATGATGGGTGGTCCTCACAATGACTACACGAACAAAGGACTCCTGTGGATTTTAATAACACTGATCCACTTATGAATCATAAATCAAATGGGAACCCTTTTGCAGTTCGCAGATTTCCAAGACTTCTGGGGAGAATACTCCAGCACAGCAGCGTGTTATTGACCAGGATTAACCACATTTGCTCACATTCTTTTAAAAATAGTGATTTGCATCCTTGGATGGGTGCTGGCAGGGACCAGCGAAAGAACAGCAACGGAAACAGGGAGGAAAGCGGAGCAAAGCCAGCATCAGTGGCCTTCGAGAATCCAGAGCTCTGCAAAGAGACGGCCGGAGCTGAGATGAGCAGAGAAACACAGGCAGATAAAGATGAACCATCACCACCTCAGCCAGAGAGACAAATACATGGTTGGTACCAACAGGAGCCTTTTCTGATTATTTTTAGAAAACCTTTAATTTAATGCATATTTTCTTTGCTGAAAAGGAAATAGTGATATTAACAAATTGGTTTTATTTCTAACCTGGCAGGGTGCCTGCAGTGAAATGTAAATACATGTACATGGGAGCTGGGATTAGCATTTACTGAAGAAAAGGAGTAGTCAATATTTTAATGAGGAAGTCTAAGAAAGCAATTGCATGAAACACACTCCGATGTCACAGGGGAGCTTTTTAAGTTAAGCCAACTAGTTCCAAATTACTACTTTTCCTGGCTTTCCTTGAAGGGGAGTTTAGACTTACTTAGGAAAAAATACAACTGTGGCATTTAGTTTTAAATATCATAAAATAGCTGTAATATTCCTCTCTATAAATACATACATTAACCTATATACATCTCTCTCATTATACATATAGAAAAAGCATGTCTCACTTGCCAATCTTCAGCTAAATGGCCCATTGAAGAGTGTCATCTTTCTGCTTTTTTTTTTCAAAAACAGAAATACCAGGCAAAGAAAATTGACACTACCCAAGAATGAGGGACAGATCTGAGGGGAAAAAAAATACATAAAAGGAAACACAGGTAACCAAAGCAAATAAAAATCAATGATAGTTTAAGGACAGAGTAGTGTATATAAGACAGATTCAGATAGCAGATCAAATCAATTAGAAAAACACCATCTATTATATAATCTTTACTCTGACACCCCTAGGAAGCATATTCCCATCTCAGAATCAGATTTCATCAACAACCAGGAAAAGAGAAAGGAACAAGATCGTTCTGGGAACAAGGCAAGATATACAAAACCAAAATATATCACCAATATTAACCCTTAAATGAAATCAAATGATCTGAAGATTTGAAGACTTCCGTGTTACCATTTCTGAACTCCAGGGGACCCAATAGGACTAACTACTTCAAAAACGCCATTACAACAGCATTTCCTATATTCTGATGAATGCTCTCAAGAACATTTCATGTCTGACAAATATTTAAGCATTTTTGGGCCTTATATTGGCCAAGTTGTACCTACCCTTCCAAACTCAGAGCCAACATCAAATAATAAAGAACAGAAATTAGTAATATAGAAACTGAGCATCATAAAAAATGATCATAAAAATCAAAAGTTATTATTTTTCGAAAGAATAATAAAATTGAAAAACACATGATGAGAGAATAATAAAAAGAGAAGGCACATAGGATCAACACTAAGGTTTTGTGGACATTAAAAGGATCAGAAGAAAGAGCATATGCTTTTTATACCTTATACTTTTATACATTTATAATTTTACACTTTTATGAATATGAGGAATCTGTATATCCAAAAGAAATTCTTACACATGAAAACTGGGAGAACTATACCCAAATATTCAAAGCGACATTATTTTTATTAGATAGATTGTTTTAAATTTAATTGATAGATTACAAAAACATGATACATTTACTCAAAGGCCTATTATACAGCAGTGGAAATGAATGAAATACAATTACTTGCAACAACATAAATGGATCTTGGAAACATCATATTGAGTGAAAATTTGTCACTCCCATCAGTCTACATTTGGTGTGACACAGTTTTTATAATACTCAAAAATTAGAAAGATCTAAACAACATATTGTTTAGTTCAAATTAATATATTAAATAAAACTGTTTTTCAAAAGGCAAGGGAACAGTGAACACACAGTATTCAAAATAGTGGTCCCCTCTAAGTGGGGAGGAGGATATCAAGATAAGAATAGGGAAGGGGCACACGGGTAGAGGCCACTGTCCCGCTAATTTTCCTACTTTTAAGCTGGGTCGTAAGTTATGGGTATTCATTTCATTATTATGCTGTGTAACCTACATATATATGACATAGTTTGTTTCATATGTATGAAATATTACTAATAAAAATAGTCCCCCCAAAATCATAAAATCACACACAGAGAGAAGATAGGAAAAGGCCTTATATTTATCCTGCTGTTAAAGGAACCTCATTCTCTTCCCCCTCCCAGGCTATCACCAAGAAGTAAGAGATTCCTTGGGCTCTCACAGTCTGCCACCCGAGATAAAAAAGCTAGCAGCTGTCTCAAGATTAGGCAAGAACTATTTCATGAGAAACTAGACTATTTTTCCACAAAAATATATCTACTGAGTTACCTGCCATCCATTCAGAAACACCAACCTTAGAAAAATTAAAGGAGGAAGAGGGTATGGCATTTGCCTGGAAAAGAGCCTCAAAATTGAAGTGCTGAGCTGGACTTGGGGCAGAACAGGGATAACAGCAGGGCAGGCTGGAACCTGAGTTTGTTATGTATTCCACCTGAATGGAGATTTAGACTATAGGGGCAGTGAAGCTCCATGAAAACTAGGAATTGATCTAGAACGTATGCACATCAATACACCCTCCAGATACAGATCCAGGAAGGAAATCTGACCACCACACAAGGAGACAGGTATGAGAGCAAACCCCTAAGTCAGGTGACGAACACCAAACAAAGCATCTGTGATTGGCTACTACACAAAAAGGAAACAAAAACATCTCCCAAACTCAGAGACAGATCATTGCCTCTGAAAATATACTTGAAGAAATCAGAAAATGTACTCAACTCTAATTCCTCGAAGGAAGGGGCCAAATCTTGTTTGCTATTGTGTTTCTAGTATGAAAGCAGTGCTTTGCACAAAATAAGCATGTGATGAATATTCTTAAATAGTTTTCATATACAGAAAAGTGTAAAATAGACGTCACTATAAAAGGCATAGAAAATTATAAAAAAATAGAATACAAAAAAGTAACAGAATGAAAAAAGAAAGATGAATGAGAAGAGAGGCTGTTCACAACCAAAAATGCATGGGCAGAATGCAAATCCACATTAAAGGCAGTAAATACAGAATGCTAAGGTAGAAAGTGCACAGTGTGACATTTCAGGAAGACTAAAAATCAATTGGAAGAGATCAAACACACTGTGTAAGCTTAGATTAAGTTTCAATTTAATTGGCCAAGAGGGCAACACAGTCAAGAATAGACAACACTCAGCATGAATTCCTTTGGTTTTCAGAGTCCCTAGTGGGAATGCAGTGAATTGTAAAGATGGCCTCACATTTGCCCCATTGCTGTATCCATGCCCTTGCAATAGGACATGACAGTTTCTCCAATTAAGACCTAGAGTCTCTTTCTCTACCTCTTGAATCTGGGTTGGTCAGGTGACTTCCTTTAACTAATGGAATCTAAGCCAAGTGACTAAATCAGTCTCGAAAAGTGCTTATATGTTGACATTTGCCCTATCTTGCTGCTTTAGAAACCCTCAGATATGTGGCTCCAACACCAGACATGTGCAGGAGGCTATCAGGAAAAAAACAGCCCCAGTTGACTTCTCAGCTGACTATAACCACAGGAATGACACATATGTCACATGTGAGACTTACAGAAGAACTGCCCAGCTGAACCCAGCCCAAATTACTGGCCTACAGCACCATGCATGTCCTAATAAATGATTGCTGTTATAAGCTGCTACATTTGGTGGTTTGTAATGCAGTAAAGCTCATGGACACAGAAGCAAGCCAGCTGTCAGTGATACTCTGCCCAAGAGGAAGCTTTGGGTCTGAGCTCAGTTCCAGCCCCAACACCTCCTCCTTATACTTGAAAGTAAGCATTCCTTGCAAAGAATTTGAACTAGTTATATGTTAAGAGGGAATGTTTCAGACTTGTGAGACTTTCCTGGTTCTCAAGCAAAGACAGTATTAAAGCCATATTCTCACAAGGCATGGGAGGGGGACCAGGGAAGCAGAGTCACAGCCCAAGTACCCTCTAAGCAGTATCTTAGCCTTCAGTTTTATGGTTAATTAGAGAGCTCATTTCCCAAAACCTCCCTAAATAGAAGAAAAAAATGTAAGATAAAAATTATCAGTGAAGAAAGACACATATAAAATCAGACATGGGGTTTATCTTACATTCATTCATTCATTTGTTCATTCATCTATCCATTACAAATGGATTTACTGAGGTTCTAGAATGTGTTGGGCTCTGTATCTATATACCCCAGTAAAGTGCTGTGAATGAAACTGATAGGATTTCCCTATCAGTTTCACTGCCTTTATAGAACTTATTGTTTTAGCATCTTAGATTACTGCGGTTCCTGAAAAGAAGAATAGGATAAATGGAACCAAGTGAATAACTTAAGCTAAAACAGATGAAAATACTTATCAACTGAAAAAGTTCCATGTAACAGATAAAAAGAATGACCATTATCAAGGCAAACTCATACCTGGATCTGGCCAAAAATTCTGAGTTACACAAAAATAAAGTCTCACAAATATCTAGGCATAGAAAAAAACAATACACATACACGCACGCACATATGCACACACACTGACACAGCCTTCAATTATCTAAAAAAAAATCAGCCTTGCCTCAGATATGAAAATTAATACAACAAAATTACAAAATTTTGAGGGGAAATGGTACAACTCAAGAATTGCACATCTAAACAAAGAATTTAAAAAATCCACACAAATGTGTGAACTCAGAAAACGTACCAACCATCCATCTTTCTTGAAAAATTATCTAAAGGCATACTCAAACTCACTAAGAGATTTAAAAATAACTAAGAACTCAAAAATAATAAGGAAAAAGTATAAGAATCATATCGAGAACAGTGAAACCAATTAAACATAACAATAACTAATTATAGCAAAAATTTTAAAAGCTAAGTAGAAATTATAAACTGTTTTCTATTATTTTTGACTATAAATTATTTTTGAAAAATAAACATATGCATTAAGACTAATGATTTTTATTAAATAACACTTTTTCTAAAACCTGAGGTTATAAACAAAGACCAAGATACAGGGCTGGAGAGAGCAATGGAATGTATGTTGCAGGGTGGGGGAGATGAGAAGTATGCTAAACTCTTCCATTTAAATAAAAGACATAATGACTTTTTTCCCCTTAAATTTGACAGTTGGAGATATAGAGATTAAATAATGGTTTTGAGAAATTAGATCCAAAAAAATTGAATACCAACATATACTTCATAAAATACTAACAAAGAACCATACAGTCTATATGCCCAAAGACAGAGAACGAAAAATAATAAAAGACACCCAGAGAATCAAAAAGAAAATATAAAGAAAGCAATAAGGCTAATATTTTATTTATAACAATGTACGTAAATGGCTTAAATTTCCCTGTGAGAAGACAAAGACTAGAAGACTGAGTCACAACACCAAATCCAATTATGTATCAATTAGAAGAAATACACCTAAGACAAACAAGTACAGAAAGGATGAGTAAAAAGACGAGTGAACATACACTAAAGAGATACAAATAAAAAAAAGAGTTTTAATATTAGTATTAGAGAAATAAAAATGCAAGGCAAAACACAAGAAGTGGGCAAAGACAGACTTTATATTAAGGGAATACAATTCAACACAAATATGCAATATTCATGTGTCAAATAACGCAACACTGACTCTCAGAATGAGAATATCTCTAGAAGTAAAAGTTAAAGAATAGTAAGACCAACTTCATAAAGGACTTTAACATTCCTCACAGTTGGTCAAAGAAGACCAAAGGATACAGTGGAGCTTTATA
Organism: Homo sapiens; assembly: GCF_000001405.40. Lineage (NCBI taxonomy): Eukaryota > Metazoa > Chordata > Mammalia > Primates > Hominidae > Homo > Homo sapiens. Next base: position 73,677,063 of record NC_000016.10, read on the forward strand.
ATTAGTTAATTCTCTATCTTAAGGAAAATAGCCTTCATTTCCAGTGACCATGGATTCTTTTCCAAAGATGTTTATACATACTATCCCCAAAATATGTCAACAAAATTTAAGTAAAAATCATCACAGGTATATTTTAGGAGGCAATTAAATAAAACTGTAAATTAATAATAACATGATGTCATAAAATCAACCACTTTAAAATTTAAAATTACTCTTATAAAAGAATTTTGGATCTTAGAGGCTATCAGAATATCACTTTAGGTTATTAAACAATGGATAAAGTAAGAATATAACAGCAAAAGTTATATGATGCAGCTAAGCTAAAAATCATAGCAAAGTTCATAGTTTTAAATATTTTTATTAATAAACAACAACAACAACAAAAAATGAATTAACTAAGCATGCAACTTTAAAAGCTAGTAGGAAAACAGAACAACTGGAAATAGTAAACTTTAGACCTGGCTCTTCCACACTACCTTTGGCATAGCTAATCACAAAAAAAGATATATTAAGAATAAGAAAAGTGATTTAACAATAGATTTCTAGAATTATTTTAACTATAACAATATTTTGTTTGCATCTATAAAAATAAATTTAAATGAACTGATATTTCAACAGGAAAATATAAATCATCAAACTTGATTCAAATAGAAATAGAAAACAACCTGAACAGGTCAATTAATCTTGAAAGAAAATTAGAGGCTTCAAACAACTTCTCCTCCTAAACAAAGATGGCACAAAAAAATAATTATACTAGTATATAATATGCAGAAACCCTAAATAAAATACTCTTGTGACTTAGGGAGGTTTATTTCTGGTACATAAGGATGAATTCATGTTAGAAAATTTACCCATAAATAGAGACACTCTATGTCCTCCAATGGAATGACTCAATATTACACAGATACCAGTCTACTCCAATAATTTATAAATATAATCCAGTCATTGTCAAAACCCAACAGGGAAAAACAAATGCAAAAGTAAAGAAAATTTTGTAAGAGAAGAACAGAGACAAGTTTGGCATTACCAAATATACACCAAAATTACTGAAATCACATAAACATTACAGTAGTGATACAGGAAATTATTTATATTAGCAAAATCAGAAAAAAACTAAATGTTCATTTTTCGATAACAGGAATGAGTAAAACTTTTCTGTGTTACACGCATGTGTGAACAGCATGCAGTGAGTAAAAGTCACACTGTAGAAGACCATTGGGAGATGTTCAAGCCCTATTGGTTATTGGGAATGAAAGTGTAAAAGAAGTGCATCGGATAATTTTTTCAAAGAGTATATTCTAATTACAGTGGGTAAAAATACCTTAAAGAATATATACAAAATGTAAACAATGGCTATTTCTCCATAATGGCATAAAATGATTTCCAATTTTGCTACTTAGGCTCTTCAGTATTTTCCAAATTTTTCAGAACAAAAATGTTGATATTGTTTTCATAAAAATACTATTTTATAAAGGTCAAGTCTTCTAAAATCTGGTATTGCATTAATTCAAGTACACTTATACAACATTGAAATTTATTTAAAATATATGTAACAGAAACCTGAGCTATGTGCCAATGGCAAGTGTCTGGATATGACTCACCAAAAAAACTGCTATATGTCTGAAGGAAATATTAAAACAAATAGCCCAGCACCACAGTGATTACACAGAACTGTATATATTCGCTCTGTGCACTGGACAGGAGTTTTTCATTTCATACATCATTTACAGCTTGCTTCAGTGATTCTGCAAAATCAGTCCATACCATTAGCACACACCAAGAGAAACACCCGATGTTCTCGTTGTTGGAAAATTCAAGTGTTTTGGGCTCTGATGTGCATCAAAGTGCTATCTATGCAGATGCGGTTCTGCTAACGAGGATCACAACACCAGATGACCAAGAATCACCAACAGGGATCAAATATCTAGGGTCAAGCACATCGACTTCTGAAAATCTATAGTCCAAGCCTGGCTCGTGCTCATAGGTATACTTAATTTTAAAAACTACTTGAAGTAAATGAAAACAAAATGGTGAAAGTCATAAGTCAATCCCTCCAGAGGGGCTTATTTTTTTTTTTAATGGAAACCAGCTCTCATTTCCAAAATATTTTATCAAGGCATTTGATACCAAGCATCTAGTCTACTCAACACTTCATCAAAATGAACGTCTCATGCATTCACCACTGTACCCAAGTCCCTGCTCTTTTTTAACAATGTCGCCATTTTCAAATCAGAGCATTGAAAAGTATATTTCTATGGCCATACAAAAATATGCCTTGTATATTTCAGGCCAGTGAGAAAGATGTTTTTGCTAGACAACGGAATGCTCCTAGGATTAAAAGCATTTTGTGAACACTTTCTTCCTATGGGGACAGCAAAGAGGCTCCGGAACAGCAAATGGTAACTTGGTTCTGCGTCCAACAAAACTTGACATTCAAACTCTTCTCTTTTTTTTACCTTCTTTTCTCTTATGTAAAACAAAAACAAAAACAAAAAACTCATAGTACAATTTTCTGGTGAGTGAATTTGCCATATCGTCTTCTACCTACAGCCACAGAAATGAATTCCAACAAACAACATTCTATTTTACTATTCTGTGGATTTCCTTACTATTGTATCTCATTCATTTGTAGAACAATCAGAATCCAGAGTTGTGCTGAGTTTCAACTAGGAATGCAACTATGAGCCATCATGTGGTACTTTACCAAGACCAGCAGCTGTACATTAAGCACTGAAATTATCAAAGCTCATGACTTACACAGCCAGCACCTCCCGTAGCAATCGTTCTGCTGTGGACTACCCACCAACAAAATCTTTAGCAACAGGATTCATTTTTTCCAGACCAAATATTAAGTAGTAACGACAACACCTCAATGTGCAGAGGATATCAGAGCTGTGATGAGCCAAGTCAAATTCATGCCAGAAAGATACATAGGCATTTTGAAAGTAAAGCCATTAACGCGTAAGTTCCTCATTTTTATGTGCTACATTTTCCAAATCATCACATCTCAGAAATTACCTGAAATCAACCTTTAACTACATCGAATGAAACAGAGCACTCTGAAGAAAAGTCCATGGATAACTTTTAGACCAAACAAATTGGAACGCTTCTACATACCAAAGTAAAATTTCTTCGACTTATTCTTCTTTTGGTTTCAGAATTCAAAAAGTCCAGAAGCCTGTAAATATGAAAAAAAAAAGTTTAAGGAAAAGATCTAGAAAAATATCAATCAAAATGATCAAAGGCAATTGAAAATGGTAACGTGTGTGCTTGGCTAAAAATAAGGCACATTCTGAGTGGAAAGTTGCTAAAAAATGTTCAAAGCCATGGAGGTCACGGCTCGAATGAATGTTGACTGTTTCAGCTCATCTCAAAACAGAAGCACTGTTTCCAATTGCAAAGAAAGCCTGTGCTCTCCCCTTCCAAGAAAGTGGTAGAAGATGGCAATGGAAAACCATTTCACATTAACCAATACATTTTTAATATTAACCGGTTACATTTTAATTTATCACTAAACACTATTTAGGAAATGACTGAAAGGAATTTGGGATTTTCTCATCAGTCTGCATCTGGGAAAGGTACAAAGAAAGTGACAGGAAATTTCTCCCAAAATAATTAGACAGAGGTCCTAAGTTGAGGATGAAACTGAATGGTGGGTGTATATCATGGAATTCGTCTTATCCTAATATGAAAGTTTTATATAAAAATGGTGAATCTTAAACTATATCTTTTTGGCAAATGATTTGGATTTAATTGTACCTTTGCTTCATCTGTGCGTGTGAGTGGGGTAAGTGCCTTAGATATTGTGTGGAAACCATTATTCATATATAATTACTAGCTTCCAGTGAGCAGGATCACACAGAGTATACGGGAAAGATACTATATGCAAAGCCTGAATGCCAAGGAAGAAATTAAAAGTCCAGAAATCTAGCAAGAATAGCACCAGCACAAACTGATTAGAAAGATTTTAGTTATTTTATACAATGTTAGACCACCTCTCAGTGGATGTCTGGTCTTGTGGGAGAGAATAACCTATTATTTATTATTTAAGTAAAAAAGTGAAAGTTGAGGTGGTCAAAAATGACAGAAGATGGTTGCATGCATAAGCATCTTGCTATTATTTCCAGACTATAATGGCTAAACAAATTAAGGCAACATGGGAGAGAAAGGCATTTTAATAGGTGACAATTGTTTTTAGAAGAGTGATAAATAGTGATTGATCCAATTACTGGTTACTCTACAAGCCAGATTTAAGAATGATCGTCCAAAGCGAAGGCAGAAGTGTCTCTCCAAGTGAATGCAGCAGGCATAGAGTAAATTTTGAAAGTAAAAGGTGAACCTTAAAAGAATTCTTATTAAAATTATAGTTATCGGAAACATGGGAAGATTACGATGAGAAAGGGCAGGGCTAATCCAAAATGGGGAGAAAGCCGAGAGATAAAGAATGAAATTTCATTCGAATAGTCATGAGTCTAGAGCACGTTGAGGTTTGGGCTTCTGGTTAGCGTTTCTAAGCCATTCTAGCAAGGGAAGCACCTTGCTAACGGCTAAGTCTGGCAAGGCTTAGGATCATCTAACATACATTCCCTAAGATAGGAGTTGCCCAAAGACAGGCACCTGATCCTGTTCTCCGGACTTAATATCCTGTGCTTCCATGTGCAAACTGCATTCAAAATTATGGTTTTTACAGTATTTTGTAAGCATATGCATTGTTGCTAGAAAATCTGAAAACTATAACAATGGAAGGGTAGGCTTGCATTTCTTCCTAAGATAAGCCCCTGCTTAGAAAATGTAATCATATCTATGTATTAGTGACTTCCTCTATTTGTAATCATCAATTTTAAATTTCCAATAAATACGATTCCCCAAAGAGGGTATCTAATAAATAGGGATAATGATATATACCTATCTAGCTATGAGGATCAAGTGAGCTCACGTACATAAAGCCCTTAACGGAATGTCTGACGCATAATGGATGCTTAACAAATAAAGGCTGATATTACATACAGAAAACTGCCACAGCAAAGCAGTAGTGTACTTATTTAGAACTTAGGCTCTGAAGTCAGGCAATCTGGCTTTGAAAATCATTTGCCATTGCTCTTATGAGGATAAAATAAGGTAATATTTGGAAATTGTTTAGCAGAGTGCCACTCTACTAATTAATTCAAAATAAATGTAGTTTGCCATGCTCAATTATCATTATCCTGAAATCTTTGTATTTATTCTATTAAAATTATATATATTTTGACAATAAAATACATTTTCTTATATAAAAATTAGGGGTTTTAATCATAAGGCACATGGGAATGTTGTTTTGGAGAAAGATTACTCAAAATGAAGTAAGAAGAAAATTCAAATCCACGTCCCTTGAAATGGTCAAGAATGTCACCATCTAGACAAACCATAATGCATCTATTGCACACTGATCTAAAAGAAAGGTAGGCCGGGTGCGGTGGCTCACGCCTGTAATCCCAGCAGTTTCGGAAGCCGAGGTGGGTGGATCACCTGAGGTCAAGAGTTTGAGACCAGCCTGGCCAACATGGTGAAACCCCGTCTCTACTAAAAATACAAAAAATGAGCCGGTCATGGTGGCATGCACCTGTAATCCCAGCTACTCGGGAGGCTGAGGCAGGAGAATCACCTGAACCCAGGAGGTGGAGGTTGCAGTGAGCTGAGATCCCACCACTGCACTCCAGCCTGGGCAACAAGAGTGAAACTTCATTTCAAAAGAAAGAAAGAAAGAAAGAAAGAGAGAAAGAGAAAAGGAGAGAGAGAGAGAAAAAAAGAAAGAGAAAGAAAGAAAGAAAGAAAGAAAGAAAGAAAGAAAGAAAGAAAGAAAGAAAGAGAAAGAAAGAGAGAAAGAGAAAGAAAGAAAGAAAGAAAGAAAGAAAGAAAGAAAGAAAGAAAGAAAGAAAGAAAGAAAGAAAGAAAAGAAAGAAAGAAAGAAAGAGAAAGGAGGGAGGGAGGGAGAAGGAAGGAAATAACAATTGCATGATTTTTGAAGATAGACTATACATCAGATATTTCCAACATTTTTACTCTTACACATGCCTTTTATTATACTTTTGTCTAGTAAAGAAATGGTGTTTGTTAAAATGTAGTTCTATTTAAAAACCATCAGCGATGTATATAATGGGTGAATGTACAACTACCACAAGTCTTGTGAAATAGTAGACTAGCTCAAAGCCCGTTCACTTCCCTCTGAGATTTAGAGGTTGAGTGAAAGAGAGCAGGGTGTATGTGTGTTGGCCAGAGGAGGGGGCAGTCAGGTTGGTAACTACTGATAAATAAAATTAATCAGAGCCTTAAGCCACGAGATAACCTTTTATAAATATGTAGACATAGTCTGTCTTAATAAACATTGTATTTTAAGTGACTGTGATTAGGTCCACACTGTCTCAAATCCCCTGGATAATTTTCCAACCCTCTATAAAAGCCAAAACCTAAAAGTGACAAAAGACCTAACCATGCGACATGTTTTGGGATTTTTTTTTTTAAGACAGAGTTTCTCTCTTGTTGCCAAGGCTGGAGTGCAATGGTGTGATCTCGGCTCACTGCAACCTCTGCCTCCTGGACTCAAGTGATTCTCCTGCCTCAGCCTCCTGAGTAGCGGGGATTACATGTTTCAGGGATTTTAGGTGACCCATCATCTCCCTTTGCAGCAAAAGACAGCAGCAGCCATTAAGCCTCAGAGTTGAAACTGAGTGCAACTCTGGATTCTCATTGTTCTAGAAATGAATGAGATACACAGTAAGGAAATCCACAGAATAGTATAATAGAATGTTATTTGTTGTTCAGAGAAGGGTCATAAACTTCTTCTGTAAAGGGCCATGTAGTAATATTTCTTGTTTGTGGGCCACATATACAGTCTGTGCCAAACTACTCAACTCTGTGCTTGTAGAAGGAAAGCAGTAGCTGTGTTCCAATAAAACTTTATTTACAAAAACATTGCCAGGCACAGTGGCTCATGCTCATAATCCCAGTACTTTGGGAAGCCAAGGCCAGAGGACAGCTTGAGCCCAGGAGCTTGACACTAGCCTGGGCAGCGTAGCAAGACCCTGTCTCTACACATAACTTAAAAAGTAGCTGAGTGAGGTGGTGGGTACCTGTAGTCCCAGCTACTCGAGAGGCTAAGATAAGAGGATCTCTTGAGCCCAGGAGGTCAAGGGAATCCAGACTTAATCTATGCATTGTAGTTTTCCAATTCCTGCTCTAGGGGTCCATTATTAATATGATTACTTTGATTATATTTTGATATGGCATGTGTGTGTGTTTGTGTGTGTGTGTGTGTGTATGTGTGTAATGACATGAACTTTAGGAGCGAATTAGACTATAGGAAATAAAGGAAAATTGGGATAAAAAAATAAGATGAAGTCCTGTACAATTGCTAGATAACTCTGAGCATCCTAGAAGCCAAATCAAAAAGAGGAATGTGCATATTGGATTAAGGTAGGTAGAATAATGGCTTCCCAAACATACCCATATCCTACTGCTCAAAACCCACAAATATGTTGGGTTACATGGCAAAGAGGATTTAAGGTTGCAGATGGAATTAAGATTGCAAATCAGCTGACCTCAAAATAAAGAGATTATCCCAGATTATCTGCATGTGCCCCTGCAATCACAAGGGTCCTTTTTTTTTTTTTTTTTTTTTTGGAGATGGAGTCTTGCTCTGTCACCCAGGCTGAAGTGCAGTGGCATGATCTCAGCTTACTACAACCTCCACCTCCTGGGTTCAAGCAATTCTCCTGCTTCAGCCTCCTGAGTAGCTGGGATTACAGGCACGCACCACCACACCTGGCTAATTTTTGTCTTTTTAGTAGAGACAGGATTTCACTATGTTGGTCAGGCTGGTCTTGAACTCCTGACCTCATGATCCGCCCACCTCAGCCTCCCAAAGTGCTGGGATTACAGGCGTGAGCCACTGTGCCAGGCCCAACAAGGGTCATTTTATTTATTATTATTTTTTTTGAGACAGAGTCTCACTCTGTCGCCAGGCTGGAGTCCAGTGGCCCAACCTCGGCTCACTGCAACCTCTGCCTTCCAGGTTCAAGTGATTCCCTTGCCTCAGCCTCCCGAGTAGCTGGGACTACAGTTGCATGCCACCACGCCCCTGGCTAATTTTCTTGTATTTTGCTAGAGACAGGGTTTCACCGTGTTGGCCCAGATGGTCTTGATCTCCTGACCTCGTGATCCGCCCCCCTCAGCCTCCCAACGTGCTGGGATTACAGGCGTGAGCCACCACGCTCAGCCCACAAGGGTCTTTTAAAAATGTAAGAGGGAGGCAGAAGAGGGAGAACCAGAGTTGGAATCATGATGAAGATAGACAGGTTATTACTGGCTTTGAAGACTGAAGCAGGCCATGAGCCAAGGAATACAGGCAGCCTCTAAAAGCTGGAAAAGGTGAGAAGGCGAATTCCCCCTTGCAGCTTCCAGAAAGGATCACAGCCCTGCCAACCTCTTTATTGTAGCCCAATGAGACCCTTCTCAGATTTCTGACAGCCAGAATGGTAAGATGATAGATTTGTGTTGTTTTAAGCCACCAAGTTTGCGGTAGCATGCATCAGCAACCATAGGAATCTATTATATCAGTTCATAACATAGAGTAGAAATTTCTTTGTGGGTCTTTATAATGAGCCTATTATGTAATAATCAACAAAATGCCCACAATGATTCTAATGGCAAGTTTCCTGTACCTCTTCCCTAAAACAACCCTTGAGCAGGCTGAGAGCAAACAGCAAATCACAGAAGAGCAAATGCTCTTTTATGAGCACCCGACAATGTGAGATCCAGATAGGCTGTTCTCTAAGAGTCTGGCTTAATGTGAGAATAAAATGTGGAATATCTAGATCAACATTCTCGGAAGTGTGGGATGTTATTCTGTTTCAGGAGAAAAAGAAATGTGTTCATGTATGTGTAGGAAAAGGCTTAAGCAAAATTAAACAGTTGTCTTTATGTTGAACTTCTCCGAATCTTCAACATGCTTATGTGAATTTCCAAGAGGGTAATAGTATATTCAGACATTTCTTATTTATTTATTTATTTATTTATTTGAGATTGAGTCTCACTGTTGCCCAGGCTGGAGTGCAGTGGCGTGATCTCGGCTCACTACAACCTCCACCTCCCGGGTTCAAGCAGTTCCCTGCCTCAGCCTCCTGAGTAGCTGGGATTACAGGTGCCCACCACCACACCTGGCTAATTTTTTGTATTTTTAGTAGAGACAGGGTTTCACCATATTGTTCAGGCTGGTCTTGAATTCCAGACCTCGTGATCCACCCACCTCGGCCTCCCAAAGTGCTGGGATAAGGCGTGAGCCACCACGCCTGGTCATATTCAGACATTTCTAACTATGAGTGCTTTTCTTTTTCCTGAAGTATCATGAGTTGGGTGTCTTGCATAACACGTTTTGCAAAACTTGGACCTATAGTCATGAAAAAACTCAACTGACCCTTCGGGAATTCTTGCATGTTCTCTGAATGTTAAGGAAACTCATGCTCAGAGAAGTCAAGAGGTTGGTCTCTGGAGCTGCCCAGAGTGATGAGTCCATAATTGTCTCAGCCTCTTATCCATGATCCAAGCACGCAGGCTGTATTCCCTCTGGTAAGGGTGGGCTCCAGGGTTTCCCCTCAACAGACTGAACCCATTGTACTAACTATAAAAGCAGTCAGGCCTAGACTTGTGTGAGACCCACTAGAATAGCTACTCAGTTTGTAGCACATGTTTCTGGATTGAAACCTTATCTAGGAGAGTTATAAAGTTTACAGACTAAGCTTAAAGGAAAGGAGCATAACACAGCCAAGTTGTTTGGGGTGCACTGGTCTTGGTTCACCCTGTATTCACCACCCTTGCCAGAATGGAACCCTTTTTTGTACACCTTCCAGAGAGACAGAGCTTAACCGGTAGCACCACCATTTAGAAGGAGAGAGAATATATATATATTTGCAGCTAAATATATATATATATATATATATATATATATATATATATATATATATATATATATTTGCAGCTTTAAGTCTTATTTTTTATTTTAAAACATTTCCAGGCCAGTTGCAGTGGCTTACAACTGTAATCCCAACAGTATGGGAGGCAGAGGTGGGCAGATTGCTTGAGCTCAGGAGTTTGAGACCAGCCTGGGCAACATGGTAAAACCCCATCTCTAAAAAAAAAAGTACAAAAATTAGCTGTGAATGGTGGCACACACCTGTAGTTCCAGCTACTGGGGAGGCTTAGGTGGAAGGATCACTTGAGCTTGGGAGGTGGAGGCTGCAGTGAGCACCACCGCACACCAGCCTGGGTGACAGAGAGAGACCCTGTCTCAAAAAAAAAAAAAGTTTCCAAACGATGGGTCATTTATTACTAGATAAATTTATCCTGTGTTGTTACATGTGGAGAAATAAAAGCTAAGCTACAAAGTGGCCCCACAGTGCATCTTCTGTTGGTGTACATCAGAAAGGGAAATGCCATCATTAGCATCCTCTTAAGATTTAGTAACTATTGACCGGGTGCGGTGGCTCACATCTGTAATCCCAGCACTTTGGGAGGCCAAGGCAGGTGGATCACGAGGTCAAGAGATCGAGACCATCCTGACCAACATAGTGAAACCCCGTCTCTGCTAAAAATACAAAAATTAGCCAGGCATGGTGGCACATGCACATGCCTGTAGTCCCAGCTACTCAGGAGACTGGGGCAGGAGAATCTCTTGAACCCAGGAGGCAGAGGTTGCAGTGAGCCGAGATTGTGCCACTGCACTCCAAACTGGTGACAGAGCAAGACTCTGTCTCAAAAAAAAAAAAAAAAAAAAAAACAGATTTAGTAGCTATTAATATTGACAGTCACTGTGCTCTTTACCCCAAAATTTCCATAATACTTGTAATTTTATCTTTAAGACAATAATTTTTTTTCCAACGTAAGACGCAAATTCACTATAGAGCAGGCACATTTCAGTGGACATGGGACATTATGGCTGCTATGGTCTGAATGTTTGTGTCTCCCCAAAATTCACATCTTGAGCCTGGGCACAGTGGCTCATGCCTGTAATCCCAGCACTTTGGGAGGCTGAGGCAGGTGGATCACCTGAGGTCAGAAGTTCAAGATTAGCCTGGCCAACATGGTGAAACCCCGTCTCTACTAAAAATACGAAAATTAACCAGGCATAGTGGCACATGCCTGTAATCTCAGCTACTCAGGAGGCTGAGGCAGGAGAATCACTTGAACCCGGGAGGCAGAGGTTGCAGTGAGCTGAGATCACACTGCTGCACTCCAGCCTGGGTGACAGAGTGAGACTCCATCTCAAAAAAAAAAAAAAAAAAATTGTATCTTGAAATTTAATCCCCATGCAAGTATTAAGAGGTGGAGCCATTGAGAGGTGATTAGGTCATGAGGGACACCCCCAGGAATGGAATTAGCACCCTCATAAAAGAGACCCCAGAGAGCTGCCTTGCCCATCCCACCATGTAAGGACACAGTGCAAAGGCGCCCTGTATGAAGCAGAAAGCAGGCCCTCAACAGACACTGCATCTGCTGGTGCCTGGATCTTGGACTTCCCAGACCCTAAAACTGTAAGCAACACATTTCTGTTGATTAGAAGTTACCCAGTGTAAGGTATTTTTTCATAGCAGCCCTGATATGGTTTGGCTGTGTCCCCACCCAAATCTCATCTTGAATTGCAGCCCCCATAATTCCCACATGTTGTGGGAGGGACCAGGTGGGAGATAATTGAATCATGGGGGCGGGTCGTTCCCATGCTATTCTCATGACAGTGAGTAAGTCTCATGAGAGCTGATGGTTTTATAAAGGGGAGCTTCCCTGCACCATTTCTCTCCTCTTGTCTGCCGCCAAGTGAGATGTGCCTTTCACCTTCCACCATGATTGTGAGGCCTCCCCAGCCATGTGGAACTGTGAGTCCATTAAGCCTCTTTCTTTTGTGAATTGCCTGGTCTTGGGTATGTCTTTATCAGCAGCGTGAAAACAGACTAATACAAGCCCAAACAAACACAATGGCCAAACAAAACTTACTGGGTTTAATGCAAACCAACCCATTTTAAATGATCCAATAAATACTTGCCAAAGGATTGATACTGATTGAACTTAAATTCTCTTGATAATCTTGTACGTCTTTCAATTCAAAATATCAAAATAAGATCTAGTTACGTGAAACCTCTAAAGTTCTATGTCACTATCAGGGACACTGCTATGATTTCACATTATGCTCTGGGGACAGGGGGGTTTTAGGAAGCCCCCAAATTTCTAAATTCATCCAAGACATCCCAGAGAAGTAGCCACATGGTCCCTCAGGTGAACTTCCTGGAGTCATTGATTTTGCATCATGCCTGAGCTATGTGCACAAAGTAAAGAGGGGTGACAGGGGCTGTAAAAGCTACATTTTCTGATCCAGCAAGTGAAGGAGCAGCCCAGGCTCCATTCAGGTGCTTCCTTTGCTGTGGGAAAAATTAGACCTCTGTTCCCATCTTCCTCTTGCCCCTCCCCCCACTCATTCCACATCTAAACAGCTGCCTGACTTAGAGGGAGGGCTAAGGGAATGTGAAGTCAGAGAGGGAAGGGTTGGTGCAGCATGGCAGGTCCATGAGAAGGCCATATAGGCAGTTCTATGTTACAAGTCAGATGGAATAAATGAAATTTTTGAAAGTTTCCTGGGGTTATTAATTTTCTTAAGAAACCATGGAAAACACGACTATCAGGTTTCATTAGCAAAGCTTACCCAGCTCTGAGGACATACAGTTTTTTGTTTTTTGTTTTTTTTGTTGTTGTTGTTTTTTTGAGATGGAGTCTCGCTCTGTCGCCCAGGCTGGAGTGCAGTGGTGCACGCTCACTGCAACCTCCGCCTCCCAGGTTCAAGCAACTCTCTTGCCTCAGCCTCCTGAGTAGCATCACCCAGGCTGGAGTGCAGTGGCGCGATCTCGGCTCACCGCAACCTCCACCTCCCTGGTTTAAGCAATTGCCCTGCCTCAGCCTCCTGAGTAGCTGGGATTACAGGTGCACACCACACGTCTGGCTAATTTTTTTGTACTTTTAGTAGAGATGGGGTTTCACCATGTTGGCCAGACTGATCTCGAACTCCTGACCTCAGACAATCCTCCCACCTCGGCCTCCCAAAGTGCTGGGATTACACGTGGACATACACTATTTAAGAAGCACAAACAAGGTTTTACATCCATCCCAAGAATCCCAAACTAGATTTGCAGACTCAGATCTGTTCGTATCTTAGCATCCATGTACGGGGCCTATGCATTCAGGCTTCTGTGATTACCAGCTAACATGGTATGGTCCCCTAGGAATCTGCTTGAAGCAGCTAGGTAAGAAGAAAATTTCAAATCAATTTTGGGCCACATGCAATCCTGAGCTGCACACTCCTCAAAAACTTTTCAAGGAATTGCTTTACACCTTGCAAACATGAACTTGAAACTATCTTTCACACTGTGGCAATTGTTTACAAAGACTGCTGCAAAGTTTCCTCCCATCCCTTCATGCACTCCCTTTGCAATGTGACTCTGCAGCTTCCTGATCAAGAAGTAGTGTCTATTTCTTCACCCCTTGAATCTGGGCATGACCATGCAACTTACTTTAGCAAACGTGATGCAATTCGAAGCTTGAAAATAAATTGTGCATTGTGAGTTTTCCTCTTTTGGCTGCTGTGGGAATCCTGAAGACTTGATGTGAATAAGCCCTGCTAAATACTGGAAGACAAGTGGCCCAGCCAACAGCCATCCCTAGTGCCAGACAAATGAGGGAGGTTACCTTACACCATCTGCTCGCACTCCACCCATCCAGCCCCAGCTGATACCAATAGCACTGCCCAGACAATTCCAGCCCAAATCTGGTGAACAAATTAAAGGGTGATTGTTTTGAGCCTCTATGGTTTGGAGTAGTTTGTTATTCATCAACAGATAAGAGACACACAGACCAATTTTTCCACCTGCATAAGACTGGACACTGTAAAAGTAAAAGGACAAAAGGAACTGTTGTCCATAAGCAATTAAACATTTCTCTCTAGCTCATCAACATAGATTACACAGGGTCTCTTGGTTATTAACAACAAATTGGAGTGAGCTCTTGCTGCTGCCGCTATTCTTGTTATATAAGTTCGCCAATCAAAACAAGTGTTTTCTAAAGACAGTCCTGGTGGTATTATTTTCTACCATTTTCTAGGAACTAGCCTAAAAAAATCTTCTAAATCAGCAAACCTCCAGAAGCCGCACACTCTTCCTCTACAACGGAATAAAAAGCTTAAGATTTGGCAAAAAGAAAAAAACAAGATTATAGTACTGCTATCAAAATATTGACTGAAGGAACTCAAAGAGCTTCAACACTGCTGTCCATGAAAGAGTAATATTATCTCCAACCTTGAAGGAACAGAAGGTGGGACCATCGGCTTTATTTAGAATAAGACAAATATGGATTTAAATCCTGGCTCTACCATGTTTATAGCTGGAGAACTTCCGTATTCAAAATAGTTGTAATAACAGCTAACATTTATTGTTTATCATATATCAAATATTGTACCCGATAATCGATATCATATAATCTTTACAACAACTCCATGGGATAGATTCTATAAATATTCCCATTTTACATCAGGCTTACAGAGATTAAGTAACTTCCCAAGAAAAACACCCAGTATATATGGTGGGGCCTGAATTTGAACCCAGACAATATGATTCCAGAAAGCATCTTCTACAATATTTCAGCATGCTGTCTTTCAAGTTATATAAGGTAGTCACTTGTTCTTCATTAATTTTTAAAATTTATTGAGATACTGATTCATTGATTCAGTCCTTCTAAAAATGTTTAAGGAGCACCTCCTCTATGCGAAAGATCTGAAGAGCTGGGGGACATCAATGGTAATATTGCTGTTGACTTCATAGGGTTTCAAATTTAGAAGGTAAAAGAGATTATCATCAAATAACTCAGCCTCTCCCTACATCAGCACACCATGAACCCTGTTTTCAGATTGACCTTTTCCTGTTGCAGATCAATGTCACTGCTTTGTCTGAAATCCTCCTCCAGGATTCTGGTGGTTTGAAAATACGTCCACAGATTATTCGATATTCCTCTCTTCAAGAAGCGGACCTTAATTCTCCTCTCCTTGATTCTGTCCTGGACTTAGTGACACTTCTAATAAATAGATTGAGGTGGAAATGATAGTGCGTAGGAGGGCAAAAGTGTGGACAGGAGGTAGGAAGTCTCTCCTGAATGAAACTCTAAGAGTTTCATTTGTAATGTGAAATCAGTACAATCTTCAGATGGGGAGCTACAGAAGAGAACCCAAGGACCAGGCCAGGAGGTGTTTAACACCCTTTTTATATAAACGAATACACCCAGATGTACAGCCAGATGCCAATGACACTGGGCTTCTATTTTATTTCTTAACTATGGCATTCCTAGAGAGAAGGGAGGGAATTAAAGGAAGAATTAAAGGAGGTAACTATTTTTAAAGAGCCAAGAGATTCCAACACAGTAACAAAGGTTGCCTCTGTATATTTTTAACTGCAAGAATTACTCTTCCCTAGGAAAAAGAAATTACTGCCATTTCTCAACTGAATTATGGTGTCGCATCTTTGCCCAAGTGCAAATACTTTGGGATCGATACGTTAGAGTTCACGATGGAACAATTTACCCATCCAATTCTAAGGGGGAACGTGAATTAAAGTAGGTATTTTTGTAGGTGAGAGTTTCAGTGAAAATATGCCATCTCATTTCTAGAGCATTGACACTTAATCGTCTAATTATTCCTGGCATGAAAGAAACAAAGTTAACATCCAATCAAGGCAGAAAGAGGAGCCACCAGAGCTCCGAATGAAACAAATGTTTTAAATTTTATAAATAGTTTTGAACTATACCATTTTATTTTGGCTGGCAAACAATAAGATTCTTAACAATGAAATTAGACCCATTGAAGAAACAAAATAGGATCGCAGATGAATGCCAAGTTGTTCAACAAGAAATTACGAAAAACTTGGCAGCAGCTATGACTCTCTAGGGGACACCACAGGTCTCTAAAAGTAAAGTTAGCAGTAACTACTTGGCAATCAGGAAAAACAAGAAGGACTTATACAAGGACAGAGAGCCCTTGGGCTTCATCAGCTTATAATAAATAGCATTTCAAAAGTAGCACTTTTCAGAGATAATATATAAATATTTTAAGTAGCAAATATAGGTGTGGGCTATTTTTTCCAGTACCATGTCCAGAAAATTTGCACATACACATCAAACTCTGCATCTGGGGAATCTGTTTTATTGTGATGTTTGCATTTTTAAACAATGCGCCTGACCTATTTGAGGGTTAATATAACTAAATGGAGCCTGTTTGCTGTTTATTATTTATAGAAGATTCACTTTGGATTAGGGCTTCTCAAGACATTCAAGACATTTGCGTTTGAGCTGCACCGAGAAGTGTTCCCGGATAGCTCCCAGCACCGCGGCAGGCAAGAAAGTGACAAGTGAGAATATAGACCAATCTATGTCCTGCGCTTTCATGAAGGATAAGAGGAAAGTTGGGTTCTTTCCGCTACATAAAGGCCACGGGAACGAGAGAAAAGAAGGGCTTAGCACTGGCCTCTGTCTCATAAGCACAAACTCGGGTTCTTAGAGTACCATAAAGGAAAGCCCTCCAAATCAATGTAAACAGTCCCTCCCTTCAGTTAGGATTTCAATTACATTACACAAAATAAAATATCCACCTTCCATTTACAAGATTTACTTCGAAATCCTTTGCCTGCCTTACAACTGCTAAAGAAAGTAACCTGTGCGTTTCCACATCTCATGATGGATTATCAAACACCTACAAATGGCTCTCGGGGTAAGAAGAAACAAAACTATTCAAGAACTAGTACCAAAATAAGCTCTGCTCTCAAGCCTGTCAGTTTTATGGTCCAATTCTGGACAAAGTTGTCTCCAACTCTGCTGACTCAAATAAACATGATGGGGTGTTTCGTTTTAGCTAAAAAAAAAAAAAAATTGCTAGGCACAGTGGCTCATGCCTGTAATCCCAGCACCTTGGGAGGCCAAGGCAGGCAAATCACTTGAGGTCAGGAGTTCAAGACCAGCCTGGCCAGCATGGTGAAACCCCATCTCTACCAAAAATATAAAAATTAGCCAGGCGTGGTGGCTCATGTCTGTAGTCCCAGCTACTGGGGAGGCTGAGGCAGGAGAATCGCTTGAACTGGGGAGGCAGAGGTTGCAGTGAGCCAAGATCACACCACTGCATTCCAGCCTGGGCAGCAGAGCGAGGCTATCTCAAAATTTTATTTTATTTTATTTTATTTTTATTTATTTTTTTGAGATGGAGTCTTGCTCTGTCGCCCAGGCTGGAGTTCAGTGGTGCGATATCGGCTTACTACAACGTCCACCTCCCGAGCTCAAGCAATTCTTCTGCCTCACCCTCCTGAGTAGCTGGGGCTACAGACGCATGTCACCATGCCTGGCTAATTTTTGTATTTTTAGTAGAGACGTGGTTTCACCATATTGGCCAGGCTGGTCTTGAACTCCCGACCTCGTGATCCATCCGCCTCGGCCTCCCAAAGTGCTGGGATTACAGGCGTGAGCCACTGTGCCTGGCCAAAAATTTTTATTAAAAAACATGTGTTTTCAGTTTCTTTTAGTTGAACAGGTAACAGTGGATAGCAAGAATGGCCCCTCTGTGCATTTTTCTAAGTTTTTGTGTTGAGAATATGAATGTCTCTCAATGGCCATGGGCCTGCTCTTCACCGCATCTCTCTCCTTTTTCATTATGGTAACGAATGCTGGAAGCTCTCCAAAATACAAAGTCAACCTGACAGTGACAAATATGAAGCAAAAGGCCACATGATGATTAAACCATTTACCGACCAATGGAAAAAACAGCCATGATTGACTCAAGAACTCCAAAAGCCAAGTACTCCACTAAGCTGAGGCAGTTGAGAGCCACGGTGTGGCTAACTCCAAGCCAGGCGAGGGTAACTTGCTCAGAGGCACAGCGCTGCCTCCTTATTGCAGACCTATTTACACAAGGGATTACAAAAGAGCTGTATATTTAAGGGTAAGCCACTCCTCCTATACCCCGATGGGGTGGTGCCAGTCAGTAAATATTTTTCAAGAGCCCTTTTAGCCAAATATATCTATACTATTTTTTTCTTTGCTTAAAAATTGCAGAAAATGTAATTCAAATACAGTTTTTTTTTGTTTTTTTTTTTTGAGATGGGGTCTTCCTCTGTAGCCAGGCTGGAGTGCAGTGGCGCGATCTCAGCTCACTGCAACCTCCACCTCCCCGGGTTCAAGCAATTCTCCTGCCTCAGCCTCCCAAGTAGCTGAGATTATAGGCACCCAGCTGGCTGAGACTAAATAAAATGTTTTATGATAATAATCTCCTCTCATTTGTCATTTCCCACTTGATAGATGAAGAAACAGCTTTGAAGAAATCAAACTGCTTGCCCAAGACCACAGAACTAGTCAACAGAAGGTCTGGGATTCAAAGTGAGGTTTTCTGGCGTTGAGTCCAGGTCTTTCTCTAGAAAAGGAAAAGAACAGGGAGAAAAGGGTATACGTTTAGGCTCCAAACCTAGTTCCATTTATTAGCAGCTTTGTCATTTCAGCTTCTTTCATTTCCAAAACAGGGATAATTCGCCCTTTCCTCCCAGGGCTGCCAAGAGAATGCGATAAGATGGCCTTTGTGAAGCTCCGAATACAGGGCAGTGCCTGGCTCACAGCAGGTGCTCAGGAAGTGCCTGATCCCTCTTCCCTGTCTGACTCTAGGGTACCCATTTGTCTCAGTATCTCCACTGCCTTCTCTCCCACTCACACCCAGGCTCGGCAAGAAGGACTCAGCTGCGTAAGGGGCCCAAAGAACAAAGCAGATGTAGGAGCAACAAAGGAGAGGGGGTAAGGGAGGTGGAAACTGTCTTATGCCAAGAGATAACTTAGACTTGTCCTGACTATAATTTGGGTTCTCCACAAAAGAGAGTAAGAGGGAAATTGCAGCTCAAACCCACTGGGGACTCTGAGAGATGAAATATTACATGGCCCAGAGTAATTCCAGCCAAGGGCAGAGGTAGGGTGTATCCACTAAACCTTCATTTGTCATTGGTTGAGGGCTTTCAGTGGCATCAACCCTCTGCTAATTCAGGTTTGTCCTATGCTGGCCAAGGACCTGCAGCCAGAAACAAACAAACAAAAACGAACAAGTCAGGCAGAGAGTTAGTAATGAGCAGCCTTAAGTATAGAGAGGTGAGTTCCCCATAAGATATGGGCAGAACACCGTCAGGGTCTGCCACAGTAACTAAGATTGCTTTCAAGTAGTAAAGAGGTGGATATAAGAGTCATACCTACAGACTCATCCTGAAGCTGGCACTGTGACACATACACTTTTGTGTAGACTGTTGGGATAACCTTGAGCCAAGGAAACAGTGTGTTGGGTTGGGTCATGATTCTGAACCAAAGAGCCATACATAAAAGATATATTAAGCTATCTCTAACTCACAACCATTCAGCCTAGAAAGCTCTTCATACAATTTGGAGGTGAAGATGCACCAACAGGGCCTGAAAGTGGCATGTTGCTCAGCTCCAAATTCATTGCTTTCCCTTGTGTGGGTTTGTATGTAATGTCAGCCCCGTCAAAGCCAGCAGATTTGTGACCCTGGTAAGTGGCAGTCTGATTTATTCTCTAGCCCTTTTCCTTCTTCCACAGCAATCCCCACACAAAAATCCTTCCTTAACTTCCATTCCATCTGCTTGGCTGTGGCTTTCATATCTTTAGTCTTCCCTGAGACTTCTGGAAAGTGAAGAGGCTATTTAAACATAGGTTGTGAGGTAGAAATAAAGTGTTGATGAACTCCAAGCTTAAATTATATAACAATCAATAGTGAGCATTTTATCTAGCATGTAGCAATTAATTCTAATAGCATCTGTTTGCTTACAGACCATCAAAAAGGGACACGATAGTTAATTTAGAAAAGAAAGGGGAAAATGTAGAAAAAAGAGAAAATGTGGCAGTTATTTATAAATTTTTTTGTTGGAGAAATTATAGAAATGCAGAATGGAAAAAATATTTTAAGTGAACTAGCTCTTAGAAAGACCAATTCTGATATCACTTATTTCTGGTTTATTTCAAGACAAATGATTCCATGGCATTAGGAAAACATCTATCATGAATTCTAACCTCTTTTTTTTTTTTTTTAGCAATAGTAAACAATCTGGAAAGTAGAGATCATGTGAGTGTCACGACACATATAAGGTGTTTAAAGTATTTAGAATGGACAAAGTTTTTGAAAATAAAGAGTTTTGTCATAAATTCAGGTATAAAGACAAATGAATCACAGTTTCAAAACACAGATGCAGACTGTTTCATTTAGCACATATATTGACCTGTCACTCAATTATTAAAATATCTTCCCAATTATTAATTACATTTTTACTGGATAAATCACTGATTCAACATTGTTCCCAAGTTGCTATATACCTGACAATGAAATTCAAGGTGAGTCATCCCCAGGTCTCCAAGTCATTGATATGCAAATACAGTGAGGAAGTTCTTGTTTTTGTTTCATATACCCAAGAATCAAGACTTGGCTTAA
Organism: Homo sapiens; assembly: GCF_000001405.40. Classification (NCBI taxonomy): domain Eukaryota; kingdom Metazoa; phylum Chordata; class Mammalia; order Primates; family Hominidae; genus Homo; species Homo sapiens. Next base: position 73,697,630 of record NC_000016.10, read on the forward strand.
AATTCTACATTAAGTTCACAGTCCTGACCTGGATATGTGCTAAATTCCAGTTTTAAAATATTTCTGCTTTATTTGTCTACCTACTAATTGTCTTCTTAAAAATGTTTCACCACTTTTATTCTGTGGTCACAAAAAAAAAAATAGAAACAATTCTAAATCATTTATGAATCTATAAACAAATACTGGTATGGTTGTATGCATGGGCTGGAAAACGTATGTTTATTTCCAAGCTCTGTTTGTGGAAACGGCCTATAAGCAATGGCACTACTGTAGTGAACACACCTAGAGCCCACCCAGATTTTGTTTTCTACAAAATCATTTATCCAATGAAAGGAACCAGGGCTCCTTAAATCCAAGGTGAGTGTGGGGTATCTTTGTAGTGCCACAGCATAAGAGACAACTCAAAAAGAGGAAGAGCCATATCAAAAAAAAACATAGGAAATGATAAAGTTTTAAGTTTAGTTAATTGCATGGTATCAATGTCAATTTCTTAGTTTTGGTAATTGTACCATGGTTATGGTACAATTCCCAATGGCCGAAACTGGAACAATTTGAGAAAAAAAAATTAATAGTATCTATAGAACAAAATAAACCTCCATGAATTCATATTGGTATAAATTAATAACTGAATAAATAAAAAATGGAAGAGAAAAGATAGCTCTTATTTTCAGAAGAATTCCAATTACTTAATGTGGAAGAAATAAGAGAAATAGAAAATTACCATTAGAACACCATAGTAAGAATTGTTAGAGGTAAGGCCCACTTATGGATGCTAATATCGGTGGGTGAACATTTGAGTCTCAAGAACTCATAATATTTGATATCACCAAGGGAAAATTAGTAACTTTGCAAGGAAGAAACCCAATAGTTACCATCTTAACCAAGAAACCAAGATAACGTCGTCAGTAATAAGACATATTGCTGTCACACACCTCATCATATGATAGGCTAAGAAGGCGCATCACCTCCAGGGTATTCCTGCCAAAATTATATTACCTCAATGTAATCATGGGTAAACACTGGAAGAATCCAAGTTGAGGAGGCATTCTACAAAGTAACCAATCAGTACTCATTGAAACTGTCAAGGTCATGGAAGTTAAGGCCTGAGGAAATGTCACAGATAGAAGGAGACTAAGGAGACTAAGGAGTCACGACAACTTAATGCAACGTAGGGTCCTGCACTGGGTTCTGGATATTAGTGGAAAAAACCAATGCAATTCAAATACAGTTTTATTTTTGTTTGTTTGTTTGTTTGTTTGTTTGTTTGTTTTTCTGAGATGGGGTCTTCCTCTGTAGCCAGGCTGGAGTGCAGTGGCGTGATCTCGGCTTACTGCAACCTCCACCTCCCGGGTTCAAGCAATTCTCCTGCCTCAGCCTCCCAAGTAGCTGAGATTATAGGCGCCCGCTACCACGCCTGACTAATTGCTGAATTTTTAGTAGAGACAAGGTTTCACCACGTTGACCAGGATGGTCTCAGTCTCCTGACTTCGTGATCCGCCCACCTTGGCCTCCCAATCAAGTACGGTTTTAAGTTCAGTTAATTGTATTGTATCAATGTCAATTTCTTAGTTTTGGCAATTTACCACAATTATGCAAGATATCGAGAGGAAGCTGATAGTGGGGGTGTGTAAGGAAACTCTCTCTGCTACGTTACAACTTTTCTCTAAGTCTGAAATTATTTGAAAATAAAAAGAAAAAAATAGATATAAAATTGAATATAAAATGACAGATGAACATATTTCCCAAAAATAAAAGACCAGTGTTTTGTGGACTGCCTGTCTGTCTCAGTCATGTCCCCAGTGGTGTGTGTTTCTCTATTGTTTTTACTTTGAAAAGCTTTTCATATAGGGCAAAATTTAGATCGCCAAGTTTTTTGTTACACGACTTTAATTAAAAATTTCTGTCAATATCTATCCAGGGAAAACAGTCATATTCTGTATTTAAGAAAACAAACACACTAGCTAGCATTTATTAAGTACTTACTCTCCCAAATGCCATTGTAAGTGTATTAATTCATTTAATCTGCTCAACAACCCTATGAAGCTGACACTGTTATTATTCCTATTTTCACAGATGAGAAACAGTTAAATCACTTGTTTTAACTGATAGTTCCCCAGGTGGTACCTCTTACTTGTACTTTTACACACCAGTGACCCTGCCTGTACAACAATGTAGGGCCACCGTAACAGTTCCAGTCTGCCTCAAGTTTGGGAGACAGAAAAAGACCACAGGATGAGAAATTTGGGGTTCATATTAAAATGATAACAAGGATATTGTTACATGGCATATACTGAACATTAAAAAGCATTCCTGGCTGGGTGCAGTGGCTCATACCTGTAATCCCAGGACTTTGGGAGGCCAAGGCAGGAGATCACTTAAGCCCAGGAGTTCAAGACCAGCCTGGGTGACATAGTGAGACCCTCTCTCTACAAAAAAGTTAAAAATTAGCTAGACATTATAGCACACACTTATGGTCTCAGCTACGTGAAAGGCCGATGTGGGAGGATCACTTGAGCTGGGAAATCAAGGCTGCAGTGAGCTGTGATCACGCCACACACTCCAACCTGGGAAACAGAGAGAGGGAGACTCTGTCTCAAAAAAAAAGAAAAGAAAATTCCTTTCTTCTAAAAAGTTGATGTTACTGAGAATCCTGTTCTCACCTAAATTAGATCCCAAAGCCTGCCAGACAGATTTTAAGAAGTAAAAAAGACAAAACTTACTAAGTAATCAGAGACTTACAAACCTTAATAGGGCTTTGCAAGACACGATGATCTTTCATACAATTATAAATTTAGATAATTCCTCAAGCGTGTGTTACTTAATGAATGGCAACAATTTCTGCTATTAAAGAAAATATATTTAAAGGATTTGTAGAATACATGTTATTTTCTTAATACACCTAAAGTCTATTATGTAAATTCACAGTAGATTTTCTGAAACACACATTATTTACCCAATAGATTAGGTGTTTAGTGAAGAAGCTATTACAGACTATTGGATAAACAGATATTTAAACCATTTTCAATCAATTATTTAAAACACATGCCATTAAAAGTTTATTAGCGTGATTATTTTTAAAGAAATACCACTAAGCTTATTAAAGCAATCAAGGTTCTAGGGAAATAATTAAAATGTAACAATAAGTAAACAATTTGAATTCCAATACATGTAAGGATCACATCACAAGTGCAAGATGTACTTTTATTTTTTTAGTAACTCAAATGTTTAATCTCTCTCCTCAAAACACCAGCTGAATTGGCCTTATTGTGAGCAACATCTTTGGTCAAAATTAGTTTTCTAAAATTGCTGATTTCATACCAAAAGCTTGTGAAAGGTCTTTTTTTTAAGCAAAGGACTCTGTTCTTTTAAACTTGCCCTTATTTATTTCACAACAGAATAACGAGTTTTATTCTGCAGCTTCTCTTCTGGTTTGTGTGTTCATATAGATCAGATCCCATACTACACCCAAGGGAGATGCAGAAGTTTAAATGGAAAGGAAAATAATGAACAAATACCAGAGGTCCACCTTCATGAGCATAAGCCTCGACAATAAATAAGCAAAACAAAGTCATCTGTTATTTGAAAATAAATAAATCAAGTGATGTTGGTTTTCTTGTCGTTATTGTTATTATAAGACAGTATTCCTTCAATTTCAGTAGCTTTTAAGCAAACTGGCAAATGTTTCTAAATGTATTTGCAAACATTAACAACACAAACAAAAGATTTTAATTATATTGTTTAAAGTCTTCAAAAATGTCCTAGACATAAAACTCAAAATTCCTGTACCATGTTTTACCCTCAAAAGAAAATAAGAGTTAAATTAGAAAATCATGAAACAGAGGATTGATAATGAAAATGCCCACAGAAGGCAGGCTGCAATTGTTCTGCCACTGTAATACAATCTCTTCCAGAATAATTTTTCTTTTTATTATTTCATTAAGTTGTATCTCACTAAAGTTCCTCTTAGGATCTCTTGGCAGCACCAAATTTTTCATTGAGAAAACGATAAATCACTGGCCTAAATTACAATTTAATTATAAACGCCTTTGCCTTCTAATGCTGCCTGGGACCTTTTACCCTGCTACATAATTCTAAAAAATGACCCCTGTCATAATTTCCTTCACTAGAATAATATGGAGAGATCTAATCCTGAATCCTGCTGTCTTATAATTTAATATAAGAGGTAATTATTATTCAAAAGATAATGTTGCAGATATTGAAAATATTCTGAAGTTTGAGTCATAAAAAAAAAAGCAGAAGAAATCTTAAGTATGTGGGCGATTTCTATCACTGCACCCGTAAAAAAAGCAAGGAGAAGAGAAGCAAAAGGGTTTTTAATGAAAAAATATTAGAATCTATACACAGCTGATGTTTTGTACTGTGTGAAATGCATTTATATAGTCTTCAAACCATGGTTAGAAATGAAATGTCTCATTTCCCAAATCAAGGAGGTGGAGAGTGCAGTGTTGCCGTGAGCAGCAATTTCTTTAAGTTCAGAGTCTGCTTTAGTACTATGGGTAATAACAACCGCACCCCCCACCCTCCCCGTTCACACTCACTATGGGAGAATTTGGGTGGCAAAAGACTGCCATAGCAAAAGGGGAGGATAGACCCAAGTGACCAAGTAGAAAAGTCCTGAGCTGAAACGTAAGGACACAGCAAAGAGAAGGGGCTGCCTGGGGGCTGCAGGTGTGGGGACATTTGATTGGCAGCATCAGCACAGCCCAGATGGGACACACGGCAGACAATCCTGACCTCCCCAGCAGTGTTTCAGAACTGTGATGAGTGGCGGTGTTTTCTTCCAGGATTCACAGACAGGTAAACAAGAGCAAAGAACAGGTCCCTGTAGGTTTGTGGAACCTTCCTCGAAACTGACATACTCTTTAAGCCCAAATGAAGGGGAATAAAAATCGCATGAGATTAGTGCCCCGAAATATCACCTGTGCAGTTATCGGCCCCTCCACAATGAGCTGGCCACAGCACAGGTGAAAAGTCTGTGGGATTGGTGGAGGATTCCTCGTTATATGTGGCCTGAAAAGATGAGACAGCGCAGAATTCAGGGGTTGGGTCCCATAGATGATTATAAGGTAGGACTTCAGTGGAAAATTCAATTGAATTTTCTAATACCTATACAAAAAGAGGGGAAGACAAAGAGTTTCTTTTAAATTACAGATGTTCTTGAGATCATGTATCTAAGAGCTAATTCCACTGTGCCGAACTGTATGAAATAAAGAGAGTCCCCTTTCACCTTGTTTCCACCAAAAAATTCAAGTGATGGTGAAATGAACCTCATAACTACCTAATGGTGTCGGTATAATTATGGAAGGAACACTTCCATGGCTCAGTAGAGGCAGCGATGATAGCGATGGTGGTGATAGTGAAAGAGGAGAAAGAGCTGAGAGCAAACAGAAAACAAAAAAGTGATTCAAATGGAATGATACCTCTTGCCATCCAATCTTAGACTAGTCAGCAATCCCCTATGCAGCTCAATAAACATCAAACTAAACAGTAATGCAGAGGCTGCTTTCCTGCCTCTTTTGTTTTGCTTTGTTTTGTTTTTGCTTTGGGAGCAGTTCGTTTAAGATGTAATAAATTGGAAGGGTGCCTCCCCCTCCCACTCCTTATCCCTCCATAAATCTCAGGACAGTACAAATGAGGTATGTCTCATTATGGACAGAAAGAAAGGGCCTCCCTAGGCAGGGACATCCATGACTACCATTAAAACAATCATTAAAAATAACAACCCACCTAAAGAAAAAAATGAGTCATTTTTAAAAGGATATATATTAATTAGCCAATAATATTAAAAAATAGGTTTGGTTGGTTCAAATAGGAATTGAATTCCACAATGCAAGAGAAAGCCAAAAAAAAAAAATTGATGTGGGAAGGGGAAGGTTTATAGGATGAAGGTCTATAATTTCCTACAGCACAAGCAGAGAGAGTCATGAAACGGTACCCATAACGAACCAGTAATAAAGAAGTGTGCAGAGATCGGTAGACTGTGCCTACCTGAATCATTTCATGAGTAAGAAAGATTTAAGAGTCCCGGGAGGTGCCTGGCAGACACTGGACTGGACTTTGCAATAACTGAACAGAAGTACATTAAGGTGGACACACAGGTAGATGGATAGGAAAGCACAGACAGGCAATCTTCAGGTTTAAGATGCACTAACAGTTTTCTGCTTCACTGTGGTACGTTTTTGAGGGATCCGAGTCGTAACGAGGCCTGCTGAGTTTGTTAAAAGTAGGGGAATAAAAAGCAAGGTGAAAGAGGGCATTAGGGGGCCCTGTCAACCAAGCCAGTTCTATCTGTGTGGCTAACTCTCATCACGCCCACCTATACTTCAAATTACTTAGCAGTGTTAACATCAGATTGCAAAGTGTAGACATCTGTAGATGTGAACTACGTACAAATTTGTCTCCTAGTAGCAGTCACAAAGAAATGGAAATTACGCAATTTCAGACAAGATTGGGCACGTTCAGGGTGGTATGGCCGTAAACAGAAATTATACAATTTCAGATTGAACAATTCCAGACTGAAAGAGTGAGCACTCTTTGGTCACTTCTACCACATGAATCCCAGTATTAAATAAATACATAAACATCCACCGTTATTAAGTGACTTTCTCCCTGCAACAGTAAGGTTGGAGGGATTAGAAGTCATAGTTCCTGAAGAACGAACCATCATTTGTTCACCATGCAACTGTTCTTCAGGGAATGAACAAGAAATTGCTCTTACAGAGCACCTCAAACACAGAAGAAAGAAAATGCAAGATTAAAAAATAAAATGAGGTTGGACATTTTAAATCGTTTTAAAGTCATTATGGCAACACTTCATAGAGAGAAGCTACTCGCTGGCTAATTTCCAGCATGTTACCCAGACAGCCGCACTGTACTGCACATAAGACACTGCTACCAATGGGCTCACGTATGTCTGTTGTTCCTGCCTTGTCATTTACCCTTAAGAGAAAGAGGAACCATTCTTATTATTTGTCTTAATTTTGGTTGTTCCAGAAGCAGATCTAGGAACAAGGACTTAATTGTAAGTAGTTTATTTTAGGATGATCCAAGAATTCCTGGTAAGGAAGTGGGAGAGTGAGCCAGAGGAGCCGGGGTATAGCCAAGAATGATTTGTGATCAAGCCAGTTACCACTAGAGGAAACTGAACTTCACTCCTGCTAGGGAGCTCTGGGAGCCAGTGTAGAATTGCATCTCCAAGCTGTCCCACCTGAGAGGTGAGGAAGCTCAAGTACTTATTTACTGATTCAGTATTGTGCTGGCAACGGGTTCTCCAGTAGGAGGTCAAGGGAGCCCTGATTTGTAGCATTTGCCAATGACCATGGTGTAAATACTCCCACCATGGCTGATTTCAACCCAGCAACATAACATCATTGAGTATGGAGTTGGGAAGAGAAGTGTAAACACCATTCAATAGTATTTCCGACTCACAAAAGACGTAACCTCAAGACAAGAGCATACAGAATAGTAAAATGTAGTAAAATAATTACAAAGTGATTATTATCTTTGCTTTTAATATAATTTAATTATAAATGTGTGTCACTTAATGTTTAATAATGGCCGTGTTTAGCAACCAATATGCAAAATTCCTGAAAATGTAGCAATCAGAGCATGCAAGCCAGTAAGAGCTGGCTCCAACCCATCATTACACAGATTCGCCTCAGTCACTGGTTGCAGGAGTCTCCCAATGCGGGGGTTCAATCCCTGGCACTTCTGGTCCAGGGTGAGAGGGTGAGAGCAGCAAAGTAAACCCCAAAGGCCAGATAAAGCAGGAGCTGGCCATTGGACCTTGGGCCAGTATACTCTGATGCTGCAAAGGCGAGAAGAAATGGATAAGCCCCAACAGAATTTGCTACTGCCTTCAATTCCTGAGTGGCCATATTTCCTATAAGGCCTTGAAATATTTCCATATTGTTTTCTGTGGTGTTGCATCTTCTCACCTGGAGCAACTGAGTCCTTAGCTAGACATGCATTTCCTCCACGTTTATTAAGTTCTAAACCCATACTCACTGAGTTGCCCTGCCCTGTGCTTTAACATTGAGTGTGATCCAAACAATTCCATCCACTCTCTTCTCTCCACTCCACAAATCATTACTCTTTCTATCTTCCCTGTTTTTGCTGAAGAATTAATGTTTTCCTAGTAAGCCTGCCTCAGAATCCCTGATTTCCAACCCTCATGGACCCATATCCAATTTATGGCCCTATACATTCAGCCTCAGATAGGTTCCTCTCAATTTTTTGCCACAGTTCCTCTGACACTGTAATGGTCCGACTCTTGTTATACCTCACAGAGACTCTTGTAAGGGCCTCCTGAGTGGATTCACAGCTTCTCGTGTCCTCTGCCTCTAAGCCACCCAGAAATCATTTCTGGAGTTGGCCGGACACAGTGACTCACACCTGTAATCCCAGCACTTTGGGAAGCTGAGGTGGGAGGATCGCTTGAGTCCAGGAGTTTGAGACCAGCCTGGACAACATAGTAAGACCTCATCTCTACAAAAATAAACAGAATTAGAAAAAAAGAAAGAAATCGTTGTTGGGTGTGGATGCTCACATCTGTAATCCCAGCACTTTGGGAGGCTGAGGCGGGTGGATCACCTGAGGTCAGGAGTTTGAGACCAACCTGGCCAACATGGTGAAACCCCATCTCTCCTAAAGATACAAAAAATTAGCTGGGTGTCGTGGCAGGCGCCTGTAATCCCAGCTACTCGGGAGGCTGAAGCAGGAGAATCACTTGAACTTGAAAGGTTGCAGCGAGCCTAGATCGCACCACTGCACTCCAGCCTGGGTGACAAGAGCGAAACTCTATCTCAAAAAAAAAAAAAAAAAAGAGAAAAATCATTTCTGATCATTTCTGGAATCATCTTTCATCCATGGCCCTGAAGAGCATCACAGGGGCTACTGCGGAGAAACCTTGAAATAATATTCAAGGCTCTCCGTGGTGTAGCCCAATCTCTCATCACAGCCCTTCCCACCTATTCGCCTTCATGCCCCAGAAGATCTGATGAACTAAACTTGCTGGTCCCATAACAGTCTAGAGCTTTTCTGCCTCTGTGTCTTTGCCAAAGATGTTTTCTTTATGAGAAACATAGTTCCCCATCCTTCAAAAGCCATCTCCTATGCCAATTTTTCAGTGTATCATCTTCCGTTCCCCCACCCTCCACCCAGAACCCTGCTTCAATGAGCAAACTGCTTTGTCACACAGCCTCCTCTGCATTGCTTATTATGACTGCTCCATGAGTTACTTGTCTTCTGCTATTCTTACTTTAACGATTTCTTTCTCCTTTAGGGCCCTGGCAGTGTATTGCACACAGTAGGAGTTTAATATTTGTTGAATCAATGTTTTGTGTTTTTAAATCAAAGAAGCTGGATAAAACTAAATTAGGAGTTAACAAGCTAATTGAGCAGCCAGTATACTTTATTACATAACTCACTATGTCTTGAATTCATCAAAGATTTTTAAATATTTAATTCAACTTATTTGAAGTCATCAGCCAATTTTTACAAGTCCCTTTCTGGCTAACTTCCTCAGTATTTGCTCTTTCCCTGTGATTTAAGCTGAAACCACTCTCCAGCCAGGGTAACCCCTTTACTTGGAGCCAAGCAAAACATGTCTACCCATAGTCTGAGGGAATGATGGTAAATTTACTTAGAAAACAGGCCTTCAGAATAGACTACATAGTTCAAGTCTTAAACATATCAACATGGGTATATTTTTAAAATGTAATGAGGACTGAAAAAAGCAAGTTGTGGATGGAGACCTAGATTATGATAACATTTATGTAACATTAAGTAGGGACATGGATGAAGCTGGAAACCATCATTCTCAGCAAACTATCTCAAGGACAAAAAACCAAGCACCGCATGTTCTCACTCATAGGTGGGAACTGAACAATGAGAACACAGGGACACAGGAAGGGGAACATCACACACCGGGGACTATTGTGGGGTGGGGGGAGGGGGGAGGGATAGCATTAGGAGATATACCTAATGCTAAATGACAAGTTAATGGGTGCAGCACACCAACATGGCACATGTGTACATATGTGACAAACCTGCACGTTGTGCACATGTACCCTAAAACTTAAAGTATAATAATAATAAAATTTAAAAAAAAAAACAGGAGAAACAAAACTACATGCCATTTAAAGTGGCAAACATGGGCAAGAAAAAAAAGTGGAGAATGATAAATAGCAGATTCAGAAGAAGGATTAATTCTTGGGAGACGGAGGAGCGGGGAGGAAGGAACTGAGAGCTTGAAGAGGCACACACAGGAGATTTCCAATGGACTTGAAACTTTTTATATTATAGAAAAAAATGGTCTGAAACAACTGTGGCAAAATATTCAGATTTGGCAGAGCTGGGTGGTAGAGATAGATGTTAATCCCTGTGGTTTTTGTGGTACATTTGAAATGTTTCATAATTTGGGTGTGGTGGGGGGGGGAAGTATTTACAATTATTGGAAGAATTCCCAAATGGTTGTGCATGAGATTTGTAACTTAGCAAACAACCCTTGAGTGACCATATGGCAAGACACAGAAAGTAGAATTACTGGAGAAATCATTGAAGTCTCCGTTTTATCAATACTTTTTGATCTTTTAATCTTACTAAATTGATGACAATCATCTATTTTTAGTTGATTATTCAATATTCACTTTAACTAAATCACTCACTTCTCAATTAAGAATACACCGCTGATGTAAAACAAAAGCAACAAAAACTCAGTGAATTGGAAGGTTAATAACATAAATCCCAAATGATGTTGTATGACACAGGTTCATTAAAGGAAATCTATTACTCCAGAAATAATTACTGGGGGTAAAAGAAATATTTCTCACAAACTCTTCATCTATAGCTTGGTCTTGGCCCAAGAAGAATGTTCTAGTTCATTCTCCTAAGTAGTAGGATTACCATCAGAACTGTTATCACATTCCATTCCCTCAGTGGAATTATAATAAGAAATAAGGAATATTTTTCCTCTACCCTCTGAGAATTCTGTAATTGAATCAATAAAATAAACTCATAACAGGCAGATGAATAGGAGAAGAGGTATACAGATTTATCATGTGCATGGGGGCAGGACAGAAAAAAAAAGTGAATACCCCTAAACACAGTGAGATCTAGAAGCTTATTTATCCTCTTTGTAGGGGACAGGAGCGGGGGATGTAGGTAACTTAGGGGAGAGGAAATCTGGGAAAAGATGAATGGGCTCTCGGAAGAATAGGAGAAAGAGCATAACAAAGTCTGCCTGGACATGGCGCTCACTTTCCGTCTCCTCTCCCATGATACGTATTTATCTTCCCTCGTTGATGAGGTGCCTGGGGAGGGAATCCATGACAATTACTTTCCTTTGGAGGATCTGTAAAGCGGCATATTTTGGGGTGTCATTTCCTGACCTTCTTCGGTACCTATCTCCACAAGGTTGTTTTGGGTTAATACACACTCCCATGTCTACTGCAGCATTATTCACAATGGCCAAGACATGAAATCATCCTAAGAGTCCATCTGCAGATGAAGAAAGAAAGAAAATGCCAGCCTGCACAAGACCCTCATCACTACAGAAAAGAAAAATTAGCCAGGCCTAGTGGGGTGCACCTGTAGTCTCAGCTACTTTGGAGGCTGAGGTGGGAGGATCACTTGAGCTCAGGAGTTGGAGGTTAAAGTGAGCTATGATTGCACCACTGCACTCTAGGCTGTGTGACAGAGAGAGAGAGAGAGAGAGAGAGAGAGATCCTGTCTCTTAAAAAAAAAGAAAAGAAAAAAAGAGAAATGGTCTATATAGACGACAGAACACTATCCAGCCTTAAAAAAGAAGGAAACCCTCTCATTTGCAACAACGTGGATGAACCTGGAGGGTATTATGCTGAGTGAAATAAGCCAGGCACAGAAACACAATACACATGATGTCGCTTATATGTGGAATCTAAAAAAGTCAAACTCATAGAAGTAGAGAGTAGAATGGTGATTACTGGGGGTTGGGGGTGAGGGTTTAGGGCAATGTGGGTCAAAGGATACAAAATTTCAGTTAGGAAGAATAACTTCAAGAGATCTAGTGTACAACATGATGACTATAGACAGTAACAATGTACTGTATCCTACAAAATTGCCAAAAGAGTCGATTTTAAATGTTCTCACCCCACACGAAAAAATGGTAAGTATGTAAAATAACACCTATGTTATTAGGTCAATGGAGCCACTCGATGATGTATACATATTTTAAAACAACAAGTTGTACATCATAAATACATAGGTTTTGGCCGGGCGTGGTGGCTCATGCCTGTAATCCCAGCACTTTGGGAGGCCAAGGTGGGTGGATCACCTGAGGTCAGGAATTCAAGACCAGTCTGGCCAACATGGTGAAGCCTCATCTCTACTAAAAATACAAAAAAATTGGCTGGTGTGGTAGCGGGCGCCTATAATCCCAGCTACTCGGGAGGCTGAGGCAGGAGAATTTCTTGAACCTGGGAGGTGGACGTTGCAGTGAGTTGTGCCATTGCACTCCAGCCTGGGCAACAAGAGCAAAACTCTGTCTCAAAAACAAAACAAAACAAAACAATTAAGAAATAAAAATTAAATAAATGAATGGATGCATTAAGCATTTAAATCAGAGCCTCCCATTTAGCTGTTATACTTATTAAAGATCTGTAAATGGTAACGATCATGTGGTCACTTTAAATGAGACTTAAAGGTTTTAGGAAAAAGCCACAGCCTCCCTCTTACCCATTTTTAACTATGTCCAAAGCCTGTAACAGAAGCTAATTTTCACCCCCAAATCTGTCTTTCTCAGATTCTATTCTTTCGCACCCGTAACTCCAGTAATTACCAAAACCAAAGTTCAGTCATCAACTGTTGTCCACACAGAAGTCGGGGAGAGGTTGCACCGCTTGAGTTTTTACCCCTTCCCTAAAATAAAACTAGGCCACTGCAATGGGTGAGCTTCAGTTCTCTGAACCTCCATGGAATGTAGAGAGAGACCCACACCTGGCTTCCCACACTGACAAAGGTGGCTTTCCAGCAGGATCCGCCAGCACCTGCCTCCCGTTGTCTCTGGCCACAGGCTCACAGCCGCTGTGTCCTGCTCAGTAACTGGGCATCAAACAAGAATAATTGACAGCTTCCCCCTCGACCCCCGGCCTCCCTTCTCGGAGCAGCAGTTTCCCAGGAGTCGCCTTGTACAACCTCACACACTTTATTACTGGTCAATTTGGGTTTCCTGCCCACTTTAAGTGGCCGTGCTGAGGGTCTCCAACTCTCTCTAGCCCTCACTGATCAATATTAACAGTCACTTCCACAGCATTTCCCTGCTACTCAGCAAGGCCAGGGACTGGCTGTAAATTACTGCACAGCCTGGTCATTATACGGAAAGACGTGCTGTAATTCAAAAGTTAGAGCTAATTGTGAAAGGAATTTCTTTCATGCTTTTCAGTACCCAAATCAAAGAAGACGAAAGAACACAGACCTTGTCCATTTGGGGGTTGTTTTATTTAACTGAAGGGTTTAACTGTATCCATTCCCTCTCCCCAAAATGCACTCTCTGTCTGATATTTATGTATATGGGTCTGATATTTCAAGTCCCCACACACAGATGGACCCTCTACTCTCCAGAGAGGTGGGCCAAAAAAAAACCATCCCGTGAAGTTTAAATTGTGCATTTATAGTCAACGCATTCTCGGTATAAGAAAATAAAAAGAAGTCAGGATTTAATAATTATTGGCTGGGACTCCCATAGTAATATTTGTTTATGAGATAAAACTTAACAAGAAACGAACAGTGAGCCTTGTTATAAGCAAATAAGGCAGAGAGAGACTTTATAAATGCAAATCTCTGAATCTGGCAAAATCACTGAATGGAAATGGCCCGCTGCTGGCAGTTGACTCCATATGTTGGAGGTGACAGAGCCAAGGGGTCACCAAGAAGCAGTCTTCTGAAGTGGGGGTGCAGATATATGACTGAGGCAGACACCACTCAGCCAGAAAATCACACTGCACCTCTAGATTTGGAAGCAAAACTGAAAGCAAGTACAGCAGACACAGAGAGAGGAGAAAAAATAAGAGGCTGATGGAAAGAAACAATAATTATTTTCAGACCCAAGAGGGCCTTTCCCCTCCAAAGATGGATTAGGTGTGTCACCTAGAGCCATCTCAGCTGGGCTGTTTTCCTGTTACCTTCCAAGTGTTGCCACAGGAGGCTCAGGAGAGAGCTCTCTCTCTGGCTGGAAGAGATCTCACAGCAAATCTATAAAGGGGCCCTCCAGCCCCACCTACAGCCCTTGAGGCCCTGGCCCTGGCCACACTCTCTGGGAAACCCTGAGCCCAAACAGCCCAGGCAGGAAAGAAGGGGAAGCAAAAGAAAGCAGGAATGCATCAATCACTTGAAATCATCGAGTCACTGAATAAACAACCATTCTGCTCTCTTTATACCTGTGGCTCATACGGAGGATGGAGAGATGAGGGAGGAATGGTGAGGTCTGGTCCTGAGCCTAAGAAAACCCCCGGTTCATCATGGGCCTTATTTTCCCCAGCTTTGTCGCCACCAAGTTTGTGAGGTTGAGCTTGTGCTCAACAAACCAGCTGCAGTTTTAAAAAAAAACGAAGGCCCGTGCCTGGGCAGAGATATCCCAGGCTGCCCTCTGCCACCAAGCTCTGCCTGCCTCCTCGTCAGATGTCCAAGCTGCCCTTCTTCCTTGGGGACAAAGGCTGTCCTCTCCTTGGGGCCTTCTCCTCAGTGGGTTATCAGGGAACATCTCAATTCAAACCCAGGCCTCTGAAATCTCTGACCCTTCCCCAGCCCCTGCCCAGGTTGCAGGCTAAAGTTATCCTTCTCGGGTGTAATTTTCTCCCAGTTTGCTCAGGGAGCACAAGCCCTGTGTGACTCTTGATTTGGAGGGACATGCCTACCTCTTATGAGCCTCTCAGTGCCCATTTGGCTTCTTTGAGCATGGGAATCTGGTGGCCAGAGCAAGGGCAGGTGGCCATGTCTGGAAGCAGCTGGCCTTCCTGAAGGACTTGCCCTCTTTTGTACTGTGGAGCATATTCTCTCCACAGTACAAAAGGAAACCAAGTCAGGGCTGAGAATCAGCATCAGTGTTCTGCAAAATCAGCTTCCTTCACCCTAGGTATTTCTTTGTTTTCACCGTAAGAGGGGGGATATATAATCTTGGCTGCCCAGAAAACACAACATAAAGGACACCCCAGTTTGTGGCCCAGCAATAGGCAATAACTTTGCCTCATGCTGGAGAGACTACAGGCCATTTGCGCTAGCTTGAGGTCCTATGTACATTGCAGGGTGGGCTGTCTGCTGATGGGGGCTCCGCATTGCTCAGAGCCCTGGACTTTCCCATATGCAGGAGCTGGCCCACCAGCCTGGTAATGGGCTGATCTCCAGCTCTGGAACCTGGAGTGGAATTAGACACCAGCCACCCCATGCTCTCTTTTGTTTAGAAAAAGGAGAGAAAGAGAGAGAGAGTGAAAAATAAAATCCCCAATCGTTTAGTACAAGTCATTTTACATGCTGGGATAATGAAGTATAAAAATGCCTTCAAAGAACTGATTTCCTACTTTTAACTCACTACCAGCCAAGCTTTTTGTGAGGCCTCTCCGGAACATGCATTCCCGTCCCACTCAAACAAAAGAGCTGCGAATTCATTAAACTATTTAATTATGCCTTTTTATTTTTCTCCATTAGCAAGTCCTACCAGCACAAAGTAAATAAAGCCACCGTGGTCTTTCCCCAGCAGACACACTGACTGTTTTTATTCTTTATTCAGTTTATAATATAAAGGGCTATTTTTCCTCCTCCTCCTATTCTTGGCGAGTTTCCTAGCACAAACCCTGCAAATAGAAGCACCCAACTGTCCATGCAATGCATGAAGCTGGCGCAGCAGCATTCGGAATTGCAGGCACATACTCCAGACAGCTTTCAAAGTACCCGCAGCCAACGGCAGCCAAACAGCACTTTACAGCCAGGCACAGAAAAGATATTAGCTTTTTTTTTTTTTTTATACTCTAGTAAATTTGCTTTTTACATCTATTTCTTTTCAGAAGGGCTTGTTATTGAGCTTACTGTCCACAAATTCCATTGATCTCAGGCTGTGACTCAATCCATATGCTCACGCTTTGACACCAGCACAGCAAGCGAGCGATACAAATCCTGTTCAGGCTACAAACTTATTGATTTTATAGATTTCCCCCAAAGTTGTGATAATGATATATCATTGTTAAATTTGGTAGAACAAACTGCTTTCCCAATCTGTCAATGCGAGCATGAAAACCAATTCACAGCCTTGTTTAGAAGGCTTTCGCATCAGAAGAATAAGTACAGCCAGAGGAAGCAGATCACCGATACCCAGCGGCTGGCACCAGCTTGATGTATGATCCCTTCCTCACTGCCCTTTTCTGACCCGCGGCACACTGGGCTGCCAGACTCGTACTTACTGGCTACAATTATCCACAGTGATTCCTCCCTAGGATGCTCAGTATTAATTATTAACAACTGGGAGCATGCTGCTTGGGTGACCCACATCAGTAGGTTTTAAAAGACAATTTTGGTAATTTTCATACGCTATTCAGATGCAGTTGGATACATTAGGATCCTGGGCTTATTGACTTTAATAGGTCAATTTTTTTTTCCTGCAATTGTTCGCTCTCCCCCATCTTTAGGAAGCAAGGCAGCTGCTTCCAGCAGGGGGCAGATGTCAGACAACATTTCCCTTGGAAAGGACACATCTCCATTCCCAAGCACGGGTTAGGGGACTCCATTTGCCTCAACTTCAGATGCTTTCTCTACAGAGACTGGCTAGATCTGGGAGTCCTAGCAGCATGGTAGGATTCCACTAGCTTTATGTCTTCCTAAGGTATTTGTGTCCTCAAGTCTCCATCCAGCCCAGTGTCCTCCGAATCACCCCATCTCCCGATTCTCTTCCTGCCTGGGTATT
The DNA here is from genome assembly GCF_000001405.40 of Homo sapiens. Classification (NCBI taxonomy): domain Eukaryota; kingdom Metazoa; phylum Chordata; class Mammalia; order Primates; family Hominidae; genus Homo; species Homo sapiens. The sequence goes on from NC_000016.10 coordinate 73,714,578, forward strand.
CAAATGCTTTATGGCATGGAGACGTCTGCACGTGTGTGTTAACATTTCAACATGTGTGTTAGCATCTATTCCCAACTTCCTGATCAGCTAGAACATGCTTTCCACCATTACTGTGTGGTTTCCTTGGGTCATGAAGACTACGATTATTTTTGATGTTTTCCAAAATATCCACTTCCCCTCCTTTCCAAAACTTTAGTCTTGGTGTAGTCTCCCTTTTGTCTCATCATCTGTTCCTTGCTGCTTTTCACTTTCCTGCTCAGAAATTCATACCAGCTCCTCTCACATGGTAATCTATTAGTCCTGCTCCCGCTCATTTAAACAAAAACAGGTTAACAAAGCAACTGCAAACTATGCTAGAGTCTCATCTCCTCGGATAAAGTCCGGGTCTCTCTCTCTCTGAGAATCGTTCATTGCCTTTTAAAAATGCTTCCTTTTTCTCTGCCCTCCCTACCCCCATGAAGTTGCAGCTACCTCTCATTTGAGCATATAGCATCTGCTCCCAATCTGCCTGCTCGGGTCAAGCTGGATGACTAGAAATTGTACTTGTGTCACATGATGGTTCTCGGCTAAAATTCTGACTGCCGGCATCCCTGCAGTTTCATTTCCCATCACGTGCCTGCTTGACCTCAACATGGGTTGAGACCTAGGTTTCTTAGAGCCTCATGCCCCACAGGAAATTGACCTCACTGAAGAGCATCAAAGTGAAGAGCATCCAAATGAAATCAAGCATGCTGGCATAGTATGGCTATGAACAGACCCAGTTGACCGTCTCATTCAATTACCACACGGACGTAGACTTGCGTATCTTCTTTAATGCCAACAATAATTTACATCCTTATAACAACTTCATGCTGGCAATGGATTTTCATATAACTTCCTCACAACCTGTGAGAGAGCTTATGGAGGTGTCACCATCCCATTTTATAGATGAAGACACTGAGGCCGAAACTTATGATCATCAAGTTAGCAAGTACCACAGCTGGTCTTTTTTTTTTTTTTTTTTTTTTTTTTTTGAGACAGAGTCTCGCTATGTTGCCCAGGCTGGAATGCAATGGTGCGATCTCGGCTCTCTGCAACCTCTGCCTCCAGGGTTCAAGCAATTCTCTGCCTCAGCCCCCCAAGTAGCTGCGATTACAGGTGCCCGCCACCATGCCCTGCTAATTTTTTTGTACTTTTAGTTGAGTCGGGGTTTCACCATCTTGGCCAGGCTGGTCTTGAACTCCTGACGTCGTGATCCACCCACCTCAGGCTCCCAAAGTGCTGGGATTACAGGCATGAGCCACTGTGCCTGGCCCATAGCTAGTCTTTAAAGCTCTAGGTCTCCTGGCTCCAAATCCAGTGGTCTTTCTAACAGCATATTTCCTCTACATCTTAATTTTTTAAACAACCACCTGCATAAAACCTTTGCATTCCAGGTGCTCCATTTCCCTAACCCTACACATTGTTTGAAAAATTATTTTATTGACGTCTTTTGTCTATTTCCATCAACTTGTGTTTCATGGCAGTAATTAAGTTTTACGCTCCTCCTGCTAAGAAAAAAAGTAAATATAGCCATGGCCCACAAGAACCATCATTATGGAAATGACTTCCATTTCTTTTGCAGTTTAGGGGAGGGAATGGGTGGCTGGGAAGGAGTCATAAACTTACAGAAAAAAAAAATGTCCCTCAAGGGATTTGTGATATATTATCTTTTCAAAGATCACTAAAATGAGAGATTTGGAACGTAAAGAAAATTCTAACACAGCCCAAATATACAAGATTGTTTACAGCCACAGATTCAGCATGTAATTTCCACAGCCAGGATAAGGGAGTTTCTAGAAAAGCACCACAACAATTAAGCTGCTGGCCAGGAAATCGCAATTAAAAAGACGGGCTATTTTCCTTAATCCACCCCTTGCAACTTCCAAAGGATTTTCTAGGGTTTCTAGGACTCAGGACCTCCCACCTCTCAAGGACAGATGGAAGGATGCACCTAAGAGAACAATTAAAATTTTATGATGAGTAAGTTCCTTCTCCCCCAGAATTCTTACTCTGAACACACACACACACACACACACACACACACACACACACGCATGCACGCACGCACAGACCTAACCGCCCTCCTGTTCATAATTGAACCGGTCCGAGCGTGCAGGGCCTTCACACAGAGTGATGGCTTCCCCTGTCTTCTGCATTTGTTCGGCTCCTTTGGGAGGAGCAATTTACAGAAAGCATTATCGATTTTTGCCATAATAGGTACAGAGATGCCTCACCGTCCCTACTCAGCCGGCTCGCTCTCTGCATCACAACTGTCAGGCCAGTTTGTGAAGCCCCGTCATTATTTTTTTTCAAGTAAATCCATCATAAGGTTGGGGTAGGGGGAGGTAAGGGAAGCGATGAAAATAAAATTATTTTCACCTTGCCATATGAAAGAATGTTCACATCCTTCTTTGGAAATGAGTGCAAGCGCCATAGAACAGCAGAAAAAATAAAAGAAGAAAAGGAAATTTGCAGTATCTCAAGAAGAAAACCAGATGAAAGACAGAGATGTAGTTGGGACCTACCTGAACTATTCTGAACGCAGTTATACCTGGGCTCTAGCTTGCTGTCACTTCTCCCCAGGGGGCTAATGCACCTGCAGATATTGTCTTTAGTGTGGAATAAAAAGAAACAGGACATGCATTTATTTGTTTGCTTATTTATTTACTTACTTGTATGTGTGCATCACAGGATGGAATCTGCCCTGAAACTCTTTTCTCCAAAGACCACCCACCTGTAACAGAGACCACCGATTCCCATTTGACTTATTCCCTTTGTGCCAGAAGTTTCCTGATACTCCCTGCCCCAGTGCCCTCCTCACTGGTCACTGGAGGCCACCACTGTCTGGTTACTAATCAGCATGTGAATGTAAATATACCTAACCTCAAATATTTCTTAAGATGAGAACAAGCCTCTTAGAAATCACATGGAAAACTACACTAAATGCATTTTTGACGCTCAAACAAGCCTTTTGATATTCATGTCCCCACTTGCTTGGTCCTTGGTGAGCTCTTCAAGCAGGTTGCTAGGCTCCGAGGAGGGTTGGAGCTTACTCTCCTTCATCTCCGAGTTCGGACCTCTCTCTTCCCCCCAGTTCCTAAACGCAGCCTTGTTTGAGGCTTAGAAGACTTAATCCAAGAATTGGCTCTAGATCTCATTCCCAGTTCCCCAGTTCATTAGCCATGAAAAGTGATAGCCGCTTAAGATTTTTACGAGACATTGTTCCAGAGGCGGACATTGTGCAGTTCCAGAACTGCACAATTACCCACACTTTGCATGCAGCCCTCCAGCCTGTGGCTCTGGTGTAAAGAGCACAACAGCCATCACTATGCAGAATGAAAAGCGGCCTGTTTGCTCTTGGTTACAGGCGAGGATGTGGTGATGTTTTGTTCCAAGTGGTGCTTCCTTGAAAGGATGTTTATTCTCATACAAATTCAAACCCTAACGTGTTATCTTTTCTCCACTCCTCCCAGCCCCTCCATCTCTCCATTCTCCAAATACAAGAACCTACTCTTAAAAGCACACAAGTGAGCTGGGCACGGTGGCTCACGCCTGTAATCCCAACACTTTGGGAAGCCAAAGGGGGTAGATGACTTGAGGCCAGGAACTCGCGACAAGCCTGGCCAACATGGCAAAACCCTGTCTCTACAAATAACATAAAAATTAGCCGGGCGTGGTGGCAGGCACCTGTAATCCCAGCTACTCGGGAGGCTGAGGCAGAAGAATCACTTGAACCCAGGAGGTGGAAGTTGCAGTGAGCCAAGATCTTGCCATCACACTCCAGCCTGGGTGAAAGAGCGAGACTCTGTCTCAAAAAATAAAACTAAATAAAAACAACAACAAGCACACAAGTCTCTCCCTCCCTGCTCCTGTTTGGCAGGGACATTTGCAAAGGGACAAATTTAGAGGGACTAAAATCTAGCTGAGGGTAGGAGACCTGGAATTCACATGGTGCTACCTTACACAGCCAGACCATGAGCTGAATCATGTTTGTTTATGTATTTATTTATTTATTATTTATTTATTTATTTTTTTAAGACAGAGTCTCGCTCTGTCACCCAGGCTGGAGTGCAGTGGCACAATCTCGGCTCACTGCAACCTCCACCTCCTGGGTTCAAGCGATTCTTCTGCCTTAGCCTTCTGAGTAGCTGGGACTACAGGCGCACACCACCACGTCCAGCTAATTTTTGTATTTTTAATAGAGACGGGGTTTCGCCATATTGGCCAGGCTGGTCTCAAACTCCTGACCTCGTGATCTGCCCGCCTCGACCTCCCAAAGTGCTGGGATTACAGGTGTGAGCCACTGCGCCTGGCCTGAATCATGTTTAAAAACAAAAACCAGCCCTCCTCCGTCAGATCATATGAAATGTATTACATCAGGGTAAGGTTTAAGTTCCATTAAACTTGTATTTCTGCTTAAGGCTGCCTGATTCTTTGTCACCCTTGATGTCACATGTTCAGCTACAACAGGCAGTGTACACTGGATTCAAATCTCCCTGTGTATCAAGAACGATAAATAAGAATCTTGGTCACTTTGAACTTTCACTTTCTAATTGTGCTTCAATGATCCCATCTGAGTATTGAGTCTGAGTGATACCAGTCAAGCACTTATCATCTATCCCACCCAGAGGAAGGTGAACCATAGTAAGAATCTATGTTTTGGCAAAGTTTGCAAAAGTAACATATGTGAAGCAGTGAGATCAGGCTGCTGTCTCTTCTCACGCTGGCCCAGTTATTCCTCCCATTATGTCAGGTGGCACCTGCGTGGTCACCAGCATTTTGGAATCTGGTTACACTGAATTTGGCTTTTGATAAATGTATTTATATGAGGTTCACACACATGCTTAGGAACACCTGGGTCATTGCTAGCCAACTCAATAAAACTTCTAGAAACAACCTGCTCCCAAAATAGTAGCTGATGCTACTATTATAAGACTCTTACAATTACACCAAGAATGATGGAAAATAACTCGCTGAAATCTTGTATGAGTCAGGCAATACAGTGTTAAGGGTATTATAGGCATTATTTCATTTATTTATTTTTTTATTTTTTTATTTTTTGCTCTTATTGCCCATGGTGGAGTGCAATGGGTGGCGCGATCTCGGCTCACTGCAACCTCCGCCTCCGGGGTTCAAGCGATTCTCCTGCCTCAGCCTCCTGAGTAGCTGAGATTACAGGCATGCACCACCAAGCCCAGCTAATTTTGTATTTTTAGTAGAGACAGGGTTTCTCCGTGTTGGTCAGGCTGGTCTCAAACTCCCAACCTCAGGTGATCTGCCTGCCTCCGCCTCCTAAAGTTATTTCATTTAATTCTTCAAACAACAGATGTTTGCTGTTTTTCTCACGGCTATCTTCCACTACAAGAACAGTACTTGTTACCTACAAGCCATGTAATAAATATCTGTGAAATTGATGAGTAACCCATAGAATAACAGGCAATCTCAACAAAATAAGGTTCACAAAGGAGAAATATAATGGACCAATAAGTACTAATAATCAATGAGATGGAAAATAAGGCAAAATTATAGCAATTTCTTTTTAACACACTGGCAAAGTTTCATGTTTCATTATTTAACGACAATCTCTAGTGTGGAAAAAGAGTTGTGGACACGGGCTTTAGGGGTATACGAAGGAACACCCTTCCTGAGTGACAATCTGGCAACATTTATCAACACTCTTAAAAATATTTACACTCTTTGGCAATATACTTCAGTGTTAGGGAATTGATCATAAACATCACAAAAATTACCTATAGATGTATGTATGAAGAATTTTATCTCGCTATCATTTAAAAGGGAGAAAAATTATATAGAACCTAAATGTCCATTTCCGTAGCTAACTGTTAAATGGTGACATAAAATTTGGTCCATTCATATGATAAAATGTCATGTAGCCCTTTTAAATCATGCTTTTAAAGTAGTATTTATTGATGCAGGAAAATATACTATAATGTTGAGTTAAACGAAACAAATTTTATGGCACGGCCTCAATTTTCTATAATTCTGTGATGTCCATAAGACTCTATGGATATATTGGAAAAACTCTAAGAGACTGCTACTTATAACCACTAGAAAAAGGGGTTATCCCTGTGTGATAATTGTATAGTTAGTTTTGTTTTCTCTCATACTTTTCCATTTTTTCCAAATTTTCTACAGTGAGCCATTTCTTTCAACAAACGATTACTGATAATTATTAATACTGCAAAAAGCATGAAAACATCTAGGAAATCTAGGGTACAAGGTTCATTTTTGTTCTCCTTGTTCAGAAAAGAACAGATTATTTATCTGTTGTCCTTCCAAGTTAATATCCCTAACTTTTTCATCAGAAAAATAAGGCACTGGATTTATTCTGTGATTGTAAAGTGACAGCCTAGGGGCCACGTGTGGCTGACAGAAGTGTTTTATTTGGCCTCATAATATTTTTAAAACTTGAATTTGAATGCTTCTGGGCAGGGTCTATGTTTCCCAGTTCACCACTTCCTCCATAAGAAGAACCAAGTTCTTCTTCCTCCATATTTTCTTTTTCTTTCTTTTTCTTTTTTTTGACAGAGTCTCACTCTGTCGCCAGGCTGGCATGCAGTGGCGGGATCTCGGCTCACTGCAACTTCCGCCTCCCGGGTTCAAGCGATTGTCCTGCCTCAGCCTCCCAGGGAGCTGGGACTACAGGCGTGAGCCACCACACCCAGCTAATTTTTGTATTTTTAGTAGAGATGGGGTTTTACCATGTTGGCCGGGCTGGTCTCGAACTCCTGACCTCAGGTGATCTGCCCACCTTGGCCTCCCAAAGTGCTGGGATTACAGGTGTGAGCCACCCAGCCTTCTTCCTCCATATTTTCTTACATCATCCTGTCTGGCCCTGTGTCAGCTCTTGATTCCCCAGTCCTTGGATTTGCTGACCATTTATCTGTATTAGTGAGCTAGGATCTGAATCTGTAATAAACAGAAATCCTAACTGGACTGTGAAGCCCACCCAAGCCCTCTTCCTAACCGGCATGCCCACCCATGCACCATCTGCTCTTCAGCAGTCCCAAAGATGCAGGCAAGGAAGCGATGTTTGGTTCTCCTGCTATGGACCCTGGCTCCATGAGAACAATATCTCAACTCTGGAATCTGTTCATGCCTAAGGGAAATTATTATTAGCAGTTATAAACAATACCACTAGTGGGCCAGGCACAATGGCTCACACTGGTTATCCCAGCACTTTGGGAGGCTGAGACAGGCAGATTGCTTGAGCCCAGGAGTTCGAGAACAGCCTGGACAACATAGCAAAACCCTGTCTCTACAAAAATTACAAAAACTAGCCAGATGTGATGATGCAAGCCTGTAGTCCCAGCTACTCGGGAGACTGAGGTGCAAGGACTGCTTCAGCTCGGAAGGTAGAGGCTGCAGTGAGCTGTGACTGTGTCTCTGCACTGCAGCCTGGGTGACAGAGAGAGATCCTGTCTCAAACAAAGCAAAACAAAACAAAACAGAACATTATTCATCCATTTGCTCATTCAGCAGCTAGTAAGCACTTCCTATATGCTTAGTGCTCAACTGGGTACTGGGCCTATAGCTGTTAACAAAATGAACAAGGTCCCTGCCTTCATGGAACCTACATCCTAATGGAGCAGTGGACAATAAGTAGGCACTTCTGTTCTGGACAGATTCAAAGAAACCAAGGAGGGTGATATGGTACTCGATTGGTTGATGATGCCTTGAACATTGCTCATTTGAGCTTGTGAAAAATGAAGAGTGCATTAAACAGCTTCCAACTGTCAGAATTCAATTTCAAGCTATCTGAGACGCCAGCACTATTTTCCTAAAATTAACCTTGACTTTATGAACCAGGAAATCTTCTCACTCTTGGCTCTGATTTTTAGCCAGCAAAATTAAACTTCTTTCAAATGCAGAAGTTCTTTTCTCTCATCTCCCATTCAGAGAAGATAGTTCAAAATACAGTAGGCAGCGTACTCTATGAAATACACTGGCATGAAAATTAGATATGCCCAGATCTCTAGAAAAGTGTACTTTTTTTTTCTAAGAGAGAACTAAATTGTAAAGGTGAGCTATTTGGAGAGAAGATTCTGAGTGGGGATATAAACCATGACACATTTAATGAAACTGCCTCCAATGATATGGGTAAGAAGGGCTCACAAAAAAAGTTTGCCATATTTTGGTGCAAACTGGATCTTACAGAGATCCCAAATCTCTCTGGAAAGGGTACAGTTTATAATTTTTAGTATCTCTTTAAATAATGCAGGAAGATGTAAGCAGATAGTAAGAGAGCTAGTCATTTCCCATCTTTTTCCTAGCAGACAGGTGGAATTGGATGGTCAATTCCAAACCTTTTCCTTACATTTCCAGTCATCTCAGTATTGAGTCCATTGATTCTCACATGGCTTCCTGATAAGTGTGTGGTCTTCAAGCTAAATGCTAAGGCCCCATGACATAGTGCAAATGTTCTCCTTTCCATTAATGAGACCATACTCGCCATCCATTTTACCAAAGTGGCTCAATCCTACTTCAGACAGATTACCTAACAATATCCACTATGAGAAACACAACCCCATTGGCCACGGACTGATCTTTCACTGTTGATTCTCTGAGTGCTTTACAAATGGCTAAGGCTAGGAATACAGGTGAACCAAACTTGTATTATGTGTAGAGAGTTTAGTAGGGATCTTGGGAAGTACTAAAAACAAAAAAAAGGCATAAGAAAAATAAGATATTCAGAAGGTAGATTCTTCAGCTATAATGATATTGATTCCAGTGCTGTTCAGAAAATTCAAAGTGAGAAATAATATGAATGTATGAACATAAACATTAAGTTATGCCATAAAATTTAATGCTGCTCTGCGATTAAAACGTGTTCTTGAAGATTATTGAGTAAAGAAAAATGTTCACAATGTATTGTTGACATGAAAACACAGATTATGAAATGGCACAGGCAGGAGGATCCCAAACAAAATACAATTAGAAAAAAAATGAGAAGGATATACACCAAAATGTTCATAGTGGTCATCACATAAAAATAGGACTGGGGAAATATTTACTTTCTTTGTTTTTCTTGTATTATTTTTGTAATTTAAAAAAATATATTTCTCTCATGTGTGACACAAATCATTATAGGCCTAGTTATTAAGCCAATGAGTTATATGACCCATGAAACAATGTCTTCAAATGTAGGATAAACTGGCTGAATTAAACGATCTTTAAAATTTTTCCAACTCTAATGATCTCTGCTTCTAGGGGTCAAAAGCTACCAGCAGCAAGAAGGGTGAGGAAGAGGATGAAACCCAGGACACCCTGATTATTTAAGCATTGAAGAAAACAATCTATACTATTATCAATAGGTGAGGCAGCTTTGGCAGCATAGTAGATCGCCTTTGGTCTCTGATAAGGTGTTCACTGGGAAATTTGAAAAGAAATGATAATTCGATGATTTTTTCATAAAAGCACAACGATTCCTCTTAAAAAGCTGTCCTTAAGTATGAGACAGCCTCCTTCCTATTCTTTTGTCTGGGGAGGGGTGAATAAGGTTAGGTGGAAAATATTTAAATGTCCTTTCTTTTATGAAACAGGTTGGTGATAATAAATAGTAATTCTGTCTGTTTAATACCCTCACATAACCAAATAAAAGGCTGACAACTCCTGTGTGAGCTGCCAAAATTTAAAACCTTTACTAGTCTCAGCAATTCTAATTTGGAGACTACTAATGAATACATGACTTATTTCTACTGATACACATTTTACTAGAACAAGATTTGCAAACCTGTGGTCATCAGGCAGAAAATACCCACAGATGAATTTTGTTTGCTAACTGGGAGATATTTTTTTACAAAGCTCACATCCTCATGGGGCAACCAGGTGTCATCATTGAGAACCCCACTGTTCCTTTGGTGAGACTTGGGGTGCCTAGTTGGCCACAGTGGGCTGTCTGGCCTAACTTGCTCACTTTTGTTATTTGCCCAGCCTTGGTAGGCATTTGAGTTTGGTACCCTTCTGAGAAACACACGAATAGCCTGTTGTCAGGATAGAATTTTAGGGAACTATGGAAGCCACATTCTGTCTAGGGCACTGGAGAGAAGCTAGCCCCAAATTCCTCTGCCTAGCAACTTCCTCGGTTTTGGCTCAAGACCTCAGCATCATTAATCAAAGTTCTAGCAGTCTTTCAGCTTCAGCCAGTAGTTGTAGTTGGAAAGCAAACCAAACAGAAAGAATTCTTAAAAGCACAACTCCAGGAGTGTTTAACAACACTCAACCACTCCATGCATCCCCTCCTCCACCCCTACCCCTCATCAGGCCCCCTTGGGGGATGCCTCATTGAAATATTTCCTTGCCTGGGCCTTCTCCCTCCAAAATCACTCATGCCATAAAAGTAAAGCAAGAAAACACCAAGAATTTTAAACACCTCAGTCTGTAATGGGATTAGAGCATCTGTAAGGTGTAAAAAATGATTTCATTGTTTCCTATAAACTGGCTCCTTCCTCACCAGAAAGGGCCTCAGTCGAGATGTAGAAAGCAACTTTTTAACCGGCGTATATTAAATCTGACAAACATCTGGTCAATCAAATTTACAGCAATACATAGGGTCTAATAAAGGTTTATTTCTTCTTGAAGAACAAATTTAAAGATTTTTAAAAAGGCTTTTATATATAAAAAGAAAACTAGCCCTGCATTTCTTGGCCCAGCCTGATTTCAAATGCACCATGCTTTGCCAAGTCCTGGCCACAAAAGGGCCCTGTTTCCTTGAGGCAGCAGGGAGGGAGACATGTGTCGGGGCCTGGAGGGCGACAGTTCCTCTGCATCCCATGCCAAAGGAAGAGCAGGAAGACCCAGGAGATGATAAGCTTGGAGCCAACTGTGGTCATCACTGGGAGGGGCAAAGCGAGCAACTGAGAGCCCCAAAGAGACAGGGGTCTTATTGTCACTACCTCCAACAGAGTGTGAGTGTGAGTGAGTGTGTGTGTGTGTGTGTGTGTGTGTGTAGGCTGAGGGAGGAATCAGGGAATAGGGTGGATGCAGACTGCTTAGGGCCTGGGATAAGAGAACAAAATGGTAAAGCATTGAGGAGCTACCTAAGTCCTCCCTTTGACCCCTACTCTAATTCTCTCAACTCAGCAACTGTTTAGAACAACATTAAGCACATGATGTAAGCCACTTGGAAGTAGGGATGGACAGTGCTTTCCCCTTTAAACCATGAGAGATTCAAGTTACAAAACAGGACATCAACCCAGGCACCATACCTTTATGCCAGCCTGACATGCCTGGCCCCATATGCTCACCAACCAACTCTGTGGTCACCCCACTAAGCCACAGCATTATGGGGAAAGGAGATATTTGGAGAATATTAAACCATTTAATTTTTGTCCTTATATGGATTCCTTTCACCATCCATTAAATAAATAGGTTTCATTGCTTCAAGGGGAGGGTAGACAGGTAAAAGCTCCATGTGACAGGACCAACCTTGGGGGCACCCAAATGATTAGCCATGGAGAGGAATACAAATAGACTAATGATAAGGGGAAGGAGGTAACAGATCAGATGCAAATGTCTTAACTTATCCTTTGGGGTCAAAACTCTAGAGAAAGTCTAGGGGCGAGGGGTGATAGAAACCCTCACATAAGTGTGTAGTTCCTTCCAACACAGTGGGGCTGGCTCTTAAATTGTGAGGGTAAATGTGTAACAAAGTGCGAGTCTCCTGAAATAGTACTCATTTTAAGCATGGCACCCAGAGGACATATTGCTGCCAAAGCACTGCATGGAAGTGGTTTAAGGTGGTATCTGCAAGGATGGACTAGAAGGAGGTTTTCAATCTCAGCAATATGGCATTTTGGGCCAGACATGCCTTTGCTGTGGGGATTGTCCTATGCACTGGGGGTTTGTCCTACGCATTGTAGGATGTTTAAAGCTATCTGTAGTAGTCCGTTCTTGCATCACCATAAATAAATACCTGAGAATGAGTAATTTATAAAGGAAAGAGGTTTGAGTGGCTCACCATTCTGAAGGCTATATAAGCACGGCACTGGCATCTGCTCAGCTTCTGGGGAGGCCTCAGAGAGCTTTTACTCATGGCAGAAGGCAAAGCAGGAGCTGGCCCATCACACGCAACAGCGGGAGCACGAGGGAGGAGGAGGCGCCATACTTTCAAACAACCAGATCTTGTGGGAAATCACCCACTATCATGAGAACAGCACTCAAGCCATGAGGGACCCACCTCCCACCAGGCCCTACCTCCAACGCTGGGGATTACATGTCAACATGAGATTTAGGGGGACACATATGCAAACTATATCTGCATCCTGGGTCTCTACCCATTAGATTCCAGTAGCACACTAGCACGTTGCCCTCCAGTTGGGATCCCAAAAAGTCTTCAGACATTGTCAACATTCCCTGGGGAGAGGGCAAAATCATTCCCTATTGAGAAGCTCAGGACTAGAGGTAGGATCCTAGTTCTCACAGGCTGTGTGAGAATACAGGCCATCCAGGAGGACTAGGGGCCTCCACAGGGGTGGATGTGGAACCAGTGGCAGAGCTGGAGGAAAAGAAGACCCTATCCAGAGAGGGGACCAGATGCAGTGGCCAGACCAACACAGATCCTGAAAAGACCAGCCAGATACAGGTGAATCCTGGCAGGCAGCAGAGCTGCACAACTGGGGCCCCCCACCCAAGCCAGAGAGGAGCCTCCAGAGACAGCAGGCATACTGGGGACCCTCTCCTTCAGCTACCATTGAGAAGAAATATTCTTCCCCTGCATGCAGACACAACTGGGGTAACCGAGTATGGTGGGATTAGATGGTTCAAGAGGAGAGAAACAACCTTCCATGAAAGGGTGCTCAAATCTTTCATTAACCCAACATCTACCCTAAACAGAATGAATCTCACCTACAGACTGTTTTAAACTAGAAGAGATGGAGTTACCCAGAGATGACAAGTTTTGATTTTTCTTCTACCATTAAGGATTGTGGCAACTCAGGGATAAAATGAGACCAGTTCTAATCAGAGTTGCAGCAAGTATACGGGACTCATTATGCATTTTTCCAGGTTTTCTTCTGATCCCATCCCATCCCATTTCTAGGTATCTGACTCCATCTCTGGCTAATGGTTCTACCCTTTACCTTCAACCTCAGGAATCTGCTTTTCTGTCTTCTCCAGCCTTGAATGTCACTGTTTCCCAAAGAGTTATAGCTCATTCTGATGTGAACGACTATCAGGACACAACTCTCTGCCTGGGGTTCCAGTTGAACCATCCCTCTGGTGGTCAAGGAGAAACCCCATTGCTATGGACTTTTCTGGACTCATGAGAGAAAAGCTAACGGGTAAATCTTCCAGGGCTACACTGTGTAATATCGTAGCCACTAGCTACATGTGGCTATTTGAATTTAATTAAAATTAGAAATTCAGCTCCTTGGTCCCTTTTATGAGCCGAATTGTGCCCCCCCCCCGCCCCCAATAATTCATATGTTGAAGTTGTAACTCCCAGCATCTAAAAATGTGACTGTATTTGGAGATCAGGTCTTTAAAGAGGTAATTAAGTTAAATGAGGTCCTTAGGATGGACTTAATTCCAATCTGACTGACGTTCTTATAAGAAAAGGAGATTTGGATTTCTCGAGAGAGAGAGAGAAGACAGGCCAGGGATGGGCATAGACAGAGGAAAGACCACATGAGCCAGAGAGAGGTGCCTGTGTGCAAGCCAAGGAGAGGCCTCAGAATCAAAGCAGCGCTGCTGACACCTTGATCTCAGACTTCTAGCCTCCAGAACTGCAAGAAAATAAATTTCTGTATTTTCTTATGGCAACTGGCACTAACTAATATAATCGCAATTGCCACATGTAACTAGCAACTACCATATTAGATAGCCCAGATAGAGAATAGTCCCATCATTGTAAAAAGTTCTATTGGACAGTGCTGTTTGCTGTTCTAGGGCTAATGGTAGCTGACATAAAGAGAAAATGTAATGTGTAGCCCGCAACTCAGTCTCCTATACGATAACTCTTGTGAGTTACTGGTGGCCATGTTGTTCAATTCTTCAACATCTTGGCTTTGCATTCAGTTAGAGCTAAAACAGCCCAGCTGAGGAACTGGGAATCTGTAGCTCTTTGCTACTGCTTGTTGTAAGAATTTTCCGTCTGTATCTAAAAAGAGCCCCCTGCCTCTGCTTGAAAGTTGTAGTGGTGACACTGCCCTCGTAGCACATAATACTTTACCTTAATGCTAAGAATAACCCCCTACACACACACACACACACACACACACACACACACAAGTGTAACTGCACCTAAGTCTCTAAACCATGAAAATCATGCATACCAGGAGCTGTTGGTTCCTTTACTATATTTCCATGTGGCACCCAGAAGTAACCAGCAGACAGTTCCCATCCACACTGCCTTCCTCCTCTCCTCAGCTGAGGCAGTGTGTTCAGCCAGGGAAGAAGGTAGGTCTGAAGTTCTGGGAATGACTGTCAATTAATAAGGGTCAGGACATAGAGATAAACATCTTTCTTGTCTCTCAACAGCCCCATTCTGAAGGGTAGTCTGCCCAGTCTCTGACAGGGTCCCCAAGAGGAAGGAATTCCAGTTCCTCATGGTGCCAGCCCACTTCACCACACCCACTGCTGGCTGCCTTCCTTCCCTGCTACCTCCCTTACAACACACCTGGGCCGGCAATGGCGTGGAGGCTCACGCCTGTAATCCCAACACTTCTGGAGGCCAAAGTGGGTGGATCATTTGAGGTAAGGAGTTCGAGACCAGCCTGGTCAACATGGTGAAACCCTGCCTCCACTAAAAACATACAAAAATTAGCTGGGTATGATGGCGCATGCCTGTAATCTCAGCTACTTGGGAGGCTGAGTCTGGAGAATCGCTTGAACCTGGGCGGCAGAGGCTGTAGTGAGCCGAGATTGCACCACTATACTCCAGCCTGGGCAACAGAATGAGACTCCATCTCAAAAACAAACAAAAAACAAACAAACCAAAAAAAAAAAAAAAAACCTGGGCGATTTCCCAGATAAATGACTTACATCAAATCCTTGCCCTAAGGTCTACTATTGGGGAAACCCAAACTAAAACACCATAGCATCCTTGCCAACCTCTCCCGCAATCTTGGCATACACAAAGGACAGAAACTAGAACCATGACACGCCAGTGTTTAATGTCTTCTCACACCTCTTAGACCTGAAGACTTGAGGGTGGTCTCCTTTGTCACAGGTTCTATTAGGTCCCATGAGGCTCTATGGGGTCCCTCTTCTCAAGGAAGAAGAATCTAGACTTGCTTCCATGTGTAATCTACAGGCTGCCTCAGTAACCGTCTCTACCAGTTAAGTTAGTGTAAAAAATATGTACAGCTAACTAGACTAAATAATATTCAGAATAACTTCAAGTTTGATCATATCAAACCAAATGGGATTAACTCTACTAAGAATGGTATGGAAGCCCTTTCAAGACAATCAGACAAACATGGTCATTTCTGCAGACAAACTGGGCAGATCAATATCCATGCACAGAAGGCTGACTCTTCTACATGGTTAACAGAGAAGACTACCATAGAACAGGTTGCTACTTTTCTGACTCTCCACAATCAATGTGTTGAAAAATTTGATGGAATCTTACTTGGTGACAAATGCAAAGGACAGAATATGGAAATGAGAATAAGAGATAACTTTGCTTGCACTGTATCAGACAGTGGCACTCATCCATGGTTTTTTTATGGCTCAAATTCTGTTACAACAAAATCACTCAATGATCAACCCTTGAATAACACCCTCCCCTCGCAAAAAAAAAAAAAAAAAAAAAAAGAAAAAGAGAGAGAAAGAAAGAAAAGAAAAGAAAAGACAAGAAAGAAAGAATCCTGTATCTCTGTGGACAGTTCACCTGTGTCATATACAAATCCAGTGCATTGTACATAAGGAATCAGACCATTCCTTTGAAGAGGTTTGGCTCGTGGAAGCTGAGGAGAGCGGGCAAGTACCCGGAGACATCTAAATTCCATATGGTTCCCGTCTATCTTGGAGAGTTGGCATCAGGCTTCTAATTGTACTCTTCCCAAGAGGCCCACTCATGTGCGACTGAAAAGAACTTAAGCCTCGTTTATGCTAATGAAGTCCTTTATTGGTCCAACAGGACGGAAAGAACTTGAAAGCGTGATATTTCCGGCCATTTTTTCAAACAAAGAGAGCAAGTGCCAGTATGGAGCTGGGGAACAACATCCATGGCCACCATTTTTGTCTCAAGAGTGCAAGTAAGACAAGGGAATTCTAAGGAATAAGAACTTCCAGCTCTACACAGCCTCACAGGAGACCCTGGGCTCTCTCCGTAGGTGTCGCTGTGGTCCTGTCCAGGGCTTAGCGGAACATTCCATGTCTTCGAGAGGAAAGACAGCCGAGGAGGAAGAGTGAAGACTTGAAAATCAATGATGTCAGTCTATCTTCATATGTCAAACTAATTTGAAAGGGCTTTAATTTTCTTAAAGGATAAAAAAAGGTTTCTTTGCTAGATTAAACTTGCGATTGTCATTCATATATTGTTTATAAGGTAGTCATCTCTGCGCTCTGTATTTTTTTGTTTTTGATTTTGTATACTAGTTAGCAGTGAAGACTTGTCTGCGTGTATCAGAAGGAATAAAGAGAGAAACGTCCTTAACTGTCAGTTTTAATAAGAGGAGTCAACATGCCTCTATTCAGGTTAAATATTGTCCTGTCACATTTCAATAGAGTCAACAGATTTTTTTAAAAGAAAAGTCAAAAGCACTGTGTATGCAAAAAACCCACCCTGTCATAGAATGTCAAAGCCCTTCTTTATCTGGGGGAGGGGCGTGGAGGTAGGACAGAAAAATCTTTTGTAAAATGTGAAAAATTACTGCTCAATTGGCGCTGACATAAAAAGGGTGTTTTTTTTTTTGTTAGAAAAACAAAGAAAATCTCTAATTTAATAATCACCTGCAAAGTGTTATTGTGATCGGAACAAAAAACACACAATCAAAGTCATCTTTTTAAAGTAACTATAGTGTTTTTTAAGCAATCACTGCACTTTATAGCAGCTCACACACATAAACCAATGATGTTCGGGGTGAAAAAAAACCCATTCTGAACTCCTTAAGAAAAGTTTCTGAAATAAGAAGTGACAGGCTACAATAAGAAAATGCAAATGGGACATTATGTTCAAAATAAAACCAAACAAGATTTTTTTTAACCCAAAACATTTCAGTAAGCAGGCATCATTTAGGCTTAAATTGCAAGAGAAGAGGCTTTCTTCATAGAAGGACTGAGGTGTTAAAGACACACGTTTTGGAAGGATAGACTGGAAAGAGCTCAGCATATTCTGAATGGATAACAATTTGTAAAATGGACCAGCAGAATAAAGTCACTTTTTTGTTGCAAGTACCTGCTGATTTGTTAAAAATATGAACCCTACTTGGGGATTTCAGGCTTTGGCATGTTTTTATTTGTAGCAAACGCTATAATTTTGAAATTACTCTAACTCTGAATGAAACTCATTCCATTTAGTAAGCATCTCTACCAATTAAGCCAGTGTAAAAAAGAGTACAGTTTTCTAGACTATGTAATATTCAGAATAACCTCAAGTTTGATATCAAACCAAATGGGATTATCTCTCCCAAGAATGGGAAGGAAGGTTGACTCCGAATTTCAACACTTACTATTAACACCCAGGCTTTGTTACTGAGAAAAGAATACTCCAAAGAGGGCTACTTTCTGAAGGTTTCACCAAAGGCCTAATGATCCATGGAATTATCTGCTGGCCAACAGAGAAGGATCAGAGTTCAGCAAATCTGCTTTGGGTTCTTTAAATAAACAGTGAAATACAAACAGAAAAGAAATATTGCCTTTGAGTAGGGTGGCCATATGTCTGGATTTGCCCAGGACAATTCCAGATCACTCCTGCTATTCTGGTGTTTCATATGTTTTAGGATTTGTCCTGGATTTCTCTCTTACTAATGAAGTATTATTAGTCATAGTTACATTTTAAAAATCCAGAATGGATCTAATAGACCTGTACTTTGTGCTTCTAGCTTCTGCTATGGTATTTGTCTAGTTATGGATGACAGAATTCACAGTTAAATCTGAAAAATGACCAGTGTTAGCCTGTATCTCTTTTCTAGACCCTTTCTAAGGGCAACTTATGCCTCTCTTTAAAGGACAACTGTTCTCCTAAAGGACAGTTTGTGGGGCACTCACTGATAAAATATGCATTTCGGAAAAGCTAGCTCCAGTGGTCTATGGTGGTGGTGAGAGAAGTATTTGCCTTTGCTGGTTTCTTGTGTCATGATCCATGCCTATAAGCTGCATTAAGGCGGTGGGTTCAGCAGGAGAAGTGGAAAGTTACAGCAGTCCTGTCATGGATCATATAGAAAGAAGTCTGTATACTCTTGCTGTTGGGTTTTGTCCTTTAGTGTATGGTGAAGATCTACAGCAGTTTATTTATTTTAATGTTAGGTGATGCTTTTTTACTGTGTAATAAATTATTTAGGCAGCAATCAGCTCAAAGCCACAAAAATAAGCATTGAAATAAAATTTAAGTTCTGAATTTCTATTTCTCAAGAAAGTTAATAAGAGCATGGAACTTGTACAAAGTGTGTGTTGGCATTTACTATCCACCATGGAGAAATCGTAATGATATCACTGACTATAGGAAAAGCAAAAGACATAAATCTGCTGAAGAAGTATTATCTTCTACTAAAAAATTTAACAGTTATTCTTAGAAGACATACCAAAAACATGATGATTTAACTCATAAAGCTGCAGAGGTGCAAATGCATATCACTCTATCAGCCATGACTTTTCATTTAGATCAAATGACTGGTTTTTCTCAATTAATTTTACTCATTTTAGGTTTCAGTAAAAACAGATGTTAAAATTTATATTTTTATATACCCCCAAATTACACTAATTGAAGTACAAACAATTTGTGACTAAGCTGATATAAAATTAATTTTTGAAAAAAGACTTCAATATAGCTCTATGAATTTTCTTTCTTTGTTCATCATTAACTTTTTCCTGTCGTTGGGGATTAGATATAGAACTGTGTTGACTACTTTAAAGTCAACCTAAGTGTTGTATAATATTAATTTTGTCAATAAATGAGTCCTCTAAATTTTAGTTGCGTTTTGTTCAACATTAGTCAGAAAGCTTTAATTAAGTCCTCAACAAATGAATACTAAAAAACTACAGCTGAAGAATTCAGTGAAGGGCAATTATTTGAAAAATTTGTATACAAGAACACATTAAAATACATCCCCCAAAAAGCAAGAAGGATATTTAAACATATTAGTGATGAGAGTTCAAATAATGTACAAAATTTTGTTTTGAAATTCTTTAACTATGCCTGGTAACAGTGGTCCCCAATTTTTTGGCACCAGAGACTGGTTTCATGGAAGACAATTTTTCCATGGATTGGGAGGTGGGGGAAGGTTTCGGTATGAAACTATTCCACCTCAGATCATCAGGCATTAGATTCTCATAACGAGCATGCAACCTAGATCCCTCACATGCTCAATTCACAATAGTGTTTGTGCTCCTACTAGAATCTAATAGCACTGCTGATCTGACAGGAGGTGGAGCTCAGGTGGTAATGCTGGCTGGCTTCACCCACCCTCCCACTTCCTGCTGTGCAGCCCGGTTCCTAATAGGCCATGGACTATCACCAGTCCATGGCCCAGGGTTAGGGGATGGACTTTTGGAATATCTCAAATTGCCAAAGAATATTCTGATGGAGCTACTCTTTAAAAATTATATAAATCCATATTTTTACTAGAATAAACTGAAATTGAGAAAGCCTATGATTTTGTAGCATCTTAATTTGGTAAAATATTCAAAAGAATAATGAAGAGATGGATAATTTTCTGAGTTTTATCTCATAAATTTTGTATCACAAAGAGTTTCCCTGAATGACAGCAATAAGATAGTATCTGTAAAAATATTTTGGCTGAAATATTTACATAGTACAATATAAAAAAACAGAATTGATGATATATTCCATTTATAGAATTATCTCTGAGTTTACTTGATATGCTAGAATTTGTAGAGAAAATAATTTCCCACTTAAAAGTATGATGGCTTACAAAGATTCATCAATTAAATGTGTCCACAATTTCAACCAAAATATGAAACTATGAAAAACGTAGAAAATTTTATGAAATATTAAAAATAACAAATTTGAAAAAATGCTTTCTAAAGAATACTAGTGATGCTTTATGTGAAACATGCTAAGAAACTTATTACAGTATGTGAATATGTACAAAGAATAATTTATTCTGTGCATGTTATCTTTAAACATCTACATAGTAATATAAAAAAAGTTGCTCTTAGTTTGCTGCAATACACACTGATATGTATTATTTTATTTTCCAGGAGGAATGATATTTTCAAAAATAATTTTTAGTAGAACCATTTATAAAACTACCAATACAACAGACAACTTGAAGAATATATACAGATTTTATTTTTTTAAATGGTGATAAAAGACACATCAAATTAACTACTTTAACCACGTTAGGTATACAGTTCAGAAGCATTAAGCACATCGGCATGGTTGTGCAGCCATCACCACCACCCATGCACAAAACTTGTTTCATCTTGCAAAACTGAAACTGTGTACCCATTAAACAAGAAATCCCCACAGCTGAAAGTATTTGGAATGAAATCTTGTGAAGGTGAGTCAGAGACCTGAGTCATAGGGTTATGAGTCAACTATAAGGTTTGATGATAAAACCTAACTTTATGTTTCTTGTTGGTTAAACTAAAAATCTCCAACGGAAATCCAATAAAGCAAGTTCCATGTGTGCTTCTAAAAAAAAAAAAAAAAAAAAGAACTCCCCATTCTCCCCTCTCCCCAGTCCTTGGTAACCGCCATCATACTTTGTATGAATATGACTACTCTAGGTATCTCAAATAAGTGGAATCATACGGTTACAATAAAACAACTTTTAATAAATAAATGTCAAACACAGCCCTCTCTCACTCTCAGAAATAACCTGGTTTGCAACACAAATGTATATGCGATCACTGTACATTTGAGAACACCACTATCACCAAACAATGACATCTTGCTATTCAGCAAAAAGTAAGGTTCCTGAAAAGGCGCCTTTCTCCCAAGTGTGATGTTTCTGTTACATGCATGCCTCCCCATAGACATTCCCTTTTGAGCTATCTCATCTCATGGCTTTGTACAGTTCCACCTTAAATAAGCAGGAGCTGTTTCCCATCATCCCCTTCTCTGTAGGGTTTTGAATTAGTGTTGCCCATAGGTGACATTCTGTGCAAGATTTGGAAGGCAAAATGAAGCACCAGCCATTCCGTTTTTTTTTTTTTTTTTTTTTTTTTAATGCTCTGAAGGTTGGTGCACCTGGTTGAGCAACAGACATGGTGACAGCTCATACATGTTATTGGGGATCTCCTAGCTCCCCCAGGGTACTAAGCACTGGACTCACAGCTCTTCCTGCTAGATCTACTCCTTCAGCTTCTCAGTCCTGGGCCAGATGCACACACAGCTCCTTGAGGCAGCATGCCATCTTTTCTTTCAGGTCACCATGACATTGAGGTCAGAAATGGTCAGAGACAGATGGGGATTCTAGTTTGTGCCCACAGATTCAGTGATCCCTGTGGGTTTCTAGTTCATCGTCACCCTTGTACATTTTCAGCATTTCTCTCCAACTGCTGATCTGACTCACCAATGGCTACTTTAGTTTCAAAACTAGATGCAGGGGCAGCAGCCTGCATGGACCAAACTTCCAGCTCCCACAATCATGGAAGGTCTACTCTCTGCAACAAATCCGTTATTCTAACCACTCATGATGGTTCTGCTTCTCTGCTCAAACCTTGAAACATCATCCTCATTCCTCAAATGCAGGTGGTTCCTGAGTTTGATTTTATAAGCCACCTGCCACATACAAACACTGAATTTCATAGCCACTTTGATGTTTATGAAATTGCTTTCAAATGATATCTGGCAAACAGAAATAAAAGGGACTGAAGAAAATACAGAGAGGGAAATCAGAAAAATGCCCTGCTTTTCTCTTTCGGAAAAGAAACTTCATTCCTCAGTGGAGAGTACAGACCAAAGGAAAGAGTCTCTGGCTCCCTTGCAAGGATCACATCAGATGTCAATTCATTTTTCTCCATTCATTCACCCGATTTCACCTATGCACAGTTTATCAGCCACTCCATTCATTTAGGGATGCATTCTGGCACAATGGGAAGACAGTTGGCCATCTTTAGCAGGCACCAACCCAAACAGGGGTATTGTTAGAGGTCTTGAAGAATAATGCAAGTTGGGAATTTCAAGAGATCACTGTGTGTATCAACATATGCTTTATTCATGGTCAATGCTGTCAGATTCCCAAAGCACAGAGGATATGGAGAAGTGTGGGCAGGTGCATTGGCTGGGTTTGCAGCCAGCTATATTCAGGTCTCTTTCTGTGGTTTTCTGTGACTCCATTCTTTTTCTTTCTTTTTTTTTAAGACAGGGTCTCACTCTATCACTCAAGCTGGAGTGCAGGGGCAGCATCACAGTACATTGTAGCCTCAGTCTCTTGGGCTCAAGGGATCCTCCCACTTCAACTTCCGAAGTAGCTGGGATTACAGGCACATGCTACCACACCCAGTTATTTTCTTTTTAATTTATTGTAGAGACAGGGTCTTGCTGTGTTGCCCAGGCTGGTCTTGAACTCCTGGGCTCGAGCAATCTTCCTGCTTTGGCCTCTCAAAATGCTGGAATTACAGGCATGAGCCACTGCACTCAGCCTGTGACTCCATTCTTGATAACAAATATGTTTGACAAACCCAAAACAGAACAAGGAAAAACAAATTTAACCTGCTCTCCAAGCTGTGTCTTGTTTTGATCATCCTTTGTGGGATGAAGACAGCATAACCATCTCAGTTGCTCTGAAGTTTCTGAGAAAATGCCCGGATATTTTACCATCATGAAGAGTAATATCAACACCATGTATAACGATTAACAATTAAAAATCTTTCCCTAGAAGATGAATTCCATACAAAAGCTGTGCTATTCAAAGCTTCAAAGCAAGGGTCTGTGAAGGCCCCATCTACCTGCCCCATTTTAGTCATTTCAATTTACTTCGGGAAAAAGGAAAAAAAAAAAATCCCACAAAGCTGACATTATATAGTAAAGTTTCAGGGATACGGGAGCTATTTAATCATTTTGTGTGTTAGCCTGGCTTTTCTGCAGTCTCTTTTTCCTGTGGTTTTGTTCTTTGGCTGCTCATTAGCACCTCCCCCAGAGAGTGGGCAGGAGAAGGGAAAAAGAGATAAAACTCAAATCAGACAATTTTATCAGTCAGGCTGTCAACAAGTTGAATATATTGAGAACCCAGGGGGTGTAGAGGTACTTTTTAGCAGCTCTGATAAAAGGTTTGGTGGGGGAGGAGGTCAAAACTAATGGCAACGTTGAGATTTTGGGGGATTATCATGGGATTTTATTGATTTATGCCCTCCACATCTCCATTAGTGCAGCTAATCAAAAGTGGGGCAAAAATAATTAAGCATCTATGGAACTTTCTTAAAGAAGACACTCTTTTGAATCAGGCACTTTTATCCCTGTAAGTTTGGGGACCTGTTGGGCAGTTCAAATGGAAAACAAGTAAGTTAATTTCCTTTGCTTTGTCTAGATGCTGTGAATGGCACTGTAAGGAAAAATAAAACCCTTGCAGCAGGCTCTCTAGCTCCCAACAACCTTGTGCTTTCAGCCTGACTTCAGCTTAGAGAGGGGCAGGAGCCATGAAGAGGACACATCTAAGCAAAGCAAGCAGCAAGATCACTGCGACTAAAATGAGCTGAAGCCTGACACTGAAGGATCATGTTTGCCACAGACATAGCCAAATTAACACATGCACTGTGCACATTAACATGGCTTTCCATTAGACCTTGCTGTCTGCACAGAGACATGAAATTCTTCATTAAGTCGTGAGGCCACTCAACACATTGTGTTTGCTAGTTCTAAGGCTGAATGATGAAGGAATGATTGGGTCTGCCCTTTCTTTCTCAAAGACTAGGATATTCTTTTATGCTAGAGTTCCACGGTATAAGAAAAGGGGACGTTTCATGGTGGAAGAGTACCAGACATAATGTAGAACTCTCGTGAAGGTTGCTCAAAGACACCATTGTTTTGTTGGTTCTGATGCTCTGGGGAATTCACACGGCTCCAGTCTTTGGCCAGTTTGCACTCAAATTCATTCCTGCCCCCTTCTCTACAGGCTGTTTCCCGGGCTTCCATGTCAGCTGGATTCCTGCTGAGGAGGCACCCGTGGAAGATTACAAGATGGAAGAAAGGGAGAAATCAGGGTATTTCTCCCCCTTCCTCTGATGTACTTCCAGAAGCTTCCTTTCGTCTATAACCTCTTCTCCTCTGTGAGTCCAACTCCCACCAGACCAGACTGTGGTGGTTCTAATCCATAACCCCTAGGCACCAGCAATGCCATCTCCTTCCTCTGTCCCTCGGACAAGGAGCGGTCGAGGCTTCCTGCTGTTGCAAATCTTTGCCTGGCCTCACTATTCTCCCTTTTGCTCAGCCTCTCCAATGCCTAGACAACTAAATCTCTGCATTGCACTTGCTCCCTTCCAAACACCAAAGCAGTTTCTGCTTTCCTGACTAGGCTCTGACAGATACACAGGAGTTGTGCATTTTACAGATAATTTTCTGTCTGGACTGTTGACTCAGTGGTTGGAATCCACTCTTCCATGATCTCATCTTTTGTTAGAACAGGGTTTCTCAATTGCTGCATGATTGGCATTTTGAGCTGGTTATTCTTTGTCGTGGGGACTGTCCTGTGCATTACGAGTTATTTAGCAGCATCCCTTACCTCTCTCAGTAGATGCCAACAGCAACCCCCACCCCAGTTATAACAGTCAAAAATGTCCCCAGATGTTGCAAAAGTCCCCTGGCAGGGAAATGTCTCCCCAAATTGAGAACTGATGCTGTAGGAGATGAGGTGTCTGGAGCTCCATGGGCACACCTTGGTTGTTCCTGCTTCCATGCCTGGTGAGTCAGTGCCAGGGAATGAAGGGACTGTGATCAGTGGGGTGCAGAGTGGACTCTTCTGTCTATTGACTATCAGGGACTCCCAAAAGGGTGGGAGAAAGGGTGACACAGTTACCCCAGTTATCCTGAAGGCCAAACAATCAGTTTCCCTTCTCACTGGGTCCACTGCTGGTCTAGGCTGGTCCAGGCCGTGATAAGGCCCAGGGAGGGGCTCTCACTCACCATTTCTCCTCCTTAAGGACATTTAGAAAATGTGAAGACTGGAGCCCCAAGGCATGAGGAAAACAGTACTCTTCTCTACCCCCAATGACCTCTTTCATGTCCACCTCCACTCTGTATTTTTAACTGCAAACCAGCCAACTGTGTGCACTTGGTGACCATCAGCATTTCCTCCTCCCAGTCCCTCTCAGGGACATCATCTTCTGATTGTCATTTCATTCAGGAAGGGCACAAAGTTACTGCCGGCACCATCAGCACAGCATGCCAGCCCGGTTCCTTGCAGCCTGGAGGTAGCACTGTAATTTAATTAAATGTCAACCCCCAGGTATTATATTTCAAATGCAAATAACTTTGGTAATGTAATATTGTGGCTGAGACTTTAAACTCAAGGAAATCAAGAAAATCAAGTTATGGTAGCTCCTAGAATTAGCATTCCTCTACACACTCCTTGGGCACTGGGCTTGCTTTGTGTCATTAACTACCATCAAAAACATGCCAAAAAGTGACTGAGCAGATACGAGGCAGGCTGGGGAAGGCTGGCTCCCTAAAGGTTGAAATCTTTTCTGTTAAAAAGAACATCCTTTAAATTTCACTTAAGTCCTTAAGTGGGGACCGTTGGTCAGGGCTATATATGGCAGGCAGGTGAGTTTTCCTCTAGCCCAGATCCGTCATTGGCTAATTGTTCCACATCTCTCTTTGGCCCTTTGCTTCTCAAATCATAAGAAAAAGAAAAAAAATGCCACTTATTTCCTTCAGCAAGACATCATCCATAATAGGATGGTATTCATTTTACCATGCTTTGAATGCCCTACAAAAAAGCAAAATACAAATACAAAATACTTTGAAAGTTACTTCATCTTAAAGACTAAACAACACATTGCTGTTGCTCTTCTCTTGGGGTTCAGAACCTGAGATGATACTCAATAGGCAAAGACCTGCCAAGCCCCAGATTCTCGAGTCCATGGTAAATGTGTGAAGAAAGCAGTACCCCTGCCTTCCATCAGGGGCTTCTCATTATGGAATGCAAGAGAGTTGAAAAGTCAAATAATTGGGAAGAAAGAAGCCTTCACTTGAGGGACACCCTGAGGTTACCTCCTCATATACCCAACTGATTATGAGATGGCCAAAGTATCTATATGAATAGACTTTCCACATTTTTTAAGTGAGAAATTAAAAGAGGTTTACACTGTACTGGTTACCTGAATCAGCAAAAATGGGCCTTTTTTTTTTTTTTTTTTTTTGAGACGGAGTCTCACTCTGTTGCCCAGGCTGGAGTGCAGTGACATGATCTTGGCTCACTGCAACCTCTGCCTCCCAGGTTCAATCAATTCTCTGCCTCAGCCTCCTGAGTAGGTGGGATTACAGGCGCCTGCCACGACGCCCAGCTAATTTTTGTAAAAAATGGGCCACCTTTTATAATAAAATGGTTTATCTAGAAAGTGACTACATATGGAAATACAAGCTTTAAAGAAAACAGCCACTTCACAAGTCAAGTTGGGATAAAAATGGACAGCAAGTGCCAATTAGGGAAATGCTAAGACGTGAAGTCTCTTGAGTCTCTGAATCCTCAAGTTCATGCTCTACCTAAAGCCACTTCTCCATGCTCCAGAAGCAGGTCTACAGTTTCTCTCACAAACAGTCTCCATAGTTTCCTCCCTCCCATGCTGCACGTGTGCTTAAGACATGGGTGGAAGAGGTGGAAGAAATTGTCCGGGTGTTTTCTCTATTGTACTTCAGCCAACTCCAAGCAGCTCTGGGCAGCCAGGAAGCTTTGGAATCTCTTTCAACAGCCTTGGACTCTCCAGTTAGCCCCACAGAAGCTTGACCACTGAGCCTCATCAAGTAGGAGACAAAATGCCATCATTTCCAGACTACCCACATTTGTTTACTTATCTCCACTTCTTTTATATCCTTTTTTATTCTTAAGAAAGTTTCACAGCTGCTTCACAATTACACAAACAACATAAATTGGAAACTAGGAGGGAGAGGAAAGAAAGACAAACATAAGGGGTATAAAATGGATCCAGAAATGGTTGAATGCAAAACAGAATGTAGTCTTACACATTTGTTTGAAGGGACCGCTGATTTTATTCTAAGTCTTTCTAGCAACAAAGCCAAAAAGAGAAACCTTAATCATTTACAAAGTCCCCAGTATTCACACCATAAGAATAAACCAGAAGTCCAGCTATTGCTCCTAGTGACATTAAGCAGAAATTTCTTCTGGAGATCCACATTTCAAGGGTGCATATCATCAATACAGTGGTCATCAACTCATAACCACCTCAAATTTCCAAAGCATAAACCTACAATGACATTTCCTCATTGAAATATTTGAAGAAAGCTATTTATACTTTTCTAAGACCATCTTTACACTGAAGTTACAGCCGTTTTTGAACATGTCTCTGAACACAAACACATTACTTTCTATCATGCCTTTGTCTAGTTCACCCATTTTAAACACCTACAAAAATAGTGTCTTCATAGGAATACCTCTAAAAGGATAGAGAGCCTGCAAGTTACTTACAAAATGTGTTTGAAGAGGGTGTGTGGGTATTAATAGATTGGCTATTGTTTCCATAGTTTCCACTACATTCTCATAAGTGTTGACCATCCAAAATGGCCAAGACTTCTTCCACCACCAGCAGCATTTAGAAGATAACTGGATGGGTGCTGGTCTTCTATTAATATTAGTCCAGGGCAAATATTCCAAATTGCATCATTTTGATCCTTTAGTGACACATAAAAATTACAAAGACTTCTTGGAGGGGTGAGGGTAGATATGGTCAACCTGGTTCATATCCATTTAGAATGTGAGTTCTAGGGAATATATGTATATAACAGCACCTTATCAAAATTTGGGTTTAAGCATACAGAGCAAGTAACCACTGCAAAAAGATTGTGGTCACCATTATTTGGGAAGAATCAGGGTTCCCCTTTTTTCTACAGAGCTAGGAATTAGTTCATGGGTGGTCTCATCACCCAGTGTGAGACTGCAACTTGTTGCCTAGGGTATACACCTTTCCATGAGAATTCATGATCTAATGTGACCAACAGAAACTCCAAATGCACTTTCAATAAGGAAACTGGCAGGTTTATTTCTAATTACAAATGGAAAAAGTTGTCATTATTTATGTCATCATCAAATTTTTTTTAAACTACAATAATGTAGGAGGTAGGAAATGAGAGTCCTTTATAATTTCATCCTTCAGAGATAACCAGAGGTTATTCAGTGCAGTTATTCATACAGACTTGTTTCCACACATAAAGTGAGAGTGTGTAATTTTCATTTACTGAATTTTTATATAAATGGGATCATATTCTACAAATTGAACTACAACTTGCTTTTTTTCTACTTAATGATATAATTCAGGTTGGTTCTTATAAACAGATAGCTTTGCTACTCTTGCTTGCAAATACGACCAACTGTGTACCAGCCAGGCAATCTGCTTCACTCTTTGATCATTTCACAGCATTCTACAGCACAGACAGACATTCCACAGTTGATTTCATCAAATTCCCACTTTGGGATGTGTGTAAATATCTGACTGTCTTTGTCATCGCAAATTACAATACACAATACTTATACATATATTTGAACGCTTATGGAAGCATTTCTGTTTGGTCAAAGGATATGAGCATTTTCATGTAATAGCTATTTCCAAATTTTCCTAAAAGTCAAAAGGCTCTAACAATATATGCTACCAGATAAGAATTTAAGAGAATGCCTATTTCTCTGTCCTCTAGACAATGCTGACAATTACCTATACTTTAAATATATGGAAGTATGACAGCTAAAAATTTATATCTAAGTTCTTATTAGAAAATGCATACATACACAGGTAACTCCTACATATATATATACAAGAAAAAGAGGTACCGTATTTGTTATCAGAATGACTATAAATCCTTGCTGTGAACCAAATTCTTGTTAATCCAGTGGAATATTACACTTACCATTGGTATTCCACGCTGTCACCTGGAAAGAAATGATGGACAGAGCCCTCAGAAGCTTATGGAAGCACTGCAAACAGCTGCAGACACAACTCTAGGGGGCGCCATGCATCTAGACCAAAATCTATGTGAATGTGAATACAGCCTGGACAACTCTACTGGGTGACCCCATGAAAAGCTGAGTCATTAAGGATCCAGAATGACATCCTCTCTACATAACAGTCTTCATGCTCAAAATTAAAACTCTCCCTCTTTTAATTCCGCAAACCGACCCCCGCCACAGATCCAACAAATCAGACCACATTGCATGTGATGCCAACTCAGCAAAAAGTTGGGCAAATTAATCCTTGTAAGACACTATTCATTAGTATCTAAAAGATCTTTGTCCCATTTGTTCACCCAAAGGGCATAACATTAAAATGGCATGATCTCTCGTGACGTACAAAAGTAGTTATTAATTTACGCTCATTATCTAAAGATGTTTGCCAGTAGCCTTTGGATATGTCTCTGGTGTGCACAGATGGTGCTTGACAGAGACAATCCAGGGACTTGTCAATGACTACAGGTGACACCATTTAATCGGAACAACTCATCTAGAGATGGAGTTTACTCGGGGCTTCAGATGCAATTATTCAGCTGGCCAAACTGACAGGCTAGAAGTGGAGCTTTCAATTATCTATTTCAGTAAACATTTTCTCCTGCCTCACCCTGGTATTTCTGAAATTCTCTCCTTCAGGCCAGATCACATGCAAGGTCTAGACAGGTATAACAGTGTGATGTCTTGCATAAGAGTGACTACTAACCAGGGAACAGGCACAGATTTATTTTCCTCATTCTACTTTATTATGCATATCTGGTTGGCATCTTTGCTGCCCCTCTTTTTGGAGCCTCTGCTGGAGCTCTGCATAGTCTGGATGACTTCCGTGTCTCATTACCACCTTTATTCACAAAGCAAAACCCATTTGATTCAAGACCAGTCGATATTTCTGACAGCTTTTGCATTCTGAATATTACTATTTCTCCCTCTTTAAAAATTTCCTCGTGTTATTTCATCTTCGTGACAGAATATTTGATACTGACCCATGAAATAGTGCAGCAGGAACCCAATTTTTCAAGAACTGCCCCAAACGAGATTGGATTAAATCTTGCAATTAGCCCACAATTTGCATCTCACAACAGGAAATTCATTGTTGCAACCACAACTTCAGTGGACTTGGTAGAATAAGCTATTGTGGAAGTAATTCCTGTAAAAGGTCATATATTTAAACCCTTCAATTTTTTTTGACAACCTCTCAGAAATGAGTGATACAGTTGCTGCAGTGTCCAAAAAAGCAATAATGTCCATACCACTTTTCTTTATAGGAAGGGTGGAATATTATTACCCCATTCATCACAGACTTTTCTGGTTATAAAATATGTTTCTTGATATTTGAGAGACCTTTTTCCTTCACTGTCTTGAAAAAGCTGAAGGTCTCTTGTGCTGGGTGTCAGCCTAGTAGTTGTTTCATAATATGTTGACTTCTTCAGTGTCTCCTGAACAATGGTGACATTTAGCAATTTCCACTGAATTCCATCTCCTTAAGAGCAGAGGACAAGGAGGCTAGTTTAAGATTACCTTTTCTTTTCAATCAAGAGTCACTCATGGTCCTACAAGGAGCAGGGCATAGACTCCTGGGTCAGACACAAAGGCCCTCATGGGTCAGGAACTAAAGTATATATGCACAGAAATAACAGAAGATAATAGGGAGAGGTGAAGTCCAGTGCAGTAGACTATGAAAATCTCCCTTGAAGGCATTAAAATTCAACTTTACAAAATAGTGCTGTTCAAACCAAATGCGTGTATAGCCAGATTTAGCCTTCCACCTGTCATTTTGAGACAATGGATTAAGTGACTTTTGAAAACCTTTCTTTTTACCATGAACATGCCCTATGGATCCCATAGTTTTCAAAGCATGATCTACTTTCCTGTCTAAATTATTGTCTTCCTGCCAACTCTGACCCATTGGTGTTGGTGTAACTCAAGTTATCGATACCCTCTGATTATGTCTCTGGTGTCCTGACAATTCAGGCTTGGCCTAAGAGTGTGGCAGTTGGATTAGTCTTCTCTTCCTCTTAGGTTACCCAGATCCAAACCAAAAATTTAGTTGAAATGTGTTTATGGCCATGTTCCTTATTTTCATTTACCCTTTTGGCACAGGACTCTCATACTTTCTGAATGAATGTTACTTGTGGAAATCAGGAGTCCACCCCTGCCAACCTATTCGATTTCAAATTCCCTCTATTTATTTTTTTATTTTTTTATTTTTTTAAGTACAGGTGGGAGAAAGAAAGGGAGGGAAGGAAATGGGAGGGGAATGGGTGGGAAGAGAGACAGGGAGAGCCCAAATCAAGCATATCATTTGATTATTGCATCAATCCTGCCGCTGTTGCTCCACAGTCTAATAAACTTCAGTGGCCTGGAGTCACTCAGCTGAGCACTATGTTACTCTTACCATTATCTAGGGGAGGATTTGTCAGATTCATAAATTGTTCTATCACTGAACAGGGAAAAGCGAGGAGAAGGAAAAAGAAACTTCAGGGTTCCTTTGTCTCTTATTTACGATTTTTATTATAAATCTCTTTCTTATATACGGAACAAAAGAAGGCTTGATAGCACTTAGTTTTAAACCACTCCCAGGTATGAAATAGAAATACAGCACCTTCATAGTCTCTTGACAGAATACTTAATACAGAGTCATCTTCCAGGGCCAACAATTAGAAAAGTCCCTCTGGGGAGTCCAGGGGCTTATTTTCAGCCCCCTTGGGACTTCTGTCCTGTGACGAGTGGGAGTTCAGAGATGAGACGATTTCCTGTATGGAGGACCAATTTTCTTAAAATATCAAAACAATGGAGCTGACAGCCATTTAGATAATGGCATGATTCTGTTTGGGCTTCCCCAACATCAAGATTAAATTAACCAAATTATCCAGCAGTCTGAATCATTCCTTAAGTAAGATAACAAATGCCCTGAAATTATCATTTATATGAAAACAAAACAGACCAAAATCTCCCATATATTTAATTACCCAGAGTCTAAACTTTCCTACTATTAAGAGACTAGCCTTCTTTTTTCCTTATTGCCAAAGTACACACTTTTCCTAATAAGGACTGTGTTTTAGATTATCAACATTCCATGCATTCTAAAGTTGAATTTAAATTTTTTATCAATCTTTTTTAAAAATAACAAAAATAGTAGAACTAATAGAAAACAAATGGAGCACCTTTGTTTCACAAATGAGTTTGTCCAAGTAGATCTGCTCTGCTACTGGTAGTGTCCCACAGTAGAAGCAGCTCATATATCTTACAGGGGTGAGTGCAAGGGCTCACACTTGTAATCCCAACACTTTGGGAGGTTTAAGTAAGAGAATCACTTGAGGCCAGGAGTTCAAGACCAGCCTGGACAACACAGGGTCTCTATTAAAAATATAATAAAAATTAGCCAGACATGATGGCTCATGCCTGTAGTCCCAACCACTTAGAAGGCTAAGTTGGGAGGATTGCTTGAGCCTGGGAGGTTGAAGCTGTAGTGACCATGATTGTACCACTGCACTTAAGCCTAGGTGACAGAGTAAGACTCTATCTCCAAAAAAGAAAAGAAAAAATTCTTTAGATCTTTGCTTAAAGAACTGCCTACCCAGAAACATTTGCATCTGTCTCTGAGTGAGCAAGAAATAAATCTTACTTGGTTAAGTCACTACAATTTCCAAGATTTGTTTGTTTCTGCAGCAGAACCTAGCATACCCTGACTAATATACTAGGTGATCTAACCAGTCCTATGGATTTAACAACAACAACAACAGAAAATCTCTATGTTGATTAGTCCCAAAAACATTTCCTGAGAGACATCTCCCTCAGATAGATATAAGTATAGGTATAGGTAATGTATGTATGTGTAGATATATACTTATTGTATATATACAACTTGATTTCTCCATTTAGATGGCCAACAGCCATCTCAAATTTAATATTGCCAAAAGAGAATTTCTTCAACCAAACACGCACACACACATGTCCCATAGTATTTTTCAAGTGTTATTAAATGATGTCAATACCACGACCAGTTGCATAGCCTCCAAAACTGGTAGTCACCCTTTATTTCTCAGAGAATAATCTGGAATCAAAGATCTATACCCTCGCACATAAACTGTCAATTTTGTTATCATAAAGCTAAATGGAACCTGTCAAATACCTCTTAGGGAGATTTCTGCCCTTTGTTTACAAATACTTTCAATAAAAGCAAAAGATGTTGGGGATAATAGTCTATCCAGTGGGTTGTAGGAACCACTCCAAATGTTTCAGAATTTTCCTGAGAAAATGTAGAATCTAACATTTTGAAATTTCACGGGGATTTTTCATCAATGAAATGGAAAAAGATGAAAACATCAGAATATGCAAAAATAATAATATTTATAAGGTAGAGATACTGACAATTATTAAGTCAAAAGTCCAAACTAAAAAACCCAAAAACTAACTACATGTCATACAAAAGAAAAACAGGTCTCTGCTTCTGTTCTGATTGCCTCCATCTACCATAAACTTCTATTAAATCTTTCTAAAATTACACTTCAAGTCATCCCTTTTAAAAAACCTAATGTTAGTCCACAATATCATGTAAATAAATTTCAGATTTCCTGAGCTGGCATTCAAGATCTCCAGCTTCATTCATTCATTGACATTCTCCAAATGTTTTTAAGACTTACACTCTATTTCTTTGATATAAATGCACCTTATCTTCCTCCCTTATGCTGTTGCTCATGCTATACCCTCTGTTCAGTATATTCTTCCCAACGTCTCTACCTATACCTCTTTCAAAACCAATCACTCCTACCTCCAGGCTTATCTACATTCATTTTGCTGCCTAGCTAGCTTTTCTAAAATCAGATTATATCACTGTCTCATTGAAGAGCCCTTGGTCTTATAGAAAAAATGGAAGTGTCTTTGCCTAGTATAAATGGCATGCATAATCTTCCAAACTCACCTTTCTTTTATTTATTTATTTATTTTTGAGACAGAGTTTTGCTCTTGTCGCCCAGGCTGGAGTGCAATGGCGCAGTCTTCGCTCACTGCAACCTCCGCCTCCTGGGTTCAAGTGATTCTCCTGCCTCAGCCTCCTGAGTAGCTGGGATGACAGGCACCTGCCACCACACCTGACTAATTTTTGTACATTTAGTAGAGACAGGGTTTCACCATGTTGGCCAGGCTGGTCTTGAACTCCTGACCTCAGGAGATCCGCCCACCTCAACCTCCCAAAGTGCTTGGATTACAGGTGTGAGCCACCATGCCCGGCCCCAAACTCACCTTTCTAAACTACCAATCTTTCAGCCTTCCAAATACACTAGATCCCGCCATATTGGACCACTTCCCACATGCACTTTGTATTTTTACCTGGCCATGCCCTTTCCCTAAAATACCCTTATTGTTTTGTCTGCCTGGTGAACTTTCCTTGTCCTTCAAGGGTCAGACCGAGGATAATTCCTGTGCTTATCCTGTTTATATCACTCCCTTCCCACTACCCCGATAATATCGCAACCACCAGCAACAGCACCACCACCACCACCACCACTTCCAGGTAGGAACCCTACCTTCCAGGCAGGGTTCCCTCATCTCTGGAACTATTATAGACCCATCTCATCTGTAGTGCTTTCTCATAATTTATTACAGCTATTTACTATGCAAGTCTTCCCTGATAAACAGGAAGCCTTTTGAAGGCAGAGTCCATATCTTCATCTCTATTTTTTTGTTATTATGAAGTATTTAAAAAACCCCAAAAGAGATACAGAATAACACAACAAAGACCAACCAGTGAGAAAATAAAGCACCAGGTAACCCTTCCTAACACT
The DNA here is from genome assembly GCF_000001405.40 of Homo sapiens. Taxonomy (NCBI): domain Eukaryota; kingdom Metazoa; phylum Chordata; class Mammalia; order Primates; family Hominidae; genus Homo; species Homo sapiens. The sequence goes on from NC_000016.10 coordinate 73,749,640, forward strand.
ATACTACGTATAACTGTGTTGGAGTGTCCCAGGGAAGAGAAAAGGCAGGACACCAATGCCACGTGCACTGGAATGCATCACAAACTGCAATGTTTGACTTTTCATGCAGTGGATAAATGCAAAATGTGAGGAGCTGAAAGCATGAATACAAGGTTTGATTTAGAAGATGTCAAAGCTCCCTACTTGAAGGGCAGCCTTGGATGGCCCTGAACTGTACCCTACGTGAAAGAAGACTGGATTACTCAAAGAACATTATGATGTACATAAAACCAGTGGTAAGTAACTGTCTCCTTGGCCTCCCAAACCATACTTACTAGCCTCAGAGCAGTAAACAGGCTAGTGCCTGAGTGTCCTATGTATCTACTCACCTGGCCACCCAACTACCCATCCATTCACCCATCCATCCAATGGCTAACAATCTATACTCTCCTGTGGAGAGTCAAGGGATGCACCTTACCTCTGAGATGGAACTGGAGAGAAAGGAACTCAATAGGGAGAAAGAAACCAAGGCTGACAGCTTCCCCTAGGTTTGGTAAGTTGCATTTGCAGAGTCCTTCCATAAAGGGAAGGCTGGATGGATCTTTTTGTATCGTCCCAGGAAGAAAAAAACAGATCCTAAACCAAGCTCAGCAATGAGTGGAAATTGACAGAGTTGTGAGAAGCGGGTCTGGAGTGTACGATCTGCAAAGACACTGCTTTACTCTACCAACTTTATTAAGAATCAAGAAAGAGAGGGGAAGATCTTATTACTATTATCATGATAATCGCATTTGCAGATGACACTAAATTGGGAGGTGTTCCTAACAGCAGTGGAAGACTGGCACACAATACCACGCTATGTGTGGATCTTAGTAACAGATGTCAAAAATAACACAATGAGGCACTGGTTGAAAAAATGCAGATGATCTATCTGGGGATGAATAAACTTTAAGAGGGAATTTAACTTGAAGGGGATTCCTGGATGGGAGTAATCAAGAAAACAACAAAATAGTGAGCTAGTGGAAAAAAGCCATGAGGAGGTAAGGCGAGCACTGCAGCTCAGCAATTCTCTGAGCTAGTAAAATTTTCAGCCACACACACAGGGGCATCCCAAACCATGGCTAAGAGAGTCTGTCTCTGTGTCAGCAATGAGACCAGACTCGGAACATTGCAGGCAATTAGGGGTAATATGATGCCTTGATGGGAATTTAGAAAAGAAAAGAAAAACAAATCAAAGGGAGTGAAATATGAGGAAAAGCACAGGCGATAAAATGAACATAATTTGACTAAATAACAACCTAAGGGACTATGATAACCATCTACTGAGCATAAAAATCCAAAATGGGGCCTAGAGGTCTACTGGCCTGGGCATTTTTCTGAGAAATATCTAGAGTTGTATCCATTAGAAAACTCAATAGAAAGGCAGTATTTTGCATCCATTTAATTGAAGTGTGGTGACTCTGTTGTGGGGAATAAACAGACCTGGTTTCCCAGAAACTATGTATGTCTCAAAACTATTTTTCAAAAGATACGGACTGAGGACCTCTGGGAAGAACCCAGGACCTACTGCAAGAAGTCCTTGAATCCATGGGCACAAAGTCACTCACTTGTGCATTTGACAAATGTTTATTCAACAAGTACTCAGTGCCCATACTCTATTTGGCACTGAGTACAATGTTTTGAATAGATAATATAGAAACATATAGTCATAAACTAAATTAGGGAGCCATGAGTAGAAAAAACACAGTATACCAGAAAAGTATTACAGGGTTTTAAGAAACCGTGTCATCATCCATTCTAGTTTTTAAAAATATGCATGTATATTCTCGATCATTGGACAACATTGTACCTGGAAAGATCACAAACGAATGTCTAATCATGTACATGGTTATATGTGTATATGTGTTTATGTGTGTGTGTGTATATATGTTTATGTACATACATATGTTTAAATGCATGTTTCTGCATGTATATATTTTTAAGTAACATTTTTTAAATAAAAATAAAATGATTTTATTAATACAAATGCATAGTTTTATAGGCCTATCTTCTCATTGTTCAGAAATTAGAAGTTAGGGGTCCTGAGAGAATCATAAAGTAGGAGCTATTTTCTGAGAGCTCTATCTTCCTGCTTCCACAACCTCAACTCCAAATGCACCCATCTAGCTTTGGACACTTCCTCAGATCCAGCCTCCCTTGTATCAGAGATGCCTGTTGACTGCATTCCTATAGTCACTACCTGATAATTTACAGCAATTGGATCTGAGGCAGGAACTTATCTGGGGAAAGAATCTACAGCCTGGTCTTATGAGAAAAGAAGCCAGGTCAATCGGGTTATTCTCTCGGGGATTTGGAACAGGGATTCTGAGAAACTAGGGTGGCTAAGACAAGGGGAACAATGTTAAAACTCCAGGGCACAGGCCTGGCCATAAGATCTATAAGCAGAGAAAGAGAGAAAGGAGGATGGAGCTGTGGTCCAGAGAGAAACAAAGATGAGCTGATCCATGGTGCCATTTATACGTAGGAGAGTAACTCCCAGCTTTCAGCTTCCAATTCCAGTTTTCCCAAGGCCCAGGTAAATGTCTTGAGCTTGGATTCCATGTGCGTCTCTGTGGTCTATAACGACCTCCTTTTGATTTCAGCTAGTTTGAGAGGGTGTCAGCTCCTCACTCAAAATCCTTTGACTGGGAGATCTATTTACTGTCCCAGTCTTTTGGCTGAAACCCAACTAGGATTATCTGAGGAAATAAAAATGCATGAAAACGCACTGGCTCACACAATCACAAATTCCAGAGTTTCCTTCAGACATGGCTGCACTGAGGCATGTTTTAAAAATGGCACCCATACTCTGTCTCTGTTTACTCTCTTTTCCTCTCTTTCTCCCTGTGTTGGTTTTCTTCTCAGATGGCCTCTCTCTTCCTGGTCCCCAACAGCTCCATGTTTCATCTTTTGGCAGCTATCAATCCCAGCAGGAAAACACTCCCAGAGCTGAGTCTCCTTGGCCAACTCCTGAACAAAACCGCCTGGCTGGCCACACTTGGGTCAGTCTATCCATGAAGCTGGGGGAAGAATCAGCCCTAACAAAACCATGTCGACTAGTGAGTGTGTTTCCTGCACAAAGATCCAAGGGATACCAGGACAAGGGGAAATGAATACCAGGAGGGCAAAAGTAACCAATATCCGACATCATCTCCCAGTACTCCCTAGTATGGACACTCTTTCAGAAGGTATGTCTCCTCACATCCTCCTGCAGTGCCAGATAACATTTGCAGGTACCTCCAATAAAACCAGGTACCATTTGCAGGTACAGCGGATCCTCATTATCTGAGAATTTGCATACTTGCTACAATATATTTGTAACTCCATACTCAATACTTAAGGCACTTTCATGGGTCATTTGTGGACCTGTGCATTTTTGTGTGTATTGTTGGTGATCTTGCTGCTTAAAATGACCCCTAAGTGCAGTGCTGAAGTGTGGGTTAGCGTTCCTAAGCACAAGAAGGCTGTGATGTGCCTTAAGACATGTGTTCCATAAGCTACATTCAGGCATGAGTTACAGTGCTATTGGCTGTGAGTTTGAGGTAGAAGGCTGGCAAGACTTGTGTTCCGGTCGTAACTCTGCTGACCAAAACAGGATCTGGCCCAGACAGGATAAAGTGAAGAAACCAGAGGAAACCAGCAAAGGGTGACCAAAGCAATCCCTAGCTGCCCTCATTGCTCACTTGCATGAGACACTCCCACTAGTGCAGTGACAGTCCACATATACTGTGGCAGCAATCCAGAAGTGACCACCCCTTTGCCACGGCGATTACCCAGAATTTACTTCTCCTTTCCTAGAAGGTCCTAAATAACCCTTCCCTCAATTTACTTTAACCCACTCCTTAATTTTCATGTAATTAAAAGTGGGTTTAAGTGGGTATAAATACAGTTGCCAACAGCCCATAAGGTGCTGGCTCTGGGAACACTGCCTGTGTATTAGCCCTGCTCAGCAAGGTAGCAGTACCATTCAATGAAAGATTGCTGTCTGACACCACCAGCTCACCCTCAAATGCTTTGCTGGGCAAAGACAAACCCCCACTGCCACTGGGCTAAGCCCCAATTTTAGGGATCGCCTGTCCTGCATCAAGTTCAATGCTAATTAATCAACAATATACTTTCAATAAGGTGTTTTTTTTTTAAGAGAAAAACTCACAAAACAAGGTTACATATTGATAGGCTGACAAAATATTATGACCAGAGATGGACAGGAATCTCTAACCCTGTAATTCCCCTAGAAGAAATAATGCAGTATCTACTAATTCAGTGTTTGTTGTGTCTTTATAGACTATAACTGCTGCAAATAGTAATGAGAAAAATAGTAAGAATCAATGTGTGTGTGTGTGTGTGTGTAAAATCTGATTCAATTTTATACTTTCTTGGACTGCCTCCCAAATGTCTTGTGTATTTTGTCTTTCCATCCACACTGCAAACTCCTCTGGAATTCATACCATGTTGGCAGACAGCTAGGAACACAGTAGGTTCTCCCAAACTTACTGACTCATGAATATATTGGTCAGTTACAGAACTCACATCAACCGAGCTACAAGTATTTCTACTCAAAAAACGTCCGCAGCCTGATCTACTATCTTACTGCTTTTAGTCTTTCCCCTCTGGGTGTGTTGTAGACCTATCCAAATATGGTCTCAATTCAAAACTATTTTTCATTTTAAAGGCAAAGGAGGGTGACACAGGCTAGAGAATTCTGTACTGAAACCCAGTTCTTGACTCCGGGAAGAGAGAGGTTTGTACGTTTTACATCTCAGTGGCCACAGACCACTAGTGCTGAGCAGGTACCTCTCTGGTACCCCCGAGAATCATGGCATACACCAGCATCTTTGGTTTTCCACCGTCCTTGGGCCGACCTTGCAGCCCCAGCTGCCACATGCTCTCCTCTGCACCAGAATATTGTTTGTAGTAAGACAGAGGTATCCTAGTAAACAAACAAATGTTTCCTACATCCCACTCTGGGTGCTCACAAGAGGCTACTTTGTTTTTCAGACCTTTACTTCCGACTAGCCTTGGATTTATGAATCTGAATTGAGACAGGCTTTTCTACACATTATTTGTTTCAGTTGAGGGAAGACACGAACTTTACATGAAGAAAAAAAAAGGAGAGATTAATGACAGAGGGTTTTTTAAAATGACACAATATATATAAAAGAAGGTTCACTCAGGGTCTTTCTGCCTATAGCTCTGCATTTCTGGGCAAATTTCACCGATTTCTCAGAACCCCAGTTTCCTTTTCCCCCCAAACCCAAGAGTTTAAACTAGATGATAGTAACAATAACTTATTGAAAGTTTACTATATGGACACTTTAAACATACAATTTTGTTTAATCTTCAAAGCACCCTCCTTACAAAGGAGATGCTTGTGTCATTTCTACTTTACATACAACATAATTGAAGTTCAGGGAGTTCCAGTGTGGATGAATGATAAATTCATTCATCATTCGATGGTTTGAATCCAGGAAACTTGACTTTAGATCCCGCTTGCTTAACCACTCATCCGTACTCCCTGATTAATCTCTAACATCTCCTTTTACTCAAAGATCCTTTGTTATCTCCTGAGATTTTCCCCTTTTGCCAACCCAGTTTCCGTTTCTAAGACTCTCACCTGTTTACGTTGGATATAACGACATATATAAACCTGAATAAGAGAAAGAGGAGTAGAAAGAAGAAAAAAAAGATGGGAAAATCCTGGAGTTTAAACTCCCTAACGGCCTTAGAAACTCTATAATCTATCCTCTTAATCCAGTTTTAATTATATCAATAAGTAGATGGGGCCTGGACTGTTTTTCAAGACAGTGCATAGTGTGTGAGTCATTCTCCATGCTACATCTTCCTTTTTAAAAGAATCCTACAAGAACTTATTAGTATGAACAAACCAAACAATTCAATTTTTTTTAAAATGCAGTATCCTTATAACAAGATTCAGTAGGATGGTCTGTGAAGTTTAGGAATCCTGCAGGCATCAACTGGGAATTGTCCTGACAGCTCACAGTCGGCCCAAGCCTCTGACTTCAGCCAAAGGCAAGGAATCGAACCTCCCGTGAAGAAAAGCAAGAGCTTGGGGCTCAGCTGCTTATCAAAATGAAGCACTGCACCCCCCACCCATGATGTCGGCAAGAGATTAATCCATAAATCAGAAGCAATTTTAATTTTTAAAAAGTAGAGGATGAAAGACCTACTTGGAGCAGACAAGCTTCCTCATCATAAAATGATGGTGGAACTTGTCATCAGCGAGGCACTCGCCCCTCTCCCACGGCCGGGTGACAGTGGCTGGCTCCTGTTGGGTCCTGATAGCACATGCCAAGATGAACTTCTGACCACTCTCCACCGCTTAGAGAGGCTCACCGGCAACTAAAATTAGATTGGCTTCTATTCCAAGCCCAGGGTTCCTCCATGGCTGACTTTCTTTTGTAAGAGTCTGTGATGGCAGCTTGTTTGATTTAAAGAAAATCAATGAAGAGTTACATGAGAAGGAAGAAAACAGAAGACCAGGTATTCCCAGGTTAAGATAAAAGTCCAAATAAAGGGCACTGCACATGGTCTCACTCTCTCTTTCTCTTTCCCTCAAAGCAAAAAGAATAAGAAGCTTTTGAGTGTAAAGTGGAAACCGTTTTTGTTGGAGGGGTAGCATTTTCTTCATCTTTAGAGTATAATCTGATAGGCCTAATCCGGTAAAAATTGCAGCTACTCTCAATGGAATGACTGACACGGGCTAGAATGGATGAGAAAAATAATGTGATCGTGAAAGGTGGCTTTTGGTCCGTGCCGGGCCTGAGATCATTCACACGACATGAGCTTGCGTCTGTCTTCTTCCCCTTCCTGGCAATAATAGGGTGTGTACAAGACAAGACAAATGCACAGGCAGATTGATCCTCCTCCCGCCCTTCACTGGGGAGGGAGACCAAGCTGACCTTGGCCTCTGACCAGGTGCAACCCCTCGGCTGCACAATTAGGTTAGCTGAATCAGAAAGAGTTGCAAGAATAGGATGACATTTCTAAGCTTGGGTCCGGAAAGCCCAGGCTTTCCTAGAAACCACCCACCCCCACCACCCCTGCCCCACCCCCGCTCCTAACATCAGGAACCCACTCCTTCTCCCCCCAGGGCATTTTGCTGAGTCTCCTCAAGCCCCTATTGTGTGTATTATTTATGATCTTGGTGCCTTTTCTTTTCAGGGTATTGGTCCATAATAGTGCCGTGTATGTTATTTATGACGCAAGGAATAACTTAAACCACATTAGGAACCTCAACATTATGGGGACTTTAGAGAGCTACATTTTTCTAGTTATGGTTAAACTACTGCAGTGATAAATCCAATCGTAAGAGTGCAAGAGGGAATGCATGGGACAGGTGTTACCCATTAGTCACCATAAGGAAATGCAGGAACAAACGTGGGCTTACAGATGCTTCAGTGTCTCTTCTGAAGAACAGCTGTGGGAATCTGAAACGGTGAGGGGCAGGGGGCTTCTGAAAGCCAGTAATGGGAAAAGATGGGTATGGCTGGGGTGGAAAGGGAGGGAAGGGTTGCCTGTAACATGCAGAGGACAGAGAAACAAAGAGCAGAAGTCTGTCTATTTCACACTCTCATCAGGAATTCCGTGGGGTCCCTCGTGTCTGTGAGTGTGCTTCCACTGCAGACTGGATAGCAACCCTAACTCTGCAATACCACTACCCATTAGGAATAAGGATCCCTTCGGCCTCCATAAGAAGGCCAAGCCAGAAGTCAGATTCTCAGAACATCAGCTGTGGATGTCAGTACTGCAGCAACTTACTCTTTTTCTACAATTCAGTTTTTTCGTCTATGAAAATCAGAAAAGTATTTCCCCTTCTCTCTCCCCATGAGGACAGTAGGGAATGTTTTTTTTTAATTCAGTAAATATTTATTGGGCACCCACCAAGGCTAAGCAATGTGTTAGGCATTGAGATAAAATGGGAGTAAGACACCAACAAGATAGTCAGAGTTTAGTGGAGGAAACAGACCCCAAACGATATTATTATTATGTGAGGGCATTTGTGATGAAAATATGTAAATGGTATTATTATTGGAGCACAGAGTTGGAGGGTTCCCTGCAGGAAGCAGCATTTCACCAGCGTGAAGTGATCAAACCTGGACCATGTGTCTGGTCTCAAGGTGGATGTGACAACCTTTATCCGCTCTCCTGTGTCCAAGAAGCCCAGGAAACCTTGATGCCATTCTGATTTTGTGACTCACTGGGACAAAAGTCAGCCTTCAGTTTATCTTTATACTCCATAAAGCTTCAGGTAAGCAACTTTAAAACACAGAAATTATTTCAGTAAAAATGCCTAAAGCTCCTTAAGCATAAGTTTCAAATACCCCAGGTACAAACAATGCACATACACTCTCAGGATTGGCAGACATTTGCAAGACATGACCCGTTGTTCAGAACATGATGTCCTGCCCAAAATCCTGAACAATTCTCTCAAATGCCTCTGAAATAAGGAGCTCAATTCTTCCCAAAGGGGCCCATTCCACCTTTGCACAGCCCTGGTTGTTACAAAGTTCATTGTGTTGAGATTTCTAATGGTGGGAACTGAAATGTTACTAGAAATTCATTCATTCATTCATTCATTCATTCAACAGATATTAAATACCGACTCTAAGTGAGGCATTGTGCTTAGTGCTAAGAATTCAGTAGTCAATATTAATGATATAAAGCAACTTCACCACAGAGTTCTCAGAGATAACAGTTTTCTAACCTAGCTCAAATTCAGTCTTCTTTGAAGATAATACAACTAAACTCTGTTAGGAGATGTGCAACCCAGGCTTTAATTGTTTAGTCATTCTTTACTCAGCTGATAACAGGGTGGCTCATAAGTACAGCAACAAGCAAGACACACATGGACACGGCCTTCGTGGGGCATACCATCTGGTTGTTGGGGATAGCCCACCCAAAATTCAAGTATTTTAATTACAGCTTTGCTAAGAGCTAGGGGAAGGATAAGTGGCCTGGTCTGAATACACAGGCGGATCTAACAGGGTCACAGGGATGCATTATTCAGGGTTGCTTCCTTCTCACTGGACTTCACTGCTGTAGGGAGTCCTCTGCTCTTATTCTCCTTTGCTTGTCCATAGCACTACCTACAATTTGGAATTATTTATGCATTTGCTTAGTTTTGTATCTCCCCCTCGCACTTTGAGTTCTATAGGAATGCAGACCATATCTATTTTGTATATCATTGGATCTTCACCTCTTGGTTTTATACAGTATGCTGTAAGGCAGATACTATTATCCCCATTTTACAAAAGACAAAACTGAGGCTCAGCCATAGATGTGGGTGGTGCATGGGCATTACAAGTTAATCCAGGTCTACCTGATACCAAAGCCTCACTGTTAACCACTGTGCTTTCCCCTGATGCCATTGGTGATTCATACTTGTTAAGCTGGTATATTTGTTATGACATAGGTGAGGATGATTTAACCAAGATACTAAAACTAATACTGACTTAAACAAGACAGAAGTCTATTTCTCTCTTACATGAAAGTCTAGGGTAGGTGTAGTGGCCGCATATTTTTATTGGCAATTAAGATCCTTCTCTCTTGATGCTTTGCCGTCTTTAACACGTGACTCCCATCACATGAGCCAAAGTGGGTGATCCCTCTTCTACCTGCACCATCACATTCTGCCAGTGGGAAGGGAATAAAGCAAAGGAGGGACCTGTCCCTCTCCTTTAAGGACATGACCTGGAAGTTGCACATATCACTTCTATTCACATTTTATTGGCCAGATTTTAGTCACATGACCATACCTAGCTGCAAGGGAAGCTGAGAAATGTACACTGGGAAGCCCATACACCCTGCTAAAAATTCTTGTTAAATAGGAAAGACAGAGAGCTATCCCTGAAACCTGGCTTTAGGAATTACAGAGAAGTATGGGGAAAGAAAAGTTAAAAAGAGGAGGCAGAAATAGAAACTATTTTAGGTGAGATAAACTCTTTAAGGACTCCCTACTCATTCAAGTCTTCTAAATTCCTTCCCCTGAGGCTTTATTTCTGAAATGGGATCCTTGATTCTCATAAACCCTTAAACTGGAGGATACTTTGGTTTCCAGTATTATGGGCCCAATTCTATAAGCTATGCCCTTTGAGTTTTGTGAATGAAGGAAGAATATCAAAGGGAGAACGAGTCCATTTTCCAAAGGCAGAATTTTGCTTACCAGAGCTAACTGATATTTGGGATTGTCTTGGTCTTACAGGAAAAAAAAAAAAAGTAGAAAGTGGGATTCCCAGAGCTATCAGAAGACAAGAAATAACCAAGATCAGAGGGGAACTAAAGGAGATAGAGACACTAAAAACTCTTCAAAACATCAATGAATCCAGGAGCTGTTTTTTTTTAAAAAAAAATTAATAAAACAGACAACTGGCTAGATGAATAAAGAAGAAAAGAAAGAAGAATCAAGTAGATACAATAAAAAATGATAAAGAGGATGTCACTACTTACTCCACAGAAATACCATCAGAGAATACTATAAACACCTCTATGGAAATAAACTACAAATTCTAGAAGAAATGGATAAATTCCTGGACACATAAGCTTTCCCAAGACTGAACCAGAAAGAAATTGAATCCCTGAGTAGATCAATAACGAGTTCTGAAATTGAGGCAGTAATAAATCGCCTACCAATCAAAAAATGCCGAGGACCAGACGGATTTACAGCTGAATTTTACCAGAGGTACAAAAAGGAGCTGGTACCATTCCTTCTGAAACTATTCCAAACAATAGAAAAAGAGGGAATCCTCCCTAAATCATTTTATGAGGCCAGCATCATCCTGATACCAAAAGCTGGCAGCATCATCCTGATACCAAAACCTGGCAGCATCATCCTGATACCAAAACCTGACAAAAAAAGAAAACTTCAGACCAATATGAACATCAATGTAAAAATCCTCAACAAAATACTGAAAGACCAAATCTAGCAGCACATCAAAAAGCTTATCCACTATAATCAAGTTGGCTTGATTGCCGGGATGCAAGGCTGGTTCAAGATATGCAAATCAATAAATGTAATTCATTACATAAACAGAACTAAAGACAAAAAACACATGATTTTCTCAATAGATGCAGAAAAGGCCTTCATAAAATTCAACATCCCTTCATGTTAAAACTCTCAATAAAGAAAGGTACATTTGAGGAATGTACCTCAAAATAATAAGAGCCATTTATGACAAATCCATAGCCAATATCATACTAAATGGGCAAAAGCTGGAAGCATTCCCCTTGAAAACTGCCACAAGACAAGGATGCCCTCTTTCACCACCCCTATTCAACATAGTATTTGGAAGCTCTGGCCAGGGCAATCAGGCAAGAAAAAGAAAAAAAAAAAAAAGGGTATTAAAAGAGGAAGAGAGGAGGTCAAATTGTCCATGTTTGCAGATGACATGATTCTTTATCTAGAAAACCTCATCATCTCAGCCCAAAAGCTTCTTAAGCTGATAAGCAACTTCGGCAAAGCCTCAGGATACAAAATCAATGTGCAAAAATCATAAGCATTCCTATACATCAACAACAGACAAGCAGAGAGTCAAATCATGAATGAACTCCCATTCATAATTGCTACAAAAAAAAATAAAATACATAGGAATACAGCTAACAGGGGAAGTGAAGGACCTCTTCAAGGAGAACTACAAACAACTGCTCAAGGAAGTAAGAGAGGACAGATGGAAAAACATTCCATGCTCATGGATAGGAAGAATCAATATTGTGAAAATGACCATACCATACTGCCCAAAGTAATTTATACATTCAATGCTATTCCCATTAAACTCCAATTGACATTCTTCAGAGAATTAGATAAAACTACTTTAAAATTCATATGGAACCAAAAAGAGCCCATATAGCCAAGACAATCTTAAGCAAAAACAACAAAGCTGGAGGTGTCATGCTACCTGACTTCAAACTATACTACAAGGCTATAGTAATCAAAACAGCATAATACCAGTACAAAAACAGACACATAGACCAATGGAACAGAATAAAGAACTCAGAAATAAGACTGCACATCTGCAACCATCTGATCTTCAACAAACCTGACAAAAACAAGAAATGGGAAAAGGACTCCCTATGTAATAAATGGTGCTGGGATAACTGGTAGCCATATGCAGAAAATTGAAACTGGACCCCCTCCTTATGCCTTGTACAAAAATTAACTCAAGATGGATTAAAGACTTAAATGTAAAGCCCTAAACCATAAAAACGCTAGAAAAAAATCTAGGGAATACCATTCAGGACATAGGCACGGGTAAAAATTTCACGACAAAGATGTCAAAAGCAATTGCAACAAAAACCAAACTTGACAAATGGGACCTAATTAAACTGAAGAGCTTCTGACAGAAAAAGAAACTATCATCAGAGCAAACAGACAACCTACAGAATGGGAGAAAATTTTTGCAATGTATCCATCTGACAAAGGTCTAATATCCAGAATCTATAAAGAACTTAAACAAATTTACAAGAAAAAAAAAAACAACACCATTAAAAAGTAGGCAAAGGACATGAACAGATGCTTCTCCAAAGAAGATATTTATGTGGCCAACAAACATATGAAAGAAAGCTCAACATCATTGATCATTAGAGAAATGCAAATCAAAACCGCAATGAGATACCATCTCATGCCAGTCAGAATGGCGATTATTAAAAAGTCAAGAAACAACAGATGCTGAAGAGGCTGTGGAGGAATGCTTTTACACTGTTAGTGGAAATGTAAATTAGTTCAACCATTGTGGAAGACAGTGTGGCGATTCCTTAAAGATCTAAAACCAGAAATACCCTTTGACCCAGCAATCCCATTACTGGGAATATAACCAAAGTAATATAAATTATTCTATTATAAAGATACATGCACAAGTATGCTCATTGCGCACTACTCACAATAGCAAAGACATGGAATCAACCCAAATACCCATGAATGACAGACTGGATAAAGAAAATGTAGTACATATATACCATGGAATACTATGCAGCCATAAAAAGGAATGAGATCATGTCCTTTGCAGGGACATGGATGGAGCAAGAAGCCATTATCCTCAGCAAACTAACATGGGAACAGAAAACCAAATACCACATGTTCTCACTTATAAGTGGGAGCTGAACAGTGTGAACACATAGACACAGGGAGGGGAATGACACAGATTGGGGCCTGATGGAGTGGAGCAGAGAGAGGGAGAACATCAGGAAAAATAGCTAATACATGCTGGGCTTAATACCTAGGTGATGGGTTGATAGGTGCAGCAAATCATAATGGCACATGTTTACCTAAGTAACAAACCTGCACATCCTGCACATGTACCCTAGAACTTAAAATATTAATAAAATTTTTTTTAAAAAGGAAGTGGGATTCCTTCCCCTAAATATTTCCCCACTAATGTATTGTAATAAAATATTGCTTAATCTCTTTACCTTGTCTCAAGTTCTCATACATTAAGTCTGTGAAAATTAAGATGTTACGAAAACAAACTAGGAGTCTTCAGTGTACAGGATACAGTGTTTAAAATGTTATTTCCTAATTACAAAAAAAAATTATCCCTCTTGGCAACTGACCTATCATGTATTAAAGGCCTTGGAGAAGGCTGACATCAAGTCTTACCAAATCTTTAAAAGTCTGGCACACTCACAAAATGAAAGCAATTTTGAAAAACAGAATGTAACTAATGGGCTTGAGTGAGGTGTGTAATTGTAAATCAATTCTAATTAATGTCTTCCCATTTCTTGGTTATTATCTGCATGAACCCATTTATGTGAACTCACAAATGATTCTGCCAAGCAGGAAGGAAATGTAAGCTATTCTGAAAGACACTTCTTTTCCTGTTCCTTTCACCACATTTAATAGCTTAAAATAATAGGGTGGAGTTAACGGTGACATTTTTGGGGACCCTGGGCATCTTGGAGCATTGATGAGGTATGGAGGACACACCCATAGGTGACACTCAATGAGTCACACTCTCATATAACTCCCTCCTTTTGAATGGGTGTGGAACCTGTTACTTGCTTCTTATTAACAGAATATAGCAATGGTGACAAGATTTTGTAGATATAATTAAAATCTCTCAGCAGGTGGCTTTAATCAAAAGAGATTATCATAGGTGGGCCTGACCTAATCAGGGAAGTCCTTTAAAAGAGGGTCCTGGGGTCAGAGACTAAGCAGCAAAGATTCTCCCTCTCCCTTGCTGGCTTCGAAGAGGCAAGCTGCCATTAATTCTGCGACCAAAAGGAAATGAATTCTGTGAACAACCAGGGGCAGGGGGTGGGAGGACCATACTTGGAAGTGAATCCTTCCCTAGTAGATCCTCCAAATAAGAACACAGCCCAACCAACACCTTGATCTCAACCTTGTGAGACTCTAAGCAGAGAACCTAGCTCAGCAGGGCCCCAGACTCCTGACCTACAGAAACTGTGAGATCATAAATGGGTATTGTTTTAAGTCACTACATCTGTGATCATTTGTTACACAGGCATAGAAAACTAATACGCAAGCTGTGCCAGTGTGTCAGACACCAGAGGGAGAGAGGTACAGAGCTCTTTGGAAGCAAATTTCCAATCCCTGCTCACTTCTTGCCCCCAACGCTTTTGCTCTTTGACATTGCTTGCTGCCATCCTGCCTTCAACCTCAAATCAGGTTTCTGCCTGTGATTCAATCTCTGGCTCCCTATGAGAAATCTTTTTTATATAAAATTAATATATAAATAAATTTGCTCTTGGAGAGATGCAGTGTGGAACAGAACCTGCCAGGCTCTCTAACGTCCATCACAAAGAAAGACTGCAGAGGGGAGGGGGAAGGCAGAGCTTTATCCTCCATAGGGAAGCAGAGAATTCATAGTGATCTTATTGCAGATGTAAAATTAGGTCAGCGGCTCTGTAAACTGATTAAAGCTCATGCTTCACGCTTCCAAGGAAAACAGCCAATACAAAAGGGAATGATCCCTGGCTCAAGATGAGAAGGAAGGAGAGCTCTCTATGTTCGTAGTCCAGCCATATAGGATGCTTGGCCAAAATGAAGGTATAGAAAAGGAACAACCAAAGAAAGAACAGGTGGGAAATTTTCTAAAAGCAAAAACAGTAGACAGCCTTTGTAATACTGCCACGTAGACACAAACCAGTGACTTGAGGTCCCAAAGTTTATGAGCCTAAGCCACCCTGCTTCTCCCTAAATTCATCTCCATCTCCAGCTCTTAGCCCTCTGATACCTATGCGTCTTGGATTTGACAGGCAGCCAGATTTTAAATCTTCTGTTTTGTGTCCTCTAGAAGTCAATGCCTCACCAGTTCAGGATTATCTCAACGCCTGGATCAGGATACACAGTTTGATCTGAAGACTCTTTTCCCATCCCCATTTTTCTCTAGGGTATTACCCCAACTTTATTTCTTCCTCTTTCCTCTTCCCCGAAATGTCTGCCTTTCGTTTCCTTCTCAAAGTTGCTAAAAGGCCACCTTCATTTCCCTTAAATCCTAGCCTTGCCCTCCTGCTTCCAGGATGATGCTTTAAAAAACAAAACTCATTCACATTGATTGATCTGTCTCATGGGTTACCCAAGCAACCGAAGTCACTACCTAAGGGTTAGAAAAAAAAAGACAGATTCTCTAGAGCAAATGGGTGGTGGTTGTTTTTGCAGTGCTAATCTGTCTTGTTTGAATGGGAAACATTTTGAGTTACTAAAATATCTTTACCTTTTTAAAAATGTGTGTATATGGGGGAAATATGAACTTTGTGAAGCATGCAGTAAATCTGATCTTATACACTGATCTAACTACCTGTGAAGAGAATATCCTGCTTATGTACTTGATTTACACAAGATAGAATAGAAAGAATTGTGAGGCTAGTTAAGGCTGTGGATCAACTGTTCATGGCTCTTGGGCCCAATGCCTCCATTTAGACTTTAAATCAAACATCAGGAAAGGACACCTGGGACTTGAGTCAGTTACATATTCATTTCAGTAGTGACCAGAGTCATTCAGCTCATTTTTGGTTCAAGGCCAGTTATCAGTCCAAACTAACTTGGGAAAACACTGCCCAAATTCTTTGCTCCACACAGAACAGAAAATAGCAGGTCTAATTTGAGTTCCACAAAAAATAATGGGCTTAGTTTGGATACAACTGTGAAAGAAGTTTCAATGCCAAGTAAAGGTGCTCTATTTTTCCGGATGGAGATGTATGTTCTGAAACCTGGTTCATGTGTTTCTGCCTCAACCCTTGGCCACACCACTGGCCAGGAGGCTTACGTGAGACTGGCTACTGTGACTGAGTTCTATGGATAGTGAGTAGAATAAAGCCTGAGGCTTACTCTCAGTTCATTTCAATACAGTTTCAGGTTTTGGGAATTGGGGAGAAAAGAAAAATTAAAACTCCTGACCTATCTAGTCCCTGGAGCAGAATTTTTTCACACAGATGCATCATATGGCATTGAAGAAAAGAGTTCTCCCAATCCCACCCCTTGCCCCCAGTAAAATCCGTTACGGAAAAAGCATTCTGTTCCAATGTCACTTTAGTCCCTCATAGTGACAGCGTGCATAAAATCCAGTTTTATAAAATTAGCTAAAATAAAACCATGCAGCAGCAACTTTTCTTAGGTAATGTAACCCCTACCTGTCCTCAAAGGCCTGTTGACTCCTTGTATCACAATTTTAAGATATTTTAACTTAAAATCTCTTGTTTCTTCTGCGAAATAAATGGCCCAGGTATATCGCCAGGGTGACTGCCTATACATCTCTCTTGGGTCTTTTAGGACATACTGGATCTTTCTGGGTATCATCAAACTTCTCCATCCAAGAATAAGGGACAGCAGCATCTCTTTGACATCCATAGCCCATTTCTGCTTTGCCAATATCACTTGTGCATCTGGGGCCACCAATGCATCCTATCCTAGCAAGTATCAATGGGAATAAAGAAGAAACTTAGAAAACGACAAAATTCAAGAAGAGCTGAAGCTCTGGAGCTAGCTTTGGTGGAGAAAGAATGATGCGGGATGTTGGACTAAGCGAGAAATGCATAAGAAGGTGAGTGGAAACATAACAGTCAGTCCAGCTGTTTAAAGCACCTATCACTCAGGACAGGACCGCAGACCAGAAGTGACATGGGTCCCCAGGAGTTGTCGCCACTCACTGTGCCCAGGTTAGCTGGCACTAAAGGAAGCTCATGGAAAATGATCTGATCTGAGAAAAGTGACTTAATTCCAAGCCATTCAAAATCATTATCTCAGAGGACATTTATGGTGTTAAGTATTAGATTGGTGCAAAGGTAATTGTGGGTTTTGCCATTACTTTTTTTTTTTTTTTTTTCCGAGATGGAGTCTTACTCTGTTGCCCAGGCTGGAGTGCACTGGCGCGATCTCAGCTCAGTGCAACCTCCACCTCCCGGATGCAAGCAATTCTCCTGCCTCAGCCTCCTGAGTAGCTGGGATTACAGGTGCCCATCACCACGCCTGGCTCATTTTTTGTATTTTTAGTAGAGATGGGGTTTCACCATGTTGGCCAGGATGGTTTCGAACTCCTGACCTCAAGTGATCTGCCCACTTCCACCTCCCAAAGTGCTGGGATCGCAGGTGTGAGCCACTGCGCCCAGCCTTTGCCACTACTTTTAATGGCAGAAACTGCAATTACCTTTGCACCAACCTAATATATCACTCTCCTTGTCCATAATAATGCTTTATCAAGAATACATTCATGCTCAGCAGAAGAATCTTCTCTTTATAAGGTAAAATTATTTGGATTTGAGGAAAAGTGATGAGGACCGCAGGTACCAGAAGCATCATGTTGTAAAGTAGAGAGTACTACATGAGAATTATAAGATTTGGAGATTATCCTTACTGTTTATTTCTCAGTTTTCTTGAGCTAAGAAAGAATAAACACAAAAGAAGAATTCTTTTTCTGACCTTCCCAAAATAGAAAACAAGATATATAATAGATGGTGATGTAGGTTTGTTTTCTTGTAATATTTTCCAGGGCAATTAAGAGAAATATATTACATAGTTCCAAGACCACGACCAGATTCTTGTGGATCTTCCTGTGTCCATTCTTTTCTCTCTTGTTTCTTTCAAATTCACCTAGAGGTACTGGGTCTCAGTTCTGCCATTTATGAGCTATGTGATCTGCGATGGGAGACTTAACCTCTGTGAGACCTGTAGTCTTACGTAATCAGCTGATAGTAGTACCCATTTGTACCAGTCAGAGCCCCAGCAGGAAGCAGATGGCACTCTCAAAATGATTTGAGATTGCAACAAAGGGACTAATTGCAAAGGTGAGGCAGAGTTTAAGGAAACAAGACAGGGTGAAGCACCTTAATGCTAGCAAACGTAGGGAGCTTTTACATCCCTAGATCTGAAGAGGCATGGCACACGGGTAATTCCTACAACCTTAGAAGAGTAGCCACATGAGAAGGGTACCAGAAAGGATTCAGGGCCTTCGGTCAAAGTGATGCTACCAACCCTTGGCCACTTACTGTGGAATAAACACCCCAACCTTTCCCTCCTATCACTCTCTAATCCAGTCTTGATCCAAAGACTGTGTTCCCTCTGTCTTAGATTATAAAGTTCAATCCCTTGATGGGACTTTTCTCCCATTTGTCAAATCCAGCTGGAAACCAGAAAGCAAGGAGACCCACTAACATGGCCTACTCTGGTCGGCCTCTGGGCACAAAGGAGGGTGAAGAAAGGATGGGAGCAGACATGGAGGCACCAATGGAAAGTACCAGAACACTTAAAAAATTGAACTTTTATGTTATTACTCAATGTTACTTTTATATTATTAATCAGTATTTACTGAGCCCAACCCCTATGATAGTTCTACAATGTATTACTCTTAAAATCTAAGCTAGACCTGAAATCCTATATTCTGTTTTAAGCTATTACCTCTCAATAGGAAAAGAGAGGTGTTGAGTGTCACCTTAATCCTTCCTGAGATAAACATTCAAATCAATCTCTCTACAGATTGCCCATAACCTTGTTCTTGTCTGTATTAATACATTCCTGTTGTCTGTCTTTATTTCTGTTTACACTATGTAAATGTTATAGAATCATCAAACTTTAGAAATAGATTTGAGATAACAGATTAAATTAGGGATACCAACTACTCTTTCATTCCACAGATATTTACTGAGCCTGGATTTTATCATCCATGCCAACTATAAGTGATGAGTAGTGGCGACCTACAGCATTGCACTGAGAGAAACTGAAAGCTGTACTCATACAAGCTAGGAAACTGACTATTCCAGCTGAGGGAAAGGAAGAGTGAACCCACATACCAGAAACCTACTTTATCTCGCCAAACACAAATATGGGATGCCTAGTTAAGTTTGAAGTTCAGATAAACAATGAATCATTTTTGGTACAAATATGCCCCATGCCATATTTGGGGCATGTACTTAAAAAATGATTCATTGTTTATCTGAAATTCGAACTAAACTGGGCATCCTGTATTTTTACTTGCTGAATCTGGCAAGCCTGACCCTGACCTTGGACAAGGTTCTTGGCTAACATTTCCACTTGGTAGACTGGGAATCTAAGACCCATAGACAGCAAGAAACTTTCCCAACTTTACACAGCTAGTTAAAACAGAATCAGAACTAGAAGTACTTTCTACTGTCACATATGGTGCCCCCTCTGACTTAGATCATAAACTTCATGAGGATTTAAGTAAATCTGTAAGCCACCTAGCAAACCCTTGCAAGCTGCTAGGCCCCTAACGAGCTCTTTCAGATTGATTGAAAATATGACCTGGAAAATGTCATAATGACATTTCATAATAGTGTTGTGTTAGTTTGTAATGTACAGTATATTACACAAATTCATCAAATGCTTGCAGAATTAATAGTACCATGCTACCATTCTTATACAAATTTTAATAGGAATGAGCATCTATATTTATATGCAGGAATTCCAGATTAGGCAGTTATTTGGTTTTCTACAAATACAGAAAATCAATGACAATCCAAAAACCTATTACAGCTAAAAAGTGACTTAAAATGTAAAATGGGAATTTCTACCTTTTTAACCACTGAAACTACTTCTTTATTGAAGCTGAAAGATATTTAAAAGGAAACACATTTTTTGCCGGAGATTTGTTGACATATCAACAACCCAGTTATCCTACAAATGTACCCAGGGTTCAGGACATGGAAGAATCCTAGGGTTATTACCCATAATCCCTATCCCTTTGAATTGCCCATTATTGAACCATTTATTTGGCTCCAGTGATAAACAGAACTCTCTCCCCACTGCACAGCTACAGCTCCAAAGGAAAAGATGGCTTAGGTGTGTGAATAAAGAAAGTAGTGATATTACATTGTTTATTATCATAGTGCACTCAGATGTGATGACTGACTACCATCCATGGTCGGCAGAATAATGGTCCCCTAAAGGTATCCACACCCTAATCCCTGAAATCTATGAATGTGTTACGTTACATGGCAAAGGAGAATTAAGGTGGCAGAAGGAATTGAGCTTGCTAATCAGATGACCTGATGATAGCGAGATTATTCTGGATGATTGCAATTGGTCCAGTGTAATCACAAAGGCCCATAAAGTGGAGTAGGGTGACTTAAGAATCAGAGTCAGAGTGATGTAATGTTAGAAATACTCTGCCAGCCATTGCTGGCTTTGAAAGTTGAAGGGAACCATGAGCCAAAGAATGGGGACAGTCACAGAAGGTGGAAAAAGAGAAGACACAGATTCTCCCACAGAGCCTCCAGAAAGAAACAATTTTCACCCACGAAGACCCATTTTGAACTTCTAAAGTCCAGAACTATATAAAATCATAAACTTGTATTGCCTTAAACCACTATGCTTATGGTAATTTGTTACAACCACCACAGAAATGAAAACACCACATTTCTAGGATGGTCAGTTATGTGTTAATATCAATGTCAAACAAAACATTTAGATAATAATATCACTCTCAAGCATAAGAGTCATAAAAAGTAAGATATTGAGATGATCAACCAAAATAAACAAGAAAATAGCATTGCTATCTGGAACAAGATAGTAGACATTTTCCAAGGATGAGGCCAAATAAGTGTAAATAGAAGCCCTAACATTTTCTTACGACATCTCCAATGAATTGTCTTCTGCACCCCTCAAAGTAGGAACATTCTGCTTTGAAGATGATCATGCTTGAAGCTACAATCTGTATCTGACGCATATTTCAACTTGTTCTCCAACATAGCTGCTGAGTTTAACACAAAGCCATATAGAGGTCATTTCTATAGAGCACAATAAATACCATTATGTGTTAGACGGATGGATGGATCACTTTTCTCCCCTTGCAAGGTAAGACATTGTCATGAAGAAGGTAAAGGACTGGGATTCAGGAGTCTGGTCTAGCTCCTAACTAGCTGTGAGATCTTGAGCAAGTCACTTCACATCTCTGGGCTTTGGTTTTCTCACTGTGAAAAATACAAGATGAGCTCTAAAGCTCCTTGGAACACAAAGGTCAAGGATGCTAGAGACTGGGGTGATGACGGGAAAATGCAGGAGATGATCAATTCAGAAAGTCCTTAGAAAACAGGCAAGGGGTGAATTCAAGCATTTTGATGATCCCTACCAATGTTACCACAGCCCTGCTTTGTCTATGTGGATTCAGTAGGGCCAGGATGAATCCTGGAAGTTTCCAAGTGGTACTACAGGATCATCTTCCCCTTAAGCAGGAGATCCTGGTGATGGCGCCCCAACAGCTGGCACCCTGGTCCCTGACTCAGCCTAACTCCCACAGCAGAGCTGGTCAGAAAAAACAAGCATGCAGATGAGGAGGGCATGGACAAATGAGGTCATACCACATGAAACTTCTAAACTCAGTGCCTATGTAAAGCAATGGTCAGTAAGGAATTTTCCTCATTGGCCTGCTTTGACAGGTCTGGAGAAATACCATGCTGAGGTCTTACCTTCCTCTGAGGCTGCTGCACACATGCGCCACAGCCAAAGGCAGATTCTGGCTCTATCAGACCAATTATTTCACAGGACATAAGAGTACCTAGTCTGATGTTCCTTTCATTTCCATTACTATCTCACTCAATCACTTCTGAATGTAGTGACAGGACTTGGCTTCCTTCCCTAGAGAACTCTGCTCACTGTCCAGTCCTTATTGCCTTAAAGAATTTTTTTTTTTTTTTTTACTAATGGCTACAATATTTTTTCTCGCTTCACTTTAGGCCATGGCTCCTGGTCCCTGCCATCCCGGAAGATGGTGACTAATCCTTTTCTCTCATTGATATGGTTACCCTGAAAGTATTTATAGACTGTGGTCACCTCCCCCACAGAGGCCTTTCTTCTGGGAGGATATAAATTACTTCTTCAGTCAGTCCACTCAAGTTTGTTCTCCCAACCTTCATATCATTTTTGTGGCCTTTCTTTTCTTTCTTCTACATTTTATTTCCCTCTTAAACTGTGGGGATGTGAGCCACAGCTAACTTTCCAGATGTGGTTAGAATCTTCTTGGGTGAGGCAGAACCATCCAGTTCTCCACCTCCACCCCCTCGCCACAGACCTTTCCTTTGAAAATGGAATTGGAATTGCTGTGTGTACTAGTCTGTTTTCACACTGCTGATACAGACATACCTGAGACTGGGCAATTTACAAAAGGAAGAGGTTTATTGGACT
Organism: Homo sapiens; assembly: GCF_000001405.40. Taxonomy (NCBI): domain Eukaryota; kingdom Metazoa; phylum Chordata; class Mammalia; order Primates; family Hominidae; genus Homo; species Homo sapiens. The sequence continues at coordinate 73,772,261 of NC_000016.10, forward strand.
CACAGTTCCACATGGCCGGGGAGACCTCACATCATGGTGGAAGGCAAGGCGGAGCAAGTCACATCTTACGTGGATGGCAGCAGGCAAAGAGAGAGCTTGTGCAGATAAACTCCCCCTCATAAAACCATCAGATCTTGTAAGACTTACTTGCCATCACGCGAACAGCATGGGAAAGGCCTGCCCCCATGATTCAGTTACCTCCCACCAGGTAGCTCCCACAACATGTGAGAATTCAAGATGAGATTTAGGTGGGGACACAGCCAAACCATATCACTGTGCATACCTCGTTTGGGTGGTCATCTACTTTCTGCCGTAGGTGTCTTTCAGATATGTCCGTTCTGCAGTTAGCTAGTCTCCTTCTCACTTGGATCTTGGCTGTTTGAATCCCTGCCTGAGTAAGGAACTGTGTATTTAGCACAACTGCATCTCATCCTCGGCCTGCAGCTCCTGTCTCTCAATGGTATTCTTCACCTGGCCATTTGATTCTATAATAACTTCATATGGGGGGTGTGTGTTTCTGAGCTATCTAATCTGGCTGTCACTAAATACATATGCATAATTACTACCGCATATCAGACACTGTTCTTAGAAAATTCTTGCTTTGGGAGAATCTCCAGGCATCTTGAAAGACATGACTCATTTCCCACACTGCCACTACCTGCAGAGATCTCAGAGCATTTATTTCTAAACTCAGAAGCATTTGTTTTTGGTCTCAGCTCCAGGACTTGGCTGTGTCATGCTATCCTAGGTAGAGGATTTTGGGTCCTTAGACCCAGGCTGATCAGTGCAGGGGCTGTTAGCCACATGGGGCTACTCAAAGTTAATGAAATTAATCAGTAAATAAATGGAAATAAGACAAACAAAAATCAAATCAAGTTTAAAATTTGGTTCCTGGGTTTCACTAGCTACATCTCAAATGCTCAATGGCCACAGTGGCTAGTGGCTACCGTGTTGCACGGCACAGATATGGCACATTTCCACCATCACAGAAAGTTCTAGAGGAGGGTGCCACCCCAGGCAGCTGTGTCCCACAGTCTCCCTTTCTTTATGGTCCTCAGACCTCACCACCAGGCAGTAGTTCTCCCCATCCCTTGTGCTACATTTTCCATTATCATCAAACTGTTTGTATCAGTGGAGATGGAGAACAGATGGTCCTCACCTTTATGCATCCAACACACACTTACTGAGCTCCCAGTATGAGCCAGGCCCTGGTCCTGTCTCTGGGGATAAGCAGTGAATAAGGATCTGTCCACCTGAGGCTTCCATTCCAGTGGATGAGAGAAACAATTAACAAGTATCTACATAATAATGTGTCCGTGGAAAGCCCGAATGCAAGGAAAGGGACAGAGAGAGGGCCATCCGGGAAGGCCTGTCTCAGGTAGAGATATGTGAGCAAGCATTTGGGCACAGTGCAGAAGTGAACCACGTGACATTTCACATAATTTCAGTGTTAGTTATGTGAAGTTGTAAATAAAGCCATGGGTGTTGATGAAAACACCTAGGGGGCAAATGTAAAGAAAGGAGAGAAGGTTTAGAGCTCAGTACCAGGGGACTCCAACATTCCCTGGTACAACACTTCTAAAAAGTTGAAAAGAGGCCAGATGCAGTGGCTCATGCCTGTAAACCCAGCAATTTGGGAGGCTAAATTAAGAGGATCTCTTGAGGCCAGGAGCTCCAGACTAACCTGGGCAACATAATGAGACCCTCTTTCTACAAAAACATAAAAAATTAGCCAGGCACGGTGACATGTGCTTGTAGTCCCAGCTACTCGGGAGCTTAGGCAGGAGGACTGTTTGAGCCCAGGGTTTGCAGTAAACTATGATTGTGCCACTGCACTCTAGCCTAGCTGACAGAGCAATATACTGTCTCTAAAAAAAAAAAGTTAAAAAGATACTAAGCTTTTATTAATCTCACTTTAATTATTTACTCATGACTCCTTGGTCCAAAAACTCTCCAAATTCATTTTTGTAATGGGTAAGGGTGGACATTGTCTATTTTACTATTCACTGTAGAATCCCCATGGCCTAGCATGGTGCTTGTATAAGCTCATTAGGTAGTTGGTGAATGAATGAAGGCTGAGAGAAAGGGGATTTGAGCTCATCCCTTTCATGACCACCATTGCTGCCTTCACAGTCCATGCTGGCTTTAGAACAACCATACCCATGACACACCAGGACCCCAGAGTTGGGTGTCCCAGAGGTATCCAAACAAATACCCATATGCTCTGTTCTTCCTACTTGTAAGCACCTGACTTACCTCCAGACTCAATCTTTATACCACTGTATCCACTGATGATGCTAATCCTAAGTAACAAATATGCTTGTCTATGCACCCCCCAAAGATGGTGCCATTTGTAAGGCAAATAGTTATGCACCATTACCTTCTACAGCTTGAGGCATCCATTGCACAAGGAACAGCTGGGCAACATCACTAAGCCACCGATGGTAACTGAGTACAACCTCGGTTTATCAGTCAGACAACGGTGGTTTTCTTAATGGGAGTGGTTTTTCAACTCTAGTATTTGGAACTGTGAGTGAGCATGTAAATGAATGCATTTGCTCCAGGAAGTTGTTCACAGGACTTATTTCGAGACCTGAACCTTGCATGAATTGCTCCTAATCACATTTAATCTGGAAGTATGTCCTGAACACTCTACCTTCAAAATTCATCTTACATCCTTTTACGTCTCCCTATCTCCAATCCAGGACCCTGGTCTAACCCCAGATATCATCTCTTGGACTCTGCTAGCAGCCATGGAAATAGTACCCTGCTTCCATCCCCGCCTCTTCTCATTCCATTTTTCAAGTATAGACACAGCTTAAGGGACAAACAAGATTCAAAACATGAGATTTCCAAAAGTAAATTTTCAAGGTACTCCTATGGGAAAGCGCCGTTGAGAATATCCTTCTCAGGTTTAGCACAGTCCCTCAAGGTAAGCACCTTCAACCCTGCTTCGACTGCAAAGAGTTCTTTAAGAAGGTATGACTGAGAGGTCTCCGCTTTTCCTTCTTCCTATTAAAAATGGCTCTTAGATGCTTTTATTCTTAGTGAGGCCATCCTATTGTAGCACCAATATAGTTATATAAGCGCATCGTTTCATGCTCTATTCACCTTCTGAATCTTTTAACCCCACCTCCCTCAGCTGAGAAAAGAAATACTATGGGTTTAAATCTATCCTCTATCAGCTGCAGCACGATAATTCTTACCCTAGGGCCCCAAACCCTCATTTCAGACGGACTAATCCAAACCTCTTTTGGAGGCAATGCTATTTCCTTCACTACCTGGTTTGGCCGTGTGCTGAGCCCCAGTTATATTTAGGCAGTGGAGGGGAAAAATAGGGATATTAACCTCTAACACTGATGAAAATAATAGCCACAATAAAATCCAGATGAAAAACGCAGGGGTAGTAATTATTCGGCTCTACCTTACCCCAGAGGAAATAGTTTTCAGATAGAGCCTTAGAAATTTGTAAAAGGCTGCTCCATTTTTTAATAAGGCAGGTGTAGGGGCTTTCTGGAGGCAGAGGAGGGTTTGCCAGAGTCTCAGACAATGTGCCATTAAGTGATGGGGCCCCCAGTAGAACCCTGCTCCTCTCCCTCAATTCTGGAGAGGTTGAAAAATCTGAGGATGTAGACTCTTGGAGCCACTTCCTTTTTCTGATCTATCTGGCAGCAGCCTAGTGTGGAAAATATACTAGGCTATATTTCAAATAACCTAAACCAACTGGCAAAAGGTACTAAATTCTTGCTTTTGTGTCTGGCTCTTAAACTCCTGCAGACCTGACTTAACAGACAAGAGAGGGTCATAAAACTGAACCTGTGAAACAAAAATAGACCTTTCGGGACTTCTCATACACACACAGCAGGGATGCCAAAATCGCTTTCATTTTTTCATGTTGCAAATCGCGTTGTGCTTCCTCCACGTCCTCCTGGGTCTGAGCAGGCATGGGGAGAAGGCGACTTTCTTTGCACAGCATGTCTATGACTGAAGTGTGCAGGGCTAGGAGAGCTTAAATTGTTAGGGTCCCGTCTTTATGTAAAACAACAACTCCACCTTCCCACAACCTCTCCATTTCCGTAATTAATTTCAGACAGCTAAGACGACATGCCCCAGTTCTATGCGCTACTCTAACTGCTGTGGTTTAAAAAAGGCTTTATGCTTTAAGGTTTCCTCTTTCAGAAATCAAATAATTTAGATCTTTAAAAAAACATACACAAGTGCCTTCTGGCTATCGACGACAGGGAGTAGCAATAATAGAAAATAATAATAGTAAAAATATGCAACCGCGTTAATGCCAGGGACCTGGGGATGCAATAGACAGAAATGAAATTAGAGGGGAAATCATAATATTGCTGAAGTGCTCGAATGCGGCTCTCACACTAAGACCAGGGGGATTGGGATAAGGTAAAGTTAATTGCGTTTCCAGATGACAAACCTCTCACCTCTGAACTGAATGGCTCTTTATAAAAGCTATCAGTAATAAACTGTAAATCTCAGCCATGATTGCAAATAAAGGTCATCCCTTTCATGCTGCCACTTTCCTAGGCCTTATTACATTCCCGCCTGAACCGTTCGCACTTCTTAAGGTGTGCCAGCTGTCCATATAAGCAATCAGTACGGCCTGCTTGCTTTATTTTTTTTAAGGAACAATATTATCAGATTTACATCCATGCACATTGTGTACCTGAATTGGGCCAATCTCCTCCTCCTGGAAGGAAGGCAACATCCGGAGCTAGGATTACTCTTCATCTTCTCCCATGAACGTAGAGGAGGTATTGCATTCCCCTATTTCACAAGCTAGCATCACCACGCTTTGTAAGAAGGAACACACACCATCTAACACATCGATCCTAATTGCTGTGGTCCTGCCACAATTTCCCTTTCTCATATGTGCAGGGCAAGGATCCCTGTCCTCCGCCACTCCCTGGATCAATGAGCCTCCTTTAGAAAGGTGAGTTAAAGGCTGGGCACGGTGGCTCATGCCTGTAATCCCAGCACTTTAGGAGGCCAAGGCAGGAGGATCATGAGGTCAGGAGTTCAAGACCAGCCCAGCTAATATGGTGAAACCCCGTCTCTACTAAAAATATAAAAAATTAGCCAGGTGTGGTGGCGCGTGCCTGTAGTCTCAGCTACTCAGGAGGCTGAGGCAGGAGAAGCACTTGAACTTGGGAGGCAGAGGTTGCAGTGAGCCAAGATCAAAATCACGCCACTGCGCTCCAGCCTGGGCGACAGAGTGAGACTCTGTCTCAAAAAAAAAAAAAAAAAAAAAAAAGCTTAGTTAAATCTAATTTAACAGAATTAAGAAAACATTTATTTATTTCATTTCTACTACATACATGACACTGTCCCCAAATCTTTTTTTCTCCGTGCATCTTTCCAACTGTATCAATGATAACAATGGCTGATACCCAATGAGTACTTACTCTGTGCCAGTTATGGTGCTAAGCACTTAACATCCAGTACCTCATCTAATCCTCACACTTGCTATGTCTGGGTGACATGTTATCTCCATTTTGCATGTAAGGAAAGTGAGGCTCAGGCAGGTTACTGCCTCAGGTTGCCAACAACTGCAAGAATCAGAACTGGGACTTTTTTTTTCTCTGTAGCTAAAGGGAGTATCTGGAAGGGATTGAGAAAGATGGAATGTCACAAAATAGCAAAGTCAATTCCTGGATGTTAAGCTGACTTCCCAGAAACTCACTCTGGCTACACTGAGCCATGTTCATGCCCTTGCATTCCAGCCTGGATGACAGAGTGAGACCCTGTCTCCAGAAATAAAAATGTAAAAAATGAAAATGAAAAAAATAATATCAAACAAAATAAATATTTTTTAAAAGCTCACTCCCATGAAATAGAGCAGATGTTGAAAATGACCCATGCTGAGGAAGAGAAATGGCTATACCAATAATTCTTATGCAACAACTCTCATCTAAGAGACACCACATAAACCACTACCTTTACTGTTGAAGGAGTGTTAAAAAAAAAAAAAAAAAAAAAAAAAAGCATTGGACTTCAACTCAAAATGAAATCTAGTCCTAAATCTATTTTGATGTCACTTACCATTTGGGCATTTATTCATTTGATCACCAAGTGACAAGTTAGAAAATTGCTCTGTGAGATTTCAATTTCTCTGTTAATTACCTTACCTTGTCTACAAAAGTTGTATTGAATGGATGGTGAAAATATTTTGCAAAATAACATGTTCTTCAAATACAAGTTTAAAATCACAATAATTCCCTCAGTGGTAGCAGCAATATGTATTAAGCTGCTGTTTTAAGCTGGGTTCTAACTATTTTCCAAAGTCAGACTTAGGAAAAATCCTAATAGGTGAGACCTACCACTGGTGCATTTGCTTATTATCTATTCAAAATGACAGTCATTTCCCCTGCATGTGCCTCTGCACAGCGCTAAATTCTAAAGGATTTAGAAAGGTCTGAAGCGCCTTGCTGTTGCCTTCCAAGAGCTTACAGTTTCTTCTGATGAAAATACAATGGTAAGACGGCAATGCAGGATTGCTGGCTCCAAATAACACCAGAAATCATATCAATCCAAAAACAATGACTAACAGTCTGTGCCTGAGCCGAAGAAAAGTCAAGATCACTTCATATTAGGGAGCATCTGGGAAGTTGAAAGTAGGAATTGTTCTTCTGTGGAATATTAATCGTTAAGTTTCTAAATGGAAAATGCACAAGTGAGTAGAAAATGAGAAAAGCTAAAACTGTTTTCTCTGAACACCTAGGATTCATCTGCTCTAGAATAAGCCTGAGTGTCCCCAGCTCCGCCCTAGGGTGGGGGTGGGTGGTCCAGATGGAAGCCCCACCAGATGGCTCCAGAGTGGCACACAGAACCCGTGTCTTGCATTTGGAACACAGAAACCAGCATATGGCTATAGCATTCCCGAGCCTCCCAACATGTGCCAAAGTATATCTTGGGAATTCTGGGGGTGATTTTTTTTCTTTATCGACTGAGCTCAAATTCATACATTCAAAGACCACCACAGTAAAATCAGTAAATACAATAATGCTATGTTGGAATGAAACACTATTCAGTTATAGTAATTGCCCAGAAATTAATTTTTAAGTTAGTGATGAAAAGAATTCATCTGAGAAAAAGACAACAATGACAATGATGAAGAAAGAGGAGGAGGAGGTGGTGGTGTTTCATTCTAGTATGGAATCATCGAGAAGAAAATCCAAAGAATGAGGTTGCCTCTCCCGGGTCCTAAAATCCCACACATTGCTCATTTATTCATTCTCTCATTTACCCTGCCGTGTCTGCCATGGGCAAGGTGAAACATTTAAGACCCACAAAGATAGATAAGGTCCTAATCTACTAGGACCACGAATCATTCCACAAATGAAACTCCAAGGCAGAGAAGCACCAGTCAACAGTGAAAGCAGAAATGCGTTATGCTCCCGTTGTACAACAACAAAGATACCTTTGATGAAACAGTAATCCCAAGCCTTTCCTTTTTTTGAGAAAGAGTCTCGTTCTGTCGTCAGGTTGGAGGGCAATAGCGCAATCTCGGCTCAATGCAACCTCCAACTCCCAGGATTTAGCAACTCTCCTGCCTCAGCCTCCCGAGTAACTGGGATTACAGTCATGCACCAGCAACACCCAGCTAATTTTTGTCTTTTTAGTACAGATGGGGTTTCACCATGTTGGCCAGGATGGTTTTGATCTCCTGACCTCATGACCCACCCGCCTTGGCCTCCCAAAGCACTGGATCCCAAGCCTTTCTAAGACTTTTTTTTCTCTCTTCACCTAGCGCAGACTATGAAGTCATGACTGAGATAGCTTCTGCCACCAGGGACTCCTTCCTGTAAACCAGCAAAACTCACTGCATTTGAATTTTTTTTTTTTTTTTTTTTTTTTTTTTTTTTTTTTTTTTTTTTTTTTGAGGCAGAGTCTTGCTCTATCCCCCAAGCTGGGGTGCAGGTGCAGTGGTGCGATCTTGGCTCACTGCAACCTCCGCCTCCTGGGTTCAAGTGATTCTTGTGCCTCAGCCTCCTGAGTAGCTGGGGCTACAGGCATATGCCACCACGCCTGGCTAATTTTTGTATTTTTAGTAGAGATGGGGTTTTGCCATGCTGGCCAGGCTGGTCTCGAACTCCTGAACTCAGGTAATCCACCCACCTCGGCCTCCCAAAGTGTTGAGTTTATAGGCATGAGCCACCGTGCCTGAACTTTTTTTTTTTTTAAGACAGAGTCTCACTCTGCCACCCAGGCTGGAGTACAGTGGCATGATCACGGCTCACTGCAACCTCTGACGCCTGGGTTCAAGCATTTCTTGTGCCTCTGCCTCCCAAGGAGCTGGATTACAGGCATGCGCCACCACGCCCAGCTAATTTTTGTATTTTTAATAGAGACGAGGTTTCGCCATGTTAGCCAGGCTGGTCTCAAACTCCTGGCCTTAAGTGACCTGCCCACCTGGGCCTCCCAAAGAGCTGGGATTACAGGCACGAGCCACTGTGCCTGGCCTCATTGCAGTTGAATTCTGATGCAGACTCATCATTCTCTGTTAATTTCTTTCCATTTGTGAATAACTTCATATTTTAAGAGTGGATATATGTGCAGAGTGCCTGCCATGAAAGTGCAACATAACTGCCAAGTGCTATTACTATTCAAAGGCTGCTTTTTTAGATACCTATTTGCTATTTACAGAGAAGTCCCTGGGTACACATGAAAGGTAATATCAGTTACTCAATAACAATAATGAAGAAGACTTGCATGTAAAAGCTACAGCTTTTGCTTCTTCTATATTAAAAGCTTTAGCAGTGATTATGATGAACAAAAGAGAAAGGGACCATTTGCTTGGGAAGATGAGGAAATTAATATAATTTGGGAGCTCTCAAGGAAGTCGGAGTGTTAAACCTAGTTACTTTGTTTAACACTCCCTGCCTCATTACCTGAGCAAGAGAGCAAGCAACGTAGCTGTATAAATCTGGAATCACGATGCTTTTTTCCGTGAGATCCATGATTCTCAAACTTCAACATTCATCAGAATTTTACCTGAAGGCCTTTGTAAGGCTCTACCCCCAAAGATTGTGATTAAGCAGCTCGATTATAAGGCTAGAGCCTGATCATTTGTGTTTTTAACAAGTTCCCAGGTCACGTTGCTGCTACTCCTGCATCACACTTTGGGAACCACTGGTGTAGATCATGGTTTGGCAAACTATGGCCCACTGCTTGTATTTGTAAGTCACGTTTTGTTAGAACACAGCCACACTCATCATTTGCATAACATCTATGGCTGTCTCACACTACAGTGGCAGAATTGAGTCATTACAACACAGACTGTGTGGCCTCCAAAGTTAAAAATATTTACTACTGGGTCCTTTACAGAAGAATTGTGCTGACTTTCAGTATAGATTATAGCCAGAGTCATAGGAACTTAGAGCTGGAAGAAACCATCTTTAACTTGATCCTCTATTTAATAAACAAGAGGTCGGGCGTGGTGGCGCATGCCTGTAATTCCAGCATTTTGGGAGGCCAAGGTGGGCGAATCACGAGGTCAGGAGTTTGAGACCAGCCTGACCAACATAGTGAAACCCCGTCTCTACTAAAAATACAAAAATTAGCTGAGTGTGGTGGTGTGCATCTGTAATCCCAGCTACTCAGGAGGTTGAGGCAGGAGAATCGCTTGAACCCAGGAGGTGGAGGTTGCAGTGAGCTGAGATCGTGCCACTGCACTCCAGCCAGGGCGAAAGAGCGAGACTCCATCTCAAAAATAAAATAAAATAAAATAAACAAGGAAGGCTACCCTGGAAGTTGAGAAAAGTTCAGACTAAAGCCCAGGCAGGGTCTCCATTGCCCAGTGCAGAGTTCTGATCTCTACAGAAAGACTCTCTTTGGTCAGGAATGGTGCTTTAGATGCTCAGCTGGCTCTGTACAAAGTTAACCGTACACGGAGCTCCTGTGTCCAAATGACAAATGTAAATCTTGAGACCTATGGAGAGATAAAGCTTGAGCCTCTGTTTTGTTGGGTAGGTGAATCCAAGTGCTGATACATTAGGTAGTGACCTACAAGGCAGAGACCTCTAACTTGTTTTAGGTCACAGAACGCTTTGGAGAATCTGTCAAAAGTTACAGACTTTCTACCCCAGAAATATGTATAACACATGCAAAATTTTACATGCAATGTTAAAGGGCCCATTATCCCTGGAAGCCTACTCATGAGCAGCTATTTAAGGTCCCTAATTTAGAGGAGGACTTGAAGGACGCTTCAAGCCTAGCTCTTTTCTGGTGGCAGTTATTCATCTGCCATCCTTCCCCTTAGAGAACATGAATATCCTTGAGTGAAGTGTAGTAGAAGCATGGGCTGCCCACTGATTATCTGTGGCTCCCCTTGTGGTTAGACGAGGCCAAACGAATAGGTCTGAAAAGTGGGCTCTGAGCAGGAGTGACAAGCTTAACTGCTGAGTAGAAGCATTAAAAGTTGGCGCATGACCCTCTGGTTCTGCCCTTGTCTGCAATAAAGGAAATCCTGGGTTCCAGGTTGTATGCTGCAAGATGACAGACCTGAAAGACTGGGTCCCTGAATCACTACATGGAGCAGACCCTTATCCAACACTGAGCTGAGTGAAATATGCACTGTTTCTTAGGAATAAACTGTTGTGTTAAGCTTCTGCAAATTGGGAGTTAATTTGTTACCACAGCACAACCTAATCTATTCCAACTAACTCAATAGGTGAAAACTTCAGGATACATAATTCTATGGGATTCTCTATTTTCCCCAACTTCAGATGCTGGGGCAATATGGAAGTGCTAGTTGCCAGAGAGAGAGGGGGGCACTGAAATGGAGGCCATGGTGAGCAGCCCACTCCCAGCTTCATGTCTAAGGCACTTATTCTCCAGCTGCCCGGAGAGTTGGCTTTGATGGCTCAGAGCTGAGTACCGGGCCAAGATGAGCCACCCCAGGCACAACCTGCAACCAATGACTAGTTAATGTGCTTATAAAGGCCCAACCCTCATTCCCCAGTTAGAGACAAATCTGTATGGCCAACCCAGCCTCAGAACTCCGTATGGGATCTGCTGAGGCCTCTGCTGCAACTACGCCACTGTTGAACTCTTTCCTGTGTCCAATCCCATTTCCTTCCCTCCCTTAGTCATGTTGTTCCCCAGTGTATGTCCCCAAAACCTCCTTTACACAAGTCTCCACCTCATGCTCTTTCTCTTTCTGGAGAACCCCATCTAAGGATGACACCCAGGAAAGAATGGGAGTTTAAGGTGGACAACAGTCAAAATTCGTTGTTGCTTTTTTAACCTGGAAAAACCCCAGAGGGAAAGTTGTGACCTATAGCATGTGGGAAAGTTTCCCATTTTATTCTAGGAAATTGATGATTGATTCATTCAGATTCATATATTTTCTGTCCATTGTTAGTCAACTGTAAATCAGTACTGATTGCAAATTATAACCACAGCTAACACTATGTACCAGTCACAGTGGTAAGGACTTTATATGGATTAACTCATTTAATCTTTGCAACAATCTGATGAGATAGTTACTACTATCATCCCATTTTCCAGATGAGAAAACTAAAGTCAGATGCCCTGCTCAAGGTCATACAGCTAGTAAGAAGTAGGAAATTACATAGAGTTGTCCTCAGCACTGAGTTTCACCTCACCCTGGACTCTACCTGTTTCAGCTGGTAGCATCCATACCAGGTTGATGCTGTTCCTAAGAACAGGAACCTGTCAAACCCTGGGTGTCTTTAGAAAACAAGGAAAGGAGACAGAAGGGAAAGCAAGAAAGGATGTTCTCTAGATGGGATGCCTGCATGAGCACAGCCTCACTGAGAAAATGGTGAGGGCAGCAAATCACAGGAAGATGCCTGGCTGTTTTGGAGAGATGGCAGGCAAAAAAAAGAAAAAAAAAGGAGACAGGTAAGCATTTGGGCTGTGGAATCATACAAAGCTATGTGACTTGAGTAAATTACTTAACCTCTCTGAACTTCAATTCCATCATCTATAAAAGGGGAATAAAAGAGATAACATCTCAGGATGGTAGAAAGGATTAAACGATAAAATACATATCAAGTGCTTCACCTACTAGATGTGCTTAACATGCTTAACATATCTAGTGCCTGACACCTAGAAAGCAATAGCAATACATGATGATCATGGGTCTCTTCCTTAACCATGACCAAAAAAGAAAAAAGAAAGACAGATGCTGTCTTCCAAAATTGTTTTAAAATTTATTTTTTGGCTGGGCGCAGTGGCTCACGTCTGTAATCCCAGCACTTTGGGAGGCCAAAGCAGGCAGATCATGAGGTCAAGAGATCGAGACAATCCTGGCCAACATGGTGAAACCCCATCTCTACTAAAAATACAAAAATTAGCTGGGGGTGGTGGCACGTGCCTGTAGCCCCAGCTACTCGGGAGGCTGAGGCAGGAAAATTGCTTGAACCCAGGAGGCAGAGGTTGCAGTGAGCCAAGATTGCTCCACTGCACTCCAGCCTGGTGAAAGAGTAAGACTATGTCTCAAAAATTAAAAAAATTTTTAAAAAACTATTTTTAACAAAATAAAAAAAAAAATATATATATATATATATATACACACACACACACACACACATATAGTCTGAAAAAGCCAAGCAGTTCCATAAGTCCTCTAATGAGGAATAGTGGTCCCATGCTTCACGTTCTTCCCACACCTAATTCCTGCTTCCCAGAGGAAACCACTTTCAGCTCTTTTAGTTGTTTCTTCTGGTATTTGCCTCCATGTTTCTAACTAATCTGTGTTTACTAATGTTTCCTGATTTTCTCTTAAAATATTGTTTGATTTCAAACTATGGAAAACGAGGATTCAAATCTCTTACAATTTGTAAGTACATCATGTGTGCACATGAACACACATAACATTCTCATTATATAGTTATGTAACAGTTTTTAGTTACAATACTATTTGCTGTATACATTATAATTGTATTAATAAACATTATTCACAAATAAGCCATGTGGTTTATTATAACTACAGTTCTTTTGTACCAACTTTTTGTTTTTCCAAGAGTTAGTAACATCCTTGCTTTTCTGTCTGCTCTGTTTTCTATGTATCTACCAAAAATTTATCCCCAAATTCTTCCACATAAATGAATTTTCTGTGAATAAATTTAAATACATCAGACAATCTATCTTATATATCCTAGTCATTTTTTGTTTCTCAGAGATATCTAGAGCTCTAGTCTTATTGCTGTAAATTAGATTGGGTTTCTAAAAAGGCTTCTGCCCTGCAGTCACTCTGAGATGTCTCTTCACCATCATCCTGAGAATTCCATTTGCCTCCTTCTGGTGTTCAATCACCTATTCCCTGAATACTCATGAGTTCTTTTTTTAGGTTTCCATCTTTATCGGTATAAAGGTGGGGTGGTGGGTGCAGGGTAAATCCTACCCTCATGCTTAAGCAACACTTTGGCTGGGCATTAAGTTCTACACTGGAAATAATTTTTACTCAACATTTATTATCTTCTCATTTCCAGAGCTTCTATTGGGAAAGCTGATGTTATTCATATTAGGTCTTCTCTCCTCTCTGAAATGTTTAATCCTTGTTTATATGAAATTTCTGCCATATTCATTTGTTGCCTGGGTACTTTGTAACCATTTCTAATCTTGAATGATTTTTTTTTTTGAGATGGAGTTTCACTCTTGTTTCCCAGGCTGGAGTGCAATGGTGCGATCTTGGCTCACCACAACCTCCACCTCCCAGGTTCAAGCGATTCTCCCACCTCAACCTTCTGAGTAGGTGGGATTACAGGCATGCACCACCACACTTGGCTAATTTTGTGTTTTTTAGTAGAGACGGGCTTTCTCCATATTGGTCAGGCTGGTCTCGAACTCCCGACCTCAGATGATCCACCTGCCTTGGCCTCCCAAAGTGCTGGGATTACAGGTGTGAGCCACCGTGCCCAGCCAGAATGATTTTTTTTTTTAACAGCATCCTACTCTTATTTCATGGATGTGGCCTCTTCCTTTGTGTCTCTGAATACTTTAATTTTGTTTATATGTTTTCTTCTACTTTCTGCACTGCTTCTGTTTCCTCTGAGTTCATTTTTCTCTTTTCTTCCCCCTGTAATTGTCATAAAGTTTCCCTCAAATGTCTGGATAAGCATTTTCTATTGATTCATATTATAAAATGAGACACATAAAAAAAAACTGTTGGAAGCTCTGTGTTGTGTTGGTGGTCTCTGTGTTCAGGAAGGGACCTGGTTGTTTCTTCGGGATCTCAGCTGACAGTATCTGTACATCTTTTATCTTGGGCTGGTGAATTTCCTTAGAAGGAGGAATCCTCTCAATTCCAGCCTGGAGGTGATAAGCCTGGACAACAATATCCTCCTAACCAAGTGGCAGGGGGGGCCAAAGAGGTCTCAATATTTCAGATGCCAACCTCATTTCATTCCCATGTGCATGGAATAACATCCCTATTCCATGGGTGCCTGATACCCCAAGTCAGAGCCTGTTCAGCCTCTCCAAAGCTCCAGGCTTCTGATGAATTTAGGGAAAGAGGTCTTTGCTTAGAAGAACAGGGTGAGAGAGTCCAGAGGATCGACTGTCTTTTATGCAACTTCCAGCCAGTTGTCCTATTCCTAGCTCTTCCCGTACCCATACCCACAGAGGCAGCCAGAGCCTCCAATAGCTGAGGTTTTCATGTTCCAGCACCTCAGACTGGCTCAATTCTTGGTGTTGTCTTTTTCAGGCATGTGGTTTCATCTTTCTGTCATCCACTAAATCAGTTACCATCAGTCCAGCTTCTAGAATTTTAGTGACATTTCTTTTGTGCCATAATTTCCTTTTCTATGCTTTTTGTCCTCAAGATTGTATGCTTTTTCATACTTTAACTGTCATTTTAGTAAGGCTTTGGGAGAGGGTAAAGAAACTCATGTGTTCAAGCTGCCATGTTTCTGAGTTACATCTTCTTAGGAGATGCTTTTTGGCAAAGCATTTCCATCCTATCATTGGGGTGTTTCCTCTCTGGAATGCTAACAAATGATCATCACTGATTTATCCAGTGCAATATCAGAGGAGGGAAAAGCAACCAGACAGTGTAAACCCTTCAATAAAGCACCAGACACACTGTGATTAAAATGCACTCAGGAATCTGTATGGTGGGTGCAAGCACGGATCAACCTCAGCAAGCGGCCCCATGCGTCCCATTTTGGATGACTGAAGAAAACTGATGGCAACAATATAAGTACTGTTCAGCTGTCCAGGATGTTCCATGGCCTGGCATGTTCTGTGGCTCCTGGTTGCATCCTCTCTAAAATCCTCATGCCACCATTAACAATTTGGGTGAGACCTGGATTCATTAGGTATTCAAACAGCATTTGTTTAGTCCTAGGAATGAAGGGAAATAAGTTTCATGTAGCTTCATCTTAATGAAAGTTTATTATGTGGTAAATCTGATGTAATTTCA
Source organism: Homo sapiens (assembly GCF_000001405.40). Lineage (NCBI taxonomy): Eukaryota > Metazoa > Chordata > Mammalia > Primates > Hominidae > Homo > Homo sapiens. Next base: position 73,787,670 of record NC_000016.10, read on the forward strand.
GGGGCTTGCCGCCTTGAATGATGGATGCACTATCTGGCATAGGAATCATAAGAAGTGACTTCATAATGTACTCACCACAAATCCCAACACTGGATAGGCCTACTCTATAAATTTTCTGCCTAAACACTGTCACTGTTTTCTTAAAGTGTGTGTGTGTGTGTGTGTGTGTGTGTGTGTGTGTGTGAAAGAGAGAGAGAGAGAGAGAGAGAATGTAGGGGAATGCACATCATTCTGTCCAGTTTTTGTATCGGTCAGGGCCCAGCAGGAAGCAATTCACACGCATTCCACTGGGGTAGCTGAAGAGAGTTTAACAAAGGGACTGTTTGCAGAGGTGCAAGCTGAGTTTAAGGAAACCCAGAAGGAACAGTGGAGCACTCTGGGAGCTAAAAAACAACATGGTGCCCTCACCACCGCTAGATCTGAAGGTGCCACCAGAACCTGGCAAGAACAGTAGCTGTAGGAGAAGGTGGCACACAGGAGCTGTAGGCTTCAGTAGAGAAAGACAACCAATTCTGAGCCAGGTAGGGAAGAACCAGAGTAAAATACCACGACCTCACTCTCCTCCTGCCTTCCATTCTTCTGCTGAGCACTCTTATTGGACAAACCAAAGTAGAAACTAAATGGCAAAGGAAGGTAGCATTCAGTGGATAAAGGTCATCCCCTGGGCTTGGAGAGAATAGTAGAGAGGGCAAAACACCCAGCACAGGTTTATATAAGAGACTTCGTGTCCTTGGACTCCTCAGAAGAAATAGAAGTGATCGTGTCAGGGTTGGGGGTAGGTGAATACCCAAATTATTATACAAAGTGACTTCACAACAGACTTCTCTTGTTATCATGCCTCACATCATTACTCTTGTGTGTTGTATGTCTGCTCTGCCCATTAGGTCGTAAGTTCTGGGAGAGCAGAGGTTATGCTTTTTAGTATCCCCAGCCCAGTGCTTAGCACGCAGACAACTAGTAACAACTGAATTGAAAGAAATCACACAAATCATAAATCACCTCAGTTTCTCTATCTACAAAATGGGAATGTAGGGGAATAGGAAAATATATATATATCTATATATAGATATATCTATATATAGATCATGAGGTCAGGAAATAGAGACCATCCTGGCTAACGTGGTGAAACCCCATCTCTACTAAAAATGCAAAAAATTAGCTGGGTGTGCCGGCACGTGCCTGTAGTCCCAGCTACTCGGGAGGCTGAGGCAGGAGATCCGCCCACCTTGGCCTCCCAAAGTGCTGGGATTACAGGTGTGAGCCACACATGGGATCTGATTTTGGCATGTCTATAATAGTAGCGGTAAAAATAACAATAATATTTGCAATTCCTTCTAGCACTTTTATTCCAGACATCAGTGTGTTTATGTATCTATATATAGATATCTTATATATATCATATATATCTTATAAATAGACAACATATACAGATATCTTGTAGATATATATGATATCTATATGATAGATATCTATCATATAGGTATTTTATATATGGATAGATATGGATTTTTTTATTATTTATTTTTTTTGAGATGGAGTCTCACTCTGTCACCCAGGCTGCGGTGCAGTGGTGTGATATCAACTCACTATAACCAACGCCTCCCAGGTTCAAGCGATTCTCCTGCCTCAGCCTCCAGAGTAGCTGGGACTACAGGTGCATGTCAGCACACCCGGCTAATTTTTTGCATTTTTAGTAGAGACGGGGTTTCACCATGTTAGCCAGGATGGTCTCTATTTCCTGACCTCATGATCCGCCCACCTCAGCTTCCCAAACTGCTGGGATTACAGGCGTGAGCCACCGTGCCCGGCTGGGAAAAGATATTAAACTTCATGACATAACTGATTTCAAAGGCTGTAATCTGTAGGTTCAAAACACACTGATGTCTGGAATAAAAGTGCTAGAAGGAATTGCAAATATTATTATTATTTTTACCGCTAGTATTACAGATATGTCAAAATCAGATCCTATGTGTGGGGTGCTTTTAGATCACAGCAGAGGGGCAGATATGTAATAAATACGTTGCCAGGCAGCAATTGTACAGTCAAACCGTATCCAGTCAACAGAATGTGCTTCTTGGGCTTCAAAAATTTCTCTCTCTCTCTTTCTAAAATGGACACTCAAGCCCCGGGCTACATAACCACTGAGGTTTTATTATAAAATACATTTCAAAATAATGGTTCCAAGTCCTGGAAGCAGAGAAGAAGATGAAAAAGGAGAAGTAAACAAGGCCTTTTTCTCCTACTAAATGATAAATTCAAAGCAGCACTTTGCCGTTCTGCCTCATTTATTATCGCATTGCACTCTCGCCGCTGGAGTTAAGGTTGTGTCAGCGTTTCCATTATAAACCCCTATTTTCAAGGGTTTATAATTCAGCCATAAAAATTTGCTCCAGGCTGAAACTTGCCATGCAAAAGGTCTCATTGTAGGACCAAACTTAGGGACAAATTTAGAGGAGGGAGAATTGGGTTGGCTGTTCTGAGGTTAAAAATAGTAACAAAAAAATTGTCCTAATTGTTGGCACTTCTCTCAAATTCAGAATGTATCCTGGATCTTACAGGGATCTGAAACATCAAAAGGGGATAAAAAGGGAGTGTCTTTTTTTTTTTTTCATTTTTGGAAACCGTCATTATAGAGAAAAAGTGGCACTAGATACAGTTGTCTATTAAAAACCAACTTACAACATATATTCTTGCATCTGCAATTTACACATTGCTACTGGTTTACAAAAGTGGGTATCTGTTCTGTGCTTGTTTTTTATAAAAACTCTTGTAAAATGTGAAAAGGTGGATGCTTATGACTCAGCCACTGAGAGCTAAGCAATTTCAACTTTAAACATTATTTTCTGCCATTTCTCCTCTCTTTCCACCTCAAAGGGTATAATCTGCAAAGTAACTTTCTTCCTTTTATTGTCCCAACTCCAGAGATGTTCTAGGTGCTTTCTGTGGCATCACTTTGCCCTTGAGTACACTTGAGTTCCAAATGCAAGGCTGGTGGCCTTATTCTGGTGATGGTTGCCAATCTTCATGGAAATTTTATTTTGTTGGCATGTGAAGCTGCATCCTAACCATCATTAGATGGACACTGAGCCATGGGCTGTTGAGTTTTGTGCACCAAAGTTGCTCAGCAGAAATTACAAAGTTCCCTGGAAAATGAGAAACTCAAGTTTGCCTTGGCATCTTCCACCAGTCAGAACTGGAACGTGCCCACACATTCCTCACCAGAGTAGAGCGGCTTCCTGAGGTCACCAGTTTCAGGTACAATTCTTGTTGTGCTTACCTTCCACTCCAACCTCAGGTTTTTTGTTGTATTTTAGAGACAGGGTCTCATTCTGTTGCCCAGGCTGGAGTGCAGCGGCACAATCACAGCTCACTGTAACCTCAAATACCTGGACTCAAGTGATCCTCCCTCCTCAGCCTCCCAAGTAGCTGGGACTACAGGTTTGCACCACCACACCTGGCTAATTTTTCTATTTTTTGTAGAGACAGGATCTTGCTGTGTTGCCCAGGCTGGTCTCAAATGCCTGGACTCAAGCAATCCTCCTGCCTCAGCCACCCAAAGTGCTGGGATTACAGGCATGAGCCACCGTGCCCAGCCCCAACTTCTCTTTTGACTGGCAGAGTCCCAAGCTTGACGCCAAATGTATAGATCAGTAGTTCTCAAACGGTAGTGTGCATCGGAATTACTCCACCATCAATTTCTGATTCAGTAAGCCTGACCCGGGCCCAGAATTTGCATTTACTTATTTATTTATTTTTCATTTTTTAATTTTTTTTGAGATGGAGTCTTGCTCTGTTGCCAGGCCGGAGTGCAGCGGCGCCATCTTGGCTCACTGCGACCTCCGTCTCCCAGGTTCAAGTGATTCCCCTGCCTCAGCCTCCTGAGTAGCCAGGACTACAGGCGCACACCACCATGCCCAGCTAATTTTTTGTATTTTAATAGAGATGGGGTTTCACCATGTTGGCCAGGATGGTCTCGATCTCCTGACCTCGTGTTCCGTCCACCTCGGCCTCCCAAAGTGCTGGGATTACAGGCGTGAGCCACCGCACCCAGCCTAGAATTTGCATTTCTAACAAATTCCCGGATAACGCTAATGTTGCAGGTCTGGGAACCGCACTTGCAAACCACTGGTTTAGAACTTTCAAATATGTATTAATGAAAATAAATGAGTGTTATAGTATGCTAAATGGCATAGTATTCTCAAGTATTGTCTTCTCCAGGCCTTTCAAAGTATGAAGCCATTCAAGCTTACAGAGCCTTCATAGTAGTATAATGATTCGTAGTTTACAGATGGGAAAATTAAGAGCAAGAACTTTGTCTAATGCCTGGTGATAAATCAATGGCAGAGCCAGAATGAAGAATCAAAATTCCAGACTCCTAATTCTACCATCCAGGTGTGTTCTGACCTGTGCTGGCCAACTAGCCATTCTTCATAAGATTAAATAACAACATATGCTGCCCACAGATGATTTAAAATAGAATCATGATGCATTTAATACGCAGCATGAAAACTGAGCATTTTTATAGTCATACAGTATAAAGATCTATTTTATGTATTCACCCACTTTTATTTCCGCCATTGTAAAGCATGCCTTAAGAAATGCAACATGAATACGGGGGAATGAACTCATTTCCAGGGGCGGCGACCATGTGAGTCCAATGTCACCACAATAAAGCACGCCAAAAGAAGTGCCACAAAAATATCTAGGCAGCAATACACATGATCTTATCTCACTGCAGCAACCAAGAAAGGAGCTGGCAATACTAAATCACAGAAATAATGTGAGATGGAAGAGAAAAAGACAACTGTGGACAAAATAAGAGAGGAAAGTTTTATTAATTCTAAATACACTTTCCCCATTGGGTTTACGCTCGCATTTGTCCTAATAGGTTCCAGATGTTCAGCCGTCCTGTAAGTAGCTACCTAGGATAAAACAGTAGCTTGCCTCCTTTAAGTTAAAAGGGTGAAATTGTGGACCTAAGGGCTGATTTACAGTTTAGTTAAATCAGAGCCCACAGCATGAACGAATGGAGAATGGCAAGTGGTGGGTGAAGGTGAAAACGGTTGTTCGAAAAGGCTGGCGGCTCAAGGGTTAATACCAACCTTTTTCTTTGAAGGCAGCCTTCTGTAGTAGCTAATGAAGGTAATGAAATATGACATGTAGTTTGGCCCTTGACCATACAGTGCACCCCCCCCCTCCCCTCTCTGCTGTGAACAAAGCCAAAACAGATGTAGCAACTTCTGTATGGTTTGGGGTTGACGTTTGTTACAGAGAGCAGGTCACCCTGCACATTCCCAGAATGTTCGCTTCTGACACAAGCGGCATTATCTGAGAAAGATGCTGCCTTTGTTTGGGAGACGGGGAGAGAAGGGAGGGATGCAGACAGCAGACAGGGGGACTTCAGCTTATATGAAAATTAAGCCAAATTTCCCTCTTGTTCTTTGCCTTGGTTCTCAGCCCTCCTGTGCCTTCCTATTTCTTCCTTCTGTCCCTCTGTACAATGGAAAAACAAACAAACAAAAAAGGCATTCTTTCCTTCAGGGGGAATAAGATGTGGCTTTGCTTCAGCAAGAAAGCTTTCAACCAAGCTGAATTTTGTAGGAAAAAAATTTCTCTGTACATTGACTGTTGACCAATCTTTGAGATTCAAAGAAAGAGAGTGATACCTAAGGATGGCTTGGATTCTTATTTCTGAAAGCCACCTGTGTTGGTCACGTGAGACAATGAAAAGGAAGCATCTCCTTGGCAAACATCATCATTTCCAGGCTTCAATGTCAGCATCTGTGCCTGGTACCTTGATGCAAGCCAACATATCTCCAACGAAAATATGCTCCTTGCAATAAAAAGCACTTTGCTTGACTACGCGGTTCATACTAATTGTAGCTGTGCTGTATCTAGTTCCTTCATTCTTGAAGATCACTGGACTATTTGACTGTGTGATTCTCCTCCCTGCCAAGAGATCTCATTCAAGTGGCTTTCTTTAAAAAAATTTCATCAAGTCTTGCCCTAATACAGCATCTATTTTTTTTTCCAAAAGATCAGACCTTCAGAAAAGTTAGGTTTGGAATGAAGAGGAATAAGAGGAGGAGGAGTCCCGACAATTGACAGCCTGTTTCAAATGTTATTTCTCATTCTCAGCAGAGACGCTGGCATGTGCCTTTTGAAAGGGGATACTGTACCTTTAACCTTGACTCTGAACGCATTCTTAATTTGGGATGCAAGCTGAGGTTCAAAAATGGATAGCCTTTGGGTGGTGATTGGGGGGAGGGGTGTGGCTGGATTTATTTATGAGGCGTGTGGAAAATTTTGACATCACATGCTAGAGCCATTATTCACATGTTACATGACACGAGATTGGCCCTTTTAATGCAGCAACATCACATAAAAATTTGATTTTGTCCTCTGACAGCAGGCTGGTCCTCGCCTGCTCTCCAACCGCCCCCGCGAAATGTAATCTTTTTAGGTTAAAGGCCACGGGAAAGTGATTGGAGCAGGCTTTCATCAGACCCCAGAAAGCTGGGTTTGGAAGGAGCTCCCTCGGTCACCACAAGCTACAGGAGGGTGGACATCGAGGGCTGGTTGTGAAGGAGTGTCTTCCATGAGGAGACCCCTAGGCCACCCCAGACCCCCTCCCAGCCCTTCTCCACCACAGCTGCTCCCTGACGGCCAGGTGAGAAATTGGCAGGGACTCCAAGCTGCTCATCAATTTCAAGAAACATTCACTTCTGCGGCATATACTAGCCTAGCCTTCTGTCCAGTCAGGCAAAGCCATCTAATCTAATGAGATGTCTAATAAGAACCACCCTAGAGGGTAAAAGACACTCAACACCTTTAGGTTGCATGGTCCTTTATTCAAATTATTGTTGTTCCCACGACTGTGCTTTATAACCATGAGGCGATCCTGAGAGGGGACATAGGGACCCCCCCTTTGCAAATGACGCAACTGAGGCCCTGTAAGAGTAGACAGTGCAAACTCATTCACATCAAGTGGCTGAACCCAGATCTCAGACTCAACAGCTTTACATCTTTCCTATTTAACCAATTATTCTATACCTTTTCCTGCAACAGATGGGAGTCTATAAAGGGCTATCGATTAGACGCTTTTATCTCATTTAAATAGGGTTTACATATTACATAGAAATCTCTGTGATCATACCTCCCCCATCCAAACTTTGTGCCTTTCATTTTGGAATAATGTCATGGGGTACAGAAGTTCTCAGTTCATGTTCTAGGTAAATGAAGGGAGATGCCTCTGTTCATTACCATAAAAAAAGTGTCTAAAAATTGTGCCTTCACATGCTATTCATAAACACACCCAGGACTGGTTGGCTGCACTTTTATCGGCAACAAAACAATCAGCTCTTGGAAAGGAAGCTCAGTGCTTGGAACAAGTATTGGCTCAAGCAAACACATACTTCAAACTGACTCCTCTCAGTGTCATGAGCTGCCAGCCAAAGGAGCAGTAGTACACAGAGGTCCCAGGCTCAGACCGCAGCCAGGAGTCTGGGAGGAGGATCAAATACCCTGAGCATCTGGCTCTGATACATATGCCAAGAAAACTCTCTCCAGACTCCAAAGACTATTCCCATGACTTTGCTTTGTCTGGAAATTCCATTGCTTGAATAGAGCAGATTCATTCTCTTCGTTTTGAGGACCCCTCTTGCTCAGGCAGCCAAAGCAGGCTGTGTAACAGCTGCTATCACCATGTTCAGGGCCAAGACCTGAGAGGCACAAGCTCAGGCAGGTTGCAAACGAGAGTCAGTCTTCATTGGTTTTCGATGAGCCTGGAAATGCAGGCTTGGCTGATGAGAGATGACAAGAACAGAGAACCACCTTTCTATCTCATTAAAACCCTGAATAGAGAACCTTTCTATCTCATTAAAATCCTGAATAGAGAACCTTTCTATCTCATTAAAACCCTGATTGTCCCTAGGAAGAGCAGTACGACATGACAGGTGTCCTACAGAATCATGAAGAACAACGACTGTGGCCACTGCTGCCCAGTTTCCAGAATGACCTGTTCCCTGATTTGACATTGATCATCAATCCCTTAACTAACCCAGAATTGCATTCAGAATTTCAATTCTTTGACAACAGATGTTTAAAAGTGTGAGTTAAGAGGTCCCTCTGGGCATGACTGAAATACAAATTCTGCCTGGACACAGGAGGATAGATTAGATGGCCTCTCCCACTTCCTATTAGATTTTGCCCTGTGCTGCTGGTGTAGGTTGGACCCTATAAAATTGCTGATATTTCAATGCTTTTAATCTATAAAATTGGCAAATCCATAAGGTTCAGCCTAATACAGCCCTGAATTTGGTAAATAGATGGGTTTAACAAACGGCCATTGCGTGAATCACAGCAAATTGGGGAACAGCAGAGCTTGGGACATTATTTCCAGTAGAAAAATGTGTTATATAATGTCATGATTGTATTATGTAACAAGTACCTAATTTTCTTTTGCCTCTAAAATACAAAGCATAACTTTTTTATTATTCATGCTCAGAGAAAAAATAGTTATTTAAAATAGCACAAAGTATTACCCAAACCATTAAACCTTTTGCACAGCCACTGCCAATTTAGGGATGAAGATGAGGTCTAAAAGACAGATGCAAAGAGACTGGGGAGTATCAAGTCAACAAAACTCTAGATGCCTGAACAGTAAGAAAAAATAATGTTGCTGGTAGCAAAGAAATGAACCAATCTTGTCATATTCTCACTGTTTCTTCTTGCAGCCCATCATCCAAGGAAAACAGCCCAGGCAGTGGAAAATTACAGTTTTCCAATAAGAGAGACCAACTGCAGCTTTGTAGTTTTCATTTCAGAATGAGTACACATGTCATGTCAGAAGAGAAACCCTGGCAGGATCTAGAAGTCACCCGATGCCAGTGAGAGGAGGTGAGGACCTGACAAAGCTATGAGCGTTAGAGGGGCTCCGAGCCTGTGGTTGCCTCCACATATCGCAGTAATTGGAGTGCAAGGCAGGACAGCAGCAGGTCAAGGTCAGCCAGAGGTCATGGCACCTCTGCTGATGGGTTCCTTAATGGTCCAGATAATGCATGCTTCGGGGAGAGAGTGGGGACAACGACATAAAGAGATGGCAAAGGGGACCCAAAACTGGCTCACAGCTTGTTCATGAAATCCTGGGGTAAAACAACATTAACCCCTTCCTTGTTGGGGCTGTAACATGTCCTGGATCCCTTGCACTGAAGAGCTTCCAGGCTGAAGAAATGTTATGTGGAAAAGTGAAGGCTGAGTGCAGTGGCTCACGCCTGTAATCCCAGCACTTTGGGAGGCCAAGGCGGGTGGATCACCAGAGGTCGGGAGTTCGAGACCAGCCTGGCCAACATGGCGAAACCCTGTCTCTACTAAAAAAAAAAAAAATTAGCCAGGCAGGGTGGCACATGCCTGTAATCCCAAGTGCTTGGGAGGCTGAGGCAGGAGAATGGCTTGAACCCAGGAGGCAGAGGTGGCAGTGAGCCAAGATCATACCATTGCACTCCAACCTGGGTGACAAGAGTGAAACTCTATCTCAAAAAAACAAACAAACAACAACAACAACAACAAAACAGAAGTAGTGAAGCACTGTTTATGCAGTCCAGTTGTAGCATCCAAGATGAAGCAGCCAGTGCTGAGGCTAAAATTACTCTGAGTTTTAAAGAATCAGGTTACACATTTGCAGCAGTTTCCTGACCTGCTCCTGTAGGGCCAGAGCCCTCATGAACCTGTGTTTCTGGAACTGCACAAAGCAACAAATGGCAGAGGGCCCATGAGTCCAACACAGGCTGCTGGTTAAATGTTTAGGATTGTCAAAATGCAAAAAGCCAGTTCCGCAGAGGTTTAGGCCCAGGGAGGTCAGTGGAAATTATAAATCTGTGATGGCCAGAGAATGCCTGAAATTTTCAAGTATGATTCATTGTATGACAATGAAATTCAGAAGCCAACCACGGTAGAGGCAGGGGCTGGTAGAGATTTGGATCTACACTGGTACGGTGGAGAAAGAACCATGGGTAAGTCAGGAAGCTTGCACTCTATTTCTGGCTCTGCATGACCTTCAGTTTCTTCGTCTAAAAATTAGAATAATAGGAATTACTTGTGGATAAAACATGCTTATGTATAGGACAAGCCTTCTGAAGACTTTTTTTTTTTTTTTTTTTTTTTTGAGAAGCAATTGCACTCTTGTCACCCAGGCTGGAGTGTAATGGTACAATCTTGGCTCACTCAACCTCTTTCTCCTGGGTTCAAGTGATTCTCCTGCCTCAGCCTCCCTGGGATTACAGGCGCTCGCCACTATATCCAGCCAATTTTTGTGTTTTTTTAGTAGACATGGGGTTTCACCATGTTGCCCAGGCTGGTCTCAAACTCCTGACCTCAAGTGATCCACCTGCCTTGGCCTCTCAAAGTGCTGAGATTATATACAGAAACCACCGCACTCGGTCCTTCTGAGACTTTCAGTAACTATAAGGTAGTAATAACACTGTTGTCACTACTATAATGTTCAGACCAATTGTGCATTCAAGACTGGGCTTTGGTTTGTTGTGTTACTATTTATTGAAGTAATGAGATGGAAAACATGGTCTCTGCTGGCATCAGAATTCCTCTGGGGGTGGGGAGGCGGAATTCTCTTTTTAGGGAAGATATTCTTGGAGAGATGCTTGGGGGAAAGGTGAGACCTTGAGGGCATGGGTGAGAAGTTAACAAGGTGGGGGGTAGCTAAGCTGAAATGCATTTAAAACAGGCCAAAATTTAAGGAGAAGGTGCATGTGAGGAAAAAAGGAAAAGGAGAGAGGAGAGATACCCCCCAAAAAAAGGAAATGGGAACCCAAACCATAAAAGGACCCAGATACTGATCTGTAAATTCTCCCGTCTTCCCAAAGCTTCAGTGCAATCTACACACAGGTGCACACACACAGACACACACACACACACACAGGCACACATCTTGTGGGAATAGCTTGTCTGAAGGAAATTCAGGAAGTTGGCTGAGCTCCTCAGCTCTGTTGTACATCACAGATGACAGAAGGACGTCAAGACCATTTCCAACATCAACCGATTCAGCAGAAGCACAAGTGTGGGGCCAGGGGTAACCACAGGGTGCTTAAGCCCTTTGGAAATGTACAGAAACACCATGAAGGGCATCTCATTCTCATGGGACGTGTTTGGAGGGGGATGAGCTTGTCCGTCCCTCCTAGAGATTTTAGGACACGAAAACCCTGCCTGATGTCTGAATCATTATACAAATTCTTTGGCTTCTTCAAATGTCCTGCTAACATTAAATAATCAGAAACAGACTCCTAGAATACAGCTTTCCTAAGTCCATGCTCCTCAGTGGAAGCTGCTCTAAGCACTAAATGTCATCAAAGCTGCCCCGAACCTGATGTGTCTATTTGGAATTTGCAATGGGGTAAAAAAGCAAGCTCTGTCTCCAGCCCTGTGGCAAATGCTGTATTACCCTGGAGGCACCAATGAGGTGATAGAGGTGAGATGAGAAGGCAACCCTAAGAAACATTCCACCTCCCCGACCCTCAATCTCTTTATCTATAAAATGCCAATGAGTAATAGCCACTTCAAAGAGCTGATACAATGACTAAATATGTAATATCTATAAAAGTGTTTCTGAACATGGGAAGATGCTATATGAGTGTAAATGATGTGTATCTTATTTAAAACTCCATAGGTGAATTCCCAAGTAGGCCCATATTACGACAGTGGATGACATCAGGCATTTAGGATGAGGCTACAGAGCATCCAGACAGCAGAGTGAATTGAGGCAGGTTTCTTTGGCCTTCCCTTGCAGGCAGCATTCTCATCTGCAAAGATGGAGAAGGGAAGAGAGATGCTTGCTGCACTCAGGGAGCTGGTACCCAGGCTCCTGGTGCACCTGTTGCTCACATCCCCTGGAAACAGCAAAGACTCCACACTGAGGTTCCCATGGGAAGAAAAAAGCCTTCCCCTGCTTCCTCTCAGGAAGAAAGGGATGCAGGAAAGCAACTCTATTTGGGCTCCAGTTCTTCCTTGAAACCTCCTGAGCAGAAGGGGAAATCAGACAGAATCAACCCCAAAGGCGATCTCCTGTCTTTTTGAAATTGCTTCCAGCTAAGCTGTGAAGAATGTGGGAGACAAAAAGCATCTCACTCTCCCATTTAAGAGAATCAAAAGTCCCAATATTGACTTTTGTCTTTCATTACCAAACACGCACATAGGATGCACATAACGTACACGAATAATAACAACAACGACTTAAGGCCAGGTGTAGTGCCCTCATCTGGAATCCCAACACTTTGGGAGGCCGAGGAGGATCTCCCCGAGATCAGCCTAAGCAACATAGCAAGACCCTGTCTCTACAAAAAAGAGTTAATTTGTATATTAAAAATTTTAATATAAAACAATGTTTAATAATTATTTAATAATTGTTTAATAAAACAATGACTTCTATAGAAATCATCTACAAACATGAGGATATTACAACCTCATAAGCCTCAGACATGTATTTATTAAGGACTGCCACCGTGGCGCAAGACTGCTTTTTGTTGGCCCATAAATTACTATTGTAATTTTTTTTTTTTTAGATGGAGTCTCACTCTGTCACCCAGGCTGGAGCACAGTGACGCAATTTCAGCTCATTGAAACTTCCACCTCCCAGGTTCAAGCAATTCTCCCGTCTCAGCCTTTCGAGTAGCTGGGACTACAGATGCACACCACCCGCCTGGCTAATTTTTGTATTTTTAGTAGAGACGGGGTTTCACCATATTGGTCAGGCTGGTCTCGAACTCCTGACCTCAGGTGATCCATCTGCTTTGGCCTCCCAAAGAGCTGCGATTACAGGCATGAGCCACCGTGCTGGGCCTACTATTGTTATTTATGTTGTGCTTTTTCTTCTTCTTCCTCCTCCTCCTCCTCTTCCTCTTTCCCCCTGTTCTGAAGCTTGTCCATAAATTCTACTCTTGCCAGTTAAAGTTAAAATAATGAAACATCAGGGCTCCTCCAAGACCACAGCCCCTGGGGCTTTCTCAATTGGTTTCTGAGTCTGACAGCACTGTGGTCGTGTCATCCTTTTGAGCTGCCCAACTCCATCTGCCCCTGGGCACCTGACCCGGAGTCAGCCAGCATCCTCTGGGCTGAAGTTCAGACTCCGTCTACCCCCAAAAGAAAAACAGCACCCATCCTTCTGTGTGAGAGCAGGCCACGGGGAAGGGACACTCTGCTTTTTGATGATGATTTCTGACACACTGACTCTGTAAAAGGCCCATCAGCTCATGTGTCTCCGTTCTTCGGCCACTTGCCTGCCCTGGTAGTTATAAACGTGAGGCTCCTCCCTTTAGAGTGCAATAACTATAACCTCCCCGTAATGAGCAAAACCAACAGCATTGACACTGCCTGGAAATGAATGCTACCACTTAGATTCTAATAAAAGAGAAGTTGGAACAAGCTGTACCAGGTGCCTTCTATTTGTACTTATATTCAATTATATAGCATATGTTTTTAGTGGAATTGTTAAAAAGGGATTTGTTTATTTTCATCGGCTGCCTTTTTTATCCCCACTGGTAAAACAAAACCTTAGTTACTGACTCAGGCCCCTATCTCTGGTGCCTGAGCAATTCAAACCAGTTCAATACAATTCTACAAATATTTATTGAGCCCCTAACACAGGGAATGACCAATACATATTTTCTGAACGAATAAATGAAACAATATAATCCTCCTTAGGTAGGAGGTGGGTTAAAGGGTTACACATGAAGGCGGTGTTCAATCCTTTCCTCTGATAGCTACTGGTCCTCCAAAAAAATTGGTTTGCAACTAATTCTGCCAGCCAGGAGACAGCATAAACCAGGAAAGAATGGACTAGATCAAAAAATCAGGGCATGTGAATTTGAGTTTCGACACTGCTGCTAATTACTACATTAATTTTAGGCATATCACTTCATTTCCCTGTGTTTCCATTTCTGCAACCACTACAAAACAAGTGCAGAAGTCCAGACCCTCTTCTTCCTCTAAAGCGTGGCTCTGAATTACCTTTACAAATTCCAGAAGTGGTCAGCATCCCACTGATATGGTGATACATGTGCTGATGGGTCTACTTGACCCTGTTTTTATATGCGAGTGTGGTCATTGCTGTGTCTACAGTTGTCCCGATTCCACAAAGACTCTTAGTGTGCAACAACATGCTCTGCAACTTGGGCGTGTTCATTTTACTTTCTCTGCCTCAGTTGTCTTGCCTGAGTTCCTTGCAGCTCTCACATTCTGGCTTTCTCTAATAGCTTAGTCAAAAGAAGGGCAGGGAGATGTGTGCAAATTTGGATCTCTCCTCGCCGTTAGAGGAACAGCCCACCTGAAAGCATGCATCCTGAAGTCATCCTTGTTTATGAAGGACAGTGTGTCAGTCCTGTCAAAGGTAACAAATGCATCAGTGACCGCAGTGATGTACCAAAGTCCTTAAAGCCCCGGGCTGTGGAAACTGTGCCTTAACAATATGTTAGATGCAAAATGTGTGACTTTTTTTTTTAAATAAGTTGATTCTTCATAAAACCCCACTCCCAGGATGATAGTATCAAATTGTCAGAGATATTAGGCAATTCTGATGACCTCTTCAGGAAGGAGGGACCAAGAGGTGACAAAGCGAAGGCCATCAAAAATGTGACTCCACAGGGAAGGGAGGGGCCAGTGAGCCCCATGCCAAACTCTAGATAATTTGCTATGGGTGTTTCCCAGTGTAAGCAATGGCTTGAGATTTTAGGAAATGCTAATTTATCTTTTGATGACCATGACTTTCAAAAGTCTCATTTTGTGGTTGAAAGAATCCCCAGTATTTTCTAGCAGAAGTATCCCAGACACTGATGATAGGACACAAGGTGTTTGGCTGGCAGGTGAGCCTACACTAAACTCAGGGAAAAGAATGAGAAAGGACAGACTAATACAGGTCGCAGCTCTGCCTGGGGTAAGTGACAGTACTAGACTTGAATGTCACACTGTAGGCACAAAGTACTAGAAATGGACACTGCTCTGCCCTTTTTTGATGGACACCAGAACTAAAGGTTGAAGAGGGATGTTTTCTAAACAAGAACAAAATAACAATAGACATTATTACAATAAGCAGGTATATATTATATTTTATATTCTTAGAGTAAATTATCAACAAAGCATTATGATTTCTTTTTGTTTTTGTTTTTTAATAGAGCCTCACTCTGTTGCCCAGGCTAGAGTGCAATGGCACAATCTCGACTCACTGCAACCTCCACTTCCCAGGTTCAAGCAATTCTCCTGCCTCAGCCTCCTGAGGAGCTGGGATCACAGGCACACGCCACCACACCCAGCTAATTTTTGCTTTTTAGTAGAGATGGCCAGGCTGGTCTTGAACTCCTGACCTCAGGAGATTTGCCCGCCTCAGCCTCCCAAAGTGCTGGGATTACAGGCATGAGCCACCGTACCAGGACAGCATTATTATTTCTAATATGCGAAGCTCCTATTAACCAATAAGAAAGAAGACAACTCAAAAGAAAACAGGCAAAGATACGAGTAGAAATTTATAGAACAGGAAATGCAAATAGTCAAGAAATGTACAAAAGATACCCAACTCCAGAGACAGTCCCGCAAATGTCATTAAAGCAACAATAACACATCAGTGTTGAGGTATGTTCAGTTGAGGTATGTTCAGTGTTGAGGTATATCAGTTGTCATTGTTGACAAAACTTAAGACCTTGATAATAGCTAGCGCTGGGGATAACGTTAAGAATGAAAATACTCCAATATATTACTGAAGGAAATATAAATTGCTACAAGATTTAAGGAAAATAATCAAGCTGTGCTTATTAAAGACTAAAAATTCACTTACCCTTTGACATGATAATCACATTTATGAGAGCCTATTGAACAGAACAGAAGTAAAAGCACAAATATATAATAAAATATGTAGAAGGATGTTTATTTAATTCTTGAATGTTATGTTTGAAAAATCTTGATTCACCTAAAGCCTTATGAATAGGCAAATGGGTGTCTATATTTTGTTAGACTTATTCTGCAATTACAATTACTAAAAAGAACAAGACTTGAAAAGATGTTCTTTATACGTTAGTAAGTTTTTAAAAGCACATTTCAGAGTAATATGTG
Source organism: Homo sapiens (assembly GCF_000001405.40). Lineage (NCBI taxonomy): Eukaryota > Metazoa > Chordata > Mammalia > Primates > Hominidae > Homo > Homo sapiens. Next base: position 73,803,774 of record NC_000016.10, read on the forward strand.
TAATGTCAGTTTTATAAAGTAAAATAAAAGGAACAATTTTTCTGCGTGTGTGTCTGTGAACAAAGATAATGATACAGAAAGATATCCATCAAATTACTAGAAACAGCCAGGCACAGTGGCTCATGTCTGTAACCCCAGCACTCTGGGAAGCCAAGGCATGCAGATGGCTTGAGCCCAGGATGAGACCAGTCTGGGCAACATGGCAAAACCGCGTCTCTACAAAAAATACAAAAATTAACTGGGAGTGGTGGCACACATCTGTAGCCCTAGCAACTCGGGAGGATGAGGTGGGAAGATCACTTTAGCCTGGGAGGCTGAGGCTCCAGTGAGCCGAGATTGTGCTACTGCACTCCAGCTTGGATGCCAGAGCAGACCCTGTCTCAAAAAACAAAAACAAAAACAAAACTAGAAACATAAATTACAAGGGGTAGGAGGAACGAGGAGGAAGAGTGGAACATTAGTTACCTTCTATACACATAATTATATATTATTTCGCTTGCTACAATTAAGATGTGATAAAACAGTAACAACACAATTAAAATACTGAAAAACAAAAACTACACCAAGTTCTAACAGCTTTACCAATAAGATCCCTACAGATGGCAAGCCACCCAAGGATGGCCACGCAGTCCAAAATGGCACCTCTCACATAGGTGATACCCAGTATATGTTTGTTGAATGGATGAGCATTAAGCAGTCAGAAACATTGATTAAATGCAGTTGAAAGAGGTGTAATTTCAGGGGCCAAGGAAAGCTTTATCCGCACCTTTCTTTCCCTTCTCTATCCCTTAAAAAACAACAGCTTAGTATCTGGAAACTCATTTGATATAATTTACAACCCTCAGAGGCCCATTAGAAGCTTCTAGCATCATGGCAAATATGAGTCTTTTATTGAAAAATATGTGGATCTTGCACAATGCCTGGACCCACCTGGGAGAAATGCAGCTGCTTCTATTTCATTTGGGGTGAAAACTGTGAATACTTCACCTTTCTGACATATTCTAACATCACTGCAAAGTCATTATAGTTTTCTCTAAACTCTATGAAATCTTCTATGGCCAAAACACTATACACATACTACATACACACTTAACACACCACACACACACACCCACACCAAAGAGGGAGGGAGGGAGGGAGGGGAGGGAGAGGGAGGGAGGGAGAGAGGGAGAGGAAGGGAGGGAGAGAGGGAGGGAGGGAGAGAGAGAGAGACTCATATATTTATTATATGACTATTTATGGCTTCAATTCTTAAGCGAGTATACTTAGTGTTCATGTATTTCCTGCTGCACCTCTGACACAATCAGAGAAAATACCCTAACTATAGCTCTGTCATTCCACCTGCAAAACTTTTTCATAAGTACCTCTTTATATATTCGTTATATTTTTATTTTTATTATATTTTATTTTTTGAGATGGAGTCTCATTCTTGTTGCCCAGGCTGGAGTGCAATGGCACAACCTCTGCTCACTGTAACCTCCGCCTCCCAGGTTCAAGCGATTCTCCTGCCTCAGCCTCCTAAGTAGCTGGGATTACAGGCACCTGCCACTACGCCTGGCTAATTTTTGTATTTTTAGTAGAGATGGGGTTTCACCATGTTGGCCAGGATGGTCTTGAACTCCTGACTGCAGGTGATCCGCCTGCCTCTGCCTCCCAAAGTGCTGGGATTATAGGTGTGAGCTACCGTGGCTGGCCATTCTGGTATATTTTCACACATCTATCTTTCCATCAAGACTGCCACCTTCTAGAAGGTAAGGACTGTGAAGTTTTCATCTTTGCACATTGTAGATGCTCAGTCACTGTTCATGGAATAGATGAAGGAGTGGATGGGTGGAAATCACTTATTCATTTATTGATGAAACAAACATGTTAAGCACCAATGATGTACAGGGCACTGCCCTAGCAATGAGACATAGCAATGGACAAAACAGTTAAAATCCCTGCCCTTCTAGAGCTTGTATTCTAGTCAGGAGGCCACAAAAAGATGCACGTATAATATAATGCTGGGTGGCATGTGAATAAAAGGATAGCAGAGTAAAGAGACAGAGGGTGATGGGGGTACTTCTTCGGCTCAGGTGGTCATAGAAGGCCTCTCTGAGAAGGTGACTTGCTCAGAAACTTCAGTGAAATGAGGGAACATGTATTATTCCATTCTCAGGCTGCTAATAAAGACAACTGCGACTGGGTAATTTGTAAAGAAAAGAGATTTAATTGACTCACAGTTCCATATGGCTCAGCAAGCCTCAGGAAACTTACAATCATGGCGAAAGGCATCTCTTCACAGGGTGGCAGGAGACAGAATGGGTGACGAGCAAAGGGGGAAGCCCCCTATAAAACCATCAGCTCTTGTAAGAACTCACTATCACAAGGACAGCAGGGCAGAAATTGCCCCAGTGATTCAATTATCTCCATCTGGTCCCGCCCTTGACACGTGGGGATTATTACAATTCAAGGTGAGATTTGGGTGGGGACACAGAGCCAAACCATACCAGAGCACATCTGGAGTAGAAAATTCCAGGCAGAGGCAAGAGCAAGTGCAAAGGCCTAGAGATAGGAACATGACTGGCACAATTGAGGAGCAGCAGGGAAGCCGGTGTGACCACAGCACAGTGAGAGAACAAGAGATCAGAGATGGAGCCGGAGTGAGATGTGCAAGGCTCTGAGGTCACGGCTTTAGCTCCGCTGAATACAGTGTTGGCCTTTGGGGCAATATGGGGAAAGTGGGTCAGTCCTTGTACAGATACACAGTCAGGTGTTCCCAAGAAGGGCAAGCTTAGGGGCAGGGTGGGGATGGGGATTAGTTGTCAGCCAATAACACTGGTTGGTGGGGGGGGTCAAGTAAATCAAATGAGCCCCAATGTGCCATCCCATGCTAAGGTCTCAAGGCCTCCCCACTGACACTTTGTCCTTTGCTTCCTCATTGCTTGCCCTTTTTTAAAATCATCATTTAACAGCCTTTATGCAAAATGTTACACTTTTTAAAAATCGGTGAAGCATGCCACTTTTGGAAAATGAGACCAAGGGGAGCCCTCTCCATCTCCCCAAGCCCTCTCCAGCTTTGGCACTGCCCTGACCCTTTTGGGGGAAGTGGTTATTGGCTGTGAACTAGACGGAATCCATCATCCCATCAGCAGATCTGAGGCTAACTCAAGGGAATGCGAGCGTTCCATCCAATTCCACCAACCACGTGATGAGGTGAGGAGGATGGAGGAAATGTTACTGAGCTTCTGGTCTAGAAGCAGGTGCAACATGAGAAAAACCATAACTAAAAATAGCTGTCATGGAAATGTTTTAGTGGGTACAAAGAAGCACTGTGAATTCAGAGAAAGGGAGTGGCCACATCCAGCTGGAGCACCCGAGAAGAGGCAGCAGGGACCGCTGGCATTTCAGCTGTGGATGCCTCTATTATCATAGAAGTTACCCCAGAAGTTGAGTTGTGTGAATACATCATTTTTCATTACTATACAAGCCTGTTCTGCCCACGTGTGACACAAGGCCATCTGACTACCAGTACCTTTTGACTGATTCTCCCTCCCTTCTTCCCTCCTTTCTTCCTTGCTTTCTTCCTTTTTTTTCAGCCCAAGAGCATTCAAATCCACTGATAGCCAAATTTAGGAAAATGCCAGAGATATGTTTTAGAAATATCTATAACCATCAAGCTAATTGCACCAACATCATCTGTTAAAAGCTGCTAAAAATGATCCATGGTCTTGCTGTGTCTCCCAGGCTGGGGTGCAGTAGCACAATCATAGCTCACTGCAGCCTCCATCTCCTGGGCTCAAGCAATCCTCCTGCCACAGCAGCCCCCAAATAGCTGGGCCTACAGGCACATTCCACCATGCCCCAATTTTTTTTTTTTTTTTTTTTTTTTTTTTTTGGTAGAGGCAGGGCTTCTCCATGTTGCCCAGGCTGGTCTTGAACTCCTGAGCTCAAGCAATCCACCCACATCAGCCTCCCAAAATGTTGGAATTACAGACGTAAGCCACTGCACCCAGCCAAAGTATCAGTTTTCTAAGAAAAGACATCCCACCTACCCACCCATTCACGCGGGACTCTAATGTCTTTTTTTTCCAACATACATTTTGGACGGGCATCGTACCAGGCCCTGTGCTAGGTTACGTGTATCCATTGAATCTTCCTAGAAATCCTCATGAACTTGGTACCATTATTACCACTCTTTTACATTCAAGTATCACTTGCTTCAAATCGCATACCTACAAATGGAAGATTCAGGGTTCAAAACGAGGGTATAATGTCCATGCTAGAGGGCTTACACTCAGAAACCCTAACTCTCAATATTAAACTTTCTATTAAGGGTGGGGCATGGGCAGGAAGATGTGGGCACTGAAGAGAGACCAGTTTCCCTCCTGGGAACACTCCATGATGAAGACTTGGGAAGAAAAAGGGAAGAAAAAGGTTAAAACCATCGATGTAGATCATGAGCACATGCTCATTTTCAAAATAAAACAACTTCTTTGTGAGAATAATTGAGAAATAAATGTTGTAGGGAGGACTGTTGAATTTCATTTTGGTAGAGAAAGTGATAGTAGTTGAAATTCTTGTTTTCTTGCTACTGTGGTAAGTATTGCTATCCATGTTGAATAGTTTCAAATATCAGACAAAAAGAAGAGATTGATGTGTTAGAAAGCCAGCCTGTAAGCTTCTGTGAGTGAGGAGTCCTTCTACTTTTTGTTTCAGGTATACAGAAGATGGTTGGATACATGAATACAAGGTAAGGCAAGAAATAGATACCCAGGCACACTGTCCAGTGTGTGGACAATGGCACGCTAGTCAGCTTTCGATAAGTGTCAGTTGAATGGAAATAAGCTGAATGAATCTGAAGGTGGCATACATAATGGGATGAGCCTGGGTAAGAGATTTAAAAGCTTGAAGCAGACACCCTTGATTATGTGATGTACAACCATTTAAGCATATTAGTTTAGAGGGGAGGGGAAAGAGGCAGAGGCTTGAGTTTCCAGAGCTAGAGGAACAACTTAGAAGAGAAAGAATTAAGAGTGGAAAGGGAGCATATAGTATGCAGAGTATATAACCTACAAGGACAGTAACCTAGCATTCTGAGCAGCCTTAGGATAGAAACTGCTGGAAAAAGGAAGCCAGTCCTGAGGACATCCAGAAGTTTAAGAGTCACAGCAAACTACTATGTAGAGAAGCAGCATTGATAACAGTTGATTACTGACCCAGTGCCGGATAGATTTTATCCTGTCATCTGTGTTGCTTGGCTTGGGTTTGTTTCTGTAATGCATTTGTAATAAGCAATAAGTGCAATGTTTCCTAAAAGCAGGGGTTGATGGGAAGATGGGAGGAGGTACCAAACGGCAGATTCCTGCTCTCCTTTGCTGTCGGAATGGAGGTGACCCTGCCACAATCCCAAGGTGCAGGTAGAGTTCCTGGGAGGAATTAAAAGCCCGCTTTAAGACTATTCCTGAGGCTGAAACCTCTTTTCAGTGACAAGCATCATCAAAGCTGTAATGCAAGTCAGCTGCACCGGGCAAATGCAGCATACGGTGACACTGTAACCTCCCTGAAACGGCAATGAAAATGCACCTGACCCAGGGAGGTGCCACTGTGTGGAAGCCTGCCCCTTCCTCGGTAGGGAAAAGATGGCCTGACCTGCCGCTTCATTCAAAGGAGTCCACGCCTCCTCACCTAGGTTAGAGCAGGTGGCATCATCCACACAGGTGCTCCAAAACCCAAGCTGGAGCTGTCACGGATTTATGAGCTCCTGTCTGTTTCACGGTGCTGCTTCTCACCGAGCCTACTTCATCATTTAAATTATTAACAGTGAAAGTGCATTGACTGGGGGAGTCGGTGGAATACAGGATCCTGAAGAGGGTGGAAGGGTCTCAATACAGTTTCATCTCTCTCATGCAACTCACCCTCATCAGTCTCCAGATCTGGGCTGCTGAACATGCATGGAATAAACGGAGGGGATTTTTAAGGCAGTTTCTGTTTAGGCTCTACTCATTAAAAACAAAACAAAAAACAAAACAAAACAAAAAACTCCATTACCTAACCTAGTCTTGCCTATAGTTTTCAGAAATCATGAGACCATCAAAAGTCTACTTTGCCTGGTAAAAATGTCATCCCCACCCAGCCTTCCCTGTGGCCACTTACCTATGCTGACATTGTATTGCTTTGCTTGGTAGCAGTTCAAGGGAATAAAAGCATTTTCTTGCACTCCACACATTGCGGTGTCTAACTCCTCAGCCTTTGCACCAAAGAGGCAAATCTAGAATGTGAACGTTGGTCACATGTATTTTGGCCTTAGGATGAAGTCCTGCCTGTTAGAGTCTATATATGAGGCTTAATATTCAGTATTTATTTTCCAGGTTGCCCTAAATCTGGGCACAGCCACCCCGCCACCTCCACTTCCACTGACCCTGTTAACCCTGAAAAGAAAGTTAAATCCTATAACTCAAGCCTAGCCCTGCAAAACTGAAGCTGTAGCTCTCAATCAAATAGTCTCTTGCCATTTTTAATAAATTGGATTGTGGATTAATCTTGGGAGTATTTGGGCCCCTGATGAAACATTCTCTTTCAGGGAAGATCAAAATTTTCCTATTTGCATAGAAAGTTTACAAATAAAGGTTCTTTAAAAAGATAAGTCTTTAATTATTTGGTTATTAACCTAGATAACCTCTAAGGGTTCTTAAATCTAATGATTTATTTTATTTGAGTTGCATTTGTCAAGTTCTCACCATCTTGCCAAATTACTTCAGACAATAGCAATATCTAATGTTTTTACAGCACTTTATAGAGAGTTTGTAAAGCGCTTTCACACATTCATTATCTTATTTGAGCCTTAATGCAACCCTATAAATTATGGCATTTATTATTCCTGTTGCAAAAGAAGAAATAGAAGCTCAAAGAGATTAAAAGACTTAGCCAAGGTCATTCAACAACAAAAAAAAATGGAAGAGCTTGAACTATCAGGGAAATCTTAGAACTGAATTCAAGTCTAGACTCTGTTACTAAATAGCTGTATGGTCTTGAGTACATCACTCACCATTCTGAGCTTGTCTATCTGTAAAAGGGGTTAGTTAACTAGCTGATCATCTCCATGGTCTTCCAAAGCCCTAAAATTCTACTAATTTTATAATATACCTATAATAAATAAATAAAAATTTACTATATTGCTATAATACTAAATTCTTCCTTTCTCTGGGCCTCTTGCCTCCAAGCAAAAAGAAAAGGATTATATGAACTACACAGGAGGCCTGAGATTAAAAACAATCAGTGTGGCACACTAAGGAACTTTAAAAATACAAAGATATCAAATAGAAAAAAAAAATTTCATGATCCAAAGCTCAGTGCATCGTCACATTATGGTGTGACAGTACCAGAACTCCTACCCTCTACTAACATTTTGTTAATATTTTTGTATCTCTGTTGTGATGAAAACCAAGCTAGAATTTGCTTTAGGCTTAGTTTTTGAGACCACAGCTAGCTCTTACCTGAATTAGAGCCCTCCATTTCAGACATCTGTATCTACCTTCGGCAAAGCCCCACTAGTCCTTCTTTCTGGGTGATCTAAAACTCTAAAAGTGATAGGTACAGCCTCAATTTCCCAGGGCACATCAGTGCCATAGTGAATGGCTAATACCCATGAAAGCAAAGTTGATCTTCAATCCCTTCAGTCTCTTCTTTTTTTTTTTTTTTTTTTTTTTGAGACGGAGTCTTGCTCTGTCATCTAGGCGGGAGTGGCAGTGGCGTGATCTCAGCTCACTGTAACCTCTGCCTCCCAGGTTCAAGCGATTCTCCTGCCTCAGCCTCTGGAGTAGCTGGGACTACAGGCACGCGCGCCAACACGCCTGGCTAATTTTTGTATTTTTAATAGAGATGGGGTTTCACCATGTTGGCCAGGCTGGTCTCGAACTCCTCACCTCATGATCTGCCCACCTCTGCCTCCCAAAGTGCTGGGATTATAGGCATGAGCCACCGCGCCCGGGCCCCTTCCCTTTCTAATAGGCAGGAGACTACCTATCTCATAATGACTTTGTTCTCTCTGTTGTGATGCTATCTTTTGGTGGTTCAGTGGTTTGCCACCACTTGGGAGACATGTCCAATTCCCAGGCCTCACTTGGCTCTGACCATCTCAGAACACAACTCTAGTTGAATGTTTCTGTGTGTGGAGACTGTGCTGAACTTTTTATCTTCATTTTATCTTTGCAACAATTCTCTTACTATCACCATTTGTGGATAAGAAAACAGAGGCACGAAGAGATTAAATAACCTACCCCCAAGGTTATATGGCTAATGAATAGTAGGGTCTAGAATTCAAACCCAAACAGGCTGATTCTGAGGCTTATGGTGGTCTTTACCACCACACTGTTGCCCACTCATTCACCAACCAGGGCAGTGGAGACATGTCCAAAGGGCTGTATTCTCTAGGTACGAATTTCCCATCACTGAAAGGATGCAAGCATGGGCTGGGCATCCATCCAGCTTCAAACACTAAGCTCCCATGGCTGAAAATCTGTCCTGGAAACACTCTCACTTCCGCTTTGGGTGTTCTCTCTGCTCCTGATATCCTTCCTCTGTCCTCCTGGCATAATAAATTTCTTTTCTTTCCTTTCTCCCATTACACTGCTTGTCCTCCTATATTTACCACAATGCACTATAGAAATGGTGTTCTTTCTCCTCCAGAAAGTCTTGCAAACTGACTGCATTCGTTGACCCCTGATCATAGACACGTTTGTTTGGGCAGTTATTATGTCATAATAAAGAGATGGGGCAGGGACCTCCAGTCTGCCACAGTCCCCACCACTCCCTATTGCCTCATCCCTACCAGGTCACAGACTGATACTAGCTGCCTGCCCCTCTGATGGAATTGAAGGTTTAACCCTGTAAGAGCTAGCCCTTTTCTATTATAGACTATACCTTATTCATCTCAGTATCCTCCTAGCATAGCAGCCTAGCATACTACCAGAAAAACAGCTCAATAGATGTTTGATAAATGAGTGAGTGAAAGAACAGATGAACACACGAAGACTGCCAGGCAGCTTAAAGATCCACTGGGCACAAAGGTGACAGATAAGGCAGCAACTCTTTGGGCAAACTCCCAATATGGGAGCAGCCTTAATCTCCTTATGCCTGTTAACTCAATTTATAAAGCAGATATGATAATACTTACCTACTTCTCACTAGGGCACCACATGAAATAATTAGCTAATATCTACAAGGCATTATCTGCACTAAGTGGTAGATATTACTCCTACTGTGAAAACTCAGCTTTGGGACTCCAATGAATCTACTTTAAATAGAGCTGGAAAACTAAACAAGATTTATCCAGTCTTTCCTTCTGGTTCTGCAAATATTCAGCTACCACACTAGGAATAAGTAACACCTTTCTCAGAGCTAACTGATCCCTCGCTGTCTCTCTGTCTTCTCTCTCCTCATCCCCTGCCAACTGTATCATCCCTACCTCTTTCTCTTTCTCTCTCTCTCTCTCTCTCTCTCTCTGTTAAGTTAATGTTTGGACAAGAGACAAAATGCACTAATAAGCGAGCCAGGATTCTCAACTGGGTGAATTGCAATGTCTGAACAGCATACTAGTTCCCCATAGAGGACAGCGGCCAGGACTGGGGGCCTCTCTCAACTCTGGGCATGTTTTGTCTCTTGATCAGGGAATTGGCTGCATAGGTGAAAATCAGTTGAACTGCATACTTATCATTTGTGTACTTTTCTGTAAGTCCATTTCAGTAAAACAAAAAAAAAGGAAAAAAAATGTGACTCATGCAGTCTGAAAAACAGTGGGCATTGCATACCCCTTCCTTCATTAAACCTAGAGACATTTTCCCACTCGTAGTAGGATTTTACCAAACACAAGCTCTCTGAAGCAGACACTCCTCTGCAGTCCATCCCACAGCACTCATCAGACAGCCGTAGCTCTTGCACCAAGCCGGAAATCTGCCTTGCTAGCCGTGCCAATGGTCATTAGCATAACCTCCCTCCTCTTCCTGTACCTCAGACCCAGTAGGTCCTCCGATACTCAAGAACTCCTTCCCGGAGCGGAGACACAGATCATGGCTATCAGATGGGTCCCTTGGCAGCTCAGCTGCAGGCAAGATTTGTTCCCTTGTTTGTCTGGAGCTTTGGTTTTAATTTGTAATATTTGCTTAATCTACTATTAGTTGGGCTGAATTTAATTTAACTCATTGTAGCAATTCATTTCTTTCAATCTCCTGTTATTGGGTATCACTCTTAAGTTGTAAGTGAGTTTGCCTTCCCTAATCATCATGTAGGAATCTGTTGGCCCAGTTATTTCTCTTTGCAAGTAATATCTGCAATTAAAAATGTATATAATTGCAGAGAGAGCAGTGTGATAAGAATGCTGAATGGGATCTGTACCTTCCATTTTTTTCATTAGCTTTTATATTTTAAGTGAAATCAGGTAAAGTGCTGGTAAGGAGTTACTTCCTCTCCCACCCCCACCATTGTCAACTGCCAAATGGAGAGACAATAAATGGTAGCCAGACAGATTCTCTTTCTTACTGTAAAGCCATAAAGCCAAAACCTAGCACATAGCAATGAGTTTTAAAAATTAAAACAAAACAAGACCTCTAGCTTGGCTTATAGCCAATCACAGCTTTCAGATGGTGGAGATCATTCTAAATTTAGAGGAAAAAGTAATCGTGGGTCTTTCTTCAAAATTTAATTTTAAAACTTGCTCCACAGGTAGACTTTTGGTAAAGATGCATTTACATACAAATTTTAAAATACGTGATAGTTGTTTAAGAAAGCTTAACACAATCTTACTTACATAGTTCACAACTTTTTTTTTTTTTTTTGAGATGGAGTTTCGCTCTTGTTGCCCAGGCTGGAGTGCAGTGGCGCAATCTCAGCTCACTTCAGCCTCTGCCTCCTGGGTTCAAGTGATTCTCCTGCCTCAGCCTCCTGAGTAGCTGGGATTATGGGCACCCACCACCATGCCTGGCTAATTTTTATATTTTTAGTAAAGACAGGGTTTCACCATGTTGGCCAGGCTGGTCTCAAACTCCTGACCTTAGGTGATGTGCCCACCTCGGCCTCCCAAAGTGCTGGGATTACAGGAGTGAGCCTTTCACACCCAGCCCACTTCACAACTTCTTAAAAGTAAAGCTCTCATCCCACATATACTGAAACACTAGGATTTATCATGTTCCAATCAAGTCAACTTGCTCCAAAATCTCTCAAGAGATTTTTTTAATCACCATACTTAAAAGTAGGGTGATAATCACAAATATTAGGAAACATTTCTCCAAATACAATGGGAAATGCTAGATAATGTGTAACTTACGGATGTAAACATGTGCAAAGCACTTAACCCAAAGCCTAGCTTACAGAACGCACTCAACAAGTAGTAGAATAATGAGAACGATGCCAATTATAATAGCATCTATTGTTATTATTCAGAATATCTCATCCAGTTTGACTTATTTCTGCAGTGAAACAAATCACCAGGCTGTGTCTTTTCAAAGCTCACACTTCCAAACAGAGTAGGTGTTCCTTCTGATCTAAGCATACCTGAATGTTTTTCACCAAGGTTCGTGACTCCTGTAGCCACATCTATACTTAGTGTAAACCTGAACTTGGCAACAGAAAACCCCATGCAGGATATGGCCCCTAGGAGACCATGAGAAGTGACCTTCCAACATTCAAGCTACAGGGGAAATCTTTCTCTTAATTCGAGCTACATTGCACATTATGTCAGTTCTGCAGAATTTATCCAGAAGAACCGATATGAACCGAAATCTCATCTACTGTTTACCTATTTTCTGTCTTTCCTTTTTTTTTTTTTCTTTTTGGAGACAGTGTCACTCTGTCCACCCAGGCTGGAGCGTAATGGCACGATCTCAGCTCACTGCAACCTCCATCTCCAGGGTTCAAGCAATTCTCCTGCCTCAGCCTCTCGAGTAAGTGGGACTACAGGCATGTGCCACCACGCCCGGTTAATTTTTTTTGTATTTTTACTAGAGACAGGTTTTCACCATGTTGGCCAGGCTAGTATCAAACTCCTGACCTCAGGTAATCTGCCCACCTCGGCCTCCCAAAGTGTTGGGATTACAGGTGTGAGCCACTGCACCCATTTTCTAATCTCCAGTGAAACCAACTTCATAAAGGCTGTGGCATTTCTTCCAAGACACTACGATGAAGATGACATCATCAGGAGACTTAGGGAAAGCTACGACTTTTCAAGTAACTAAAGTGGGTGACCCTCACTACTTTGTGGGCTCAATAGCTGTGTCTTCATTTATAAAAATAAAATGGTAGAGACTGTATTGGACAGGAGAGACCTGGAATATGGATCTAAGTAACCAGCTAGCACAAAAATACCCCACTATTTATGTTATGTATACATACATATATACATACGTGCATTGGTGGAGCTAGATAATATCTTTCAGCTCTGTTACTTTACATTGAAGTATCTGACTGATCATACTCATTTGTGCAGGAGATATTTAAAATCTAGTTGTGAAGATGACTGAGTCATGAAACATTAAATAATCTTAATGTATAAGCTCCCAAAAGGAAGTCAATGAGAAAGGGTTAACTTTGCCATGTATGTTCATAGGAAAGTGAGTATGACTTGTATCTAAGTTATGGATCAGCAAACTAGACCCCCCAGCCAAGTCCAGACTACCCCCTATCTTTATAAATAAAGTTTTATTGGAACACAGCCACTCATTCATTTATGTATCATCTGTGGCTGCTTTCACTTTGCAATGGCAGAAATAAGCAGTTATGACAAGACTTTATGGCCCACAAAGCTAAAACTATTTACTATCTGGCCTTGTACAGAAAAAACTTTTTGATCCAAAAAAGGCTGAACAAAGAAGATTTTAAAAGAGATGGGGGGGGAGAGAAAAAGAGAGAGGGCTGAATCTCAGGCAGGGGTACGGACTGAATAGGCAAAGTAGCTTTCCAAACAGAGAGAAAGGATTGGGCAATCGAATGGATTCAGAACTGGTCACTAGAGGACCAGACTGGATGGTTTGAAGTAACGAAGATGAACTGGATTGAGAGTAGGCACAAGCCAGAGAGTTGTGGGCATTCACACCCAGACAACTGGACTTGACTGTGGACAGTCGGCCATTAGTGAGGGTTTCTGAGGAGAGAGTTGACAAAACAGAAGATTTAAAGAAATCCAATGAGGTTGCAGTTTTAGCACAGTTTGAGCTTCCTAGCATGAGACATTGAAGGTCCCCACATCCCAGGAGCCATGGGACTGGACATAATGGTATGAGTAAGGGAGACAGTAGGAAAGGTGGAGCTATGTGACTTGTGATCACTGGGATGGCGATGAGGAAGGAGAAGGAGTAATTAGGGCTTGCTTAGGGCTTCCACCCTGGGTGACCACACAGCTGACCACTTCACATGCAGCCACGTGCATTAGTGCATACGATTTCTTGAGCTGACAGTGAAATGTGTGCCTGAAAGTTTCATACCATGACTCAGGTCCAAAGTAATTCTAAGGAACAGGGCCAGTGATTTCAGTGGCTTATTTCCCACCCTACCTTCTAATCAATGTAATTCATTGACTTATTCACCATATTCTGGAGAGGGCGAAAAGCAGCAGTTTGCTACTTCTCAAAGTTGCTCTGGCAGGTCAATATCCTGTCATCACTAATCCTGCAAACCTTTTCAAAGACTTCAAGTACATAGTTGGCTATTATCATCTTTCAGGGAGTTCCTCTACCTATTCTCCTTTTCATGTTATAGACACCCTAACGGCGAGTCTTAAAATCGCGGTTCTGACAGAGAGATTGGGAAGTTCAAGTCAATTCCTCATTTACCTGCTCGGTCTGCAAAGCAGTTCGAATAGCTTTAGGAACATCTACTTGGCTCCTTTGCAAACAAACAGGCCTGGTGCCCATGACTCCTCTGTTATGAGGCTCTCCTCCTCCCTGGAGACGAGCAGCATTCCTGTTGCAGAGTGCTGGACATTGTTCTGGGAACCCTCTGCCCAGATACTCATTAGTACTGCATTAGTCTATAAACGCCGAAAGAAATGCTTAGTTCACCTCGCTCTTACTTGATGTACTTGAAAGGTCTGGTGAATTTATGGCAGGATAATGTGGAGCCCAGCACCTATTTATGAGTTGATCATTTGTACCGAACCCCCCTCAAAGTGCCAAGGGTTACCATTCAACCACGGCCTGCACTAATGCCACGGGAAGGCCAACAAAGCCAAGTGTACGAAAGTTAAAAGCATTAATAAAAGTGTGACTTATAAATTACTTCATCTTTGTCACCCATTTTGAAATGGGGTGAGAGAGGCCAGGGTAAATTTATTTTTTAAGTGCTTTCTGAGACCCAAACGGGTCAGGCTTGAAATGCTGTAGTATATAAATCATTCTTTGCAGATCTGGGGGATGCTGCAAGCATCACAACATTAACAAATATTGATTTATTTTATCATTTGCAACTGTTTATAGTATGACAGATCCTACTGCACACGCAAAAGCAAATACTTTGAGGCAATGTAGTTAATTAATATCTCTTGTAAGGGGGGAAAAAGGGAAAACCTGGCAATAGGATTTCAGCTTGTATGGAAGTTTGTGGCAAGGTGATTTTCATCAGATTGGCTGACATTAACTCAGCCCCCACCCCAATACCATGGAGATGGATGGATTTCACGCTAAGCAATTTGATGTACAAATGGCATATATGAGAGGTCCTGTCATCAACGCAGCATCATTATACATGATATCAACCAAAGCTCCTGTGAGGCTGAAACCTAGGAAAGGGTCAGCAGGGGTTTCAGACCCCTGGCCACTCTGCTCAACTTTGTATCAAAGCATTAAATAAGCAGACACCCACACTCAATTCAACCACAGGTTCTAAAGGATTTATCTGGGGTCCCTGCTGATGCAATGAAGGACAATTAACAAAAATGCCTTCAAGGTAAGGGAGATGAAAGTCTGCATTGTGCTGGAAAGTGTCCCTGGCTCTGCTGCGCTTTCTCAAACTGCACTTTGGATGTGTTTTCAAACTTAAATTGCTCACAGTTTGGGCCTTCTCCTAACAGGCAACAGAGGGCTGGAGACTGATTAGTCAAAGAAGTTCAGGGAGCCCTACAGTTTCATTGAGATAAACAATGACAACCACACAAACAATGACTTAGAAAATCTGATTTAAACTCCTGACAATGATTAATGCATCTGAACTATGCAAGGAGAACTCAGTGAAATAATCATAGATTGGTACTTTTGTCTGGGAAGCACAATGAAGTTGATCTCTGTGTCCAAGCACATCCTCAAGCCTCCTGTGCAACTGGGTGCTCCTTACGTGGGGCACTGAGGTCAATGGTACACCGTGGAGCTAGTAATTGCTATGCAGTCAATTACCAATGGCATAGCAATGTCTGAGATTCCCTTTTAATAGTGTAGCCTGGGAAAGTATCTCCCAATGGCAACGATAGCTGAGGCCAGAACCAAGATTTCTCAGTCTCAGCACTACTGACACTTTGGGCTGGATAGTTCTTTGTTGAGGAGTGGGGCAAGGGGTCTTGTACACTGTAGGATATTTGGCATCATCTCTAGTTTCTGCCTACTAGATGCTGGTAGCAATCACCACCACCCCAATGTGAGAGTCAAAAGTTACAGCAGGCATTGCTAATTGTTGTTAGGACTAAAATCTCCCTTTGTTGACAACCACTGGGTTAGACAAAATAACTCAAAGATTTTGTATCAGGCCTTTCCCACCAGAAAATCTTCCTTGGCCACAAACTTTAAGTCTTAGGATTCTAAATGTACAACTTTGGGCCACTTTGTGGTCTAATATTGAACAATGTGGCTGTACCTGTTGATCTTAACCACTATGAAGGGAAGGATCAAGAAGAGACTTCCGAGAACTAAAAATTATTGTGTATAAGTCAACAGGAGAGGGAAGAGAAAAATTAGCCACCATAAGGCAAGAGTAGGATGGGGGAAAGCAGTTCCAGTGATGTGGGTCATGCTCCACAGGGATGAGGGCTCATAGGTAAGAAGAAAGCACATTCAGAATGTCACCTAGTATAACTTAGTCCAATGGACTAATGCCAGAGTTGAATAGTAAGATCTTCCCCATATTTAAACCAAAAAAGCCACTGCCCCTCTGGCCAAGTGTGAAGTCTTACTGCATACCGGCTGTGGCAGATCTTATTTTCCAAAGATGGTCACGACAATGTCTCTCATCCCACCAACTCTTCTGCAATGTGACCTTGCCATGCCCTTCATAAGGAGGTGAGGTTTCTTTCTCCATCTCCTTGAATCTGGGTGGCCATGTCTGACAAATGCAACATGGCAGAAGTGACGCAGGGCCAGTACTGGGAGTAAGTCTTTTTTTTTGAGACAGAGTCTTGCTCTGTCGCCCAGGCTGGAGTGCAGTGGCACAATCTCAGCTCACTGCAAGCTCTGCCTCCTGGGTTCATGCCATTCTCCTGCCTCAGCCTCCCGAGTAGCTGGGACTACAGGCGCCCACCACCACACTTGGCTAATTTTTTATGTTTTTTAGTAAAGACAGGGTTTCACCGTGTTAGCCAGGATGGTCTTGATCTCCTGCCTCAGCCTCCCAAAGTGCTGGGATTACAGATGTGAGCCACCACACCCGGCCTGGGAGTAACTCTTAACTGGCTGGTGGCTTCTGCTCCCTCTTTCTTGGAATGTCTGCTCATGGAACATTGCCTCTCAGAACCCAGCTGCCATACCATGAGATTCACAGTTTACAGGGAGAGGCCATGTGGATGATAGGTTCTGGTCAACTGCACATTGAGTTTGCAGCCAGCCCTATGAGTGAGTTATCCCTGTTACCCAGTCCAATCAAACCCACACATGAGTCCAGCTCCAGCCAACATCTGAATGTAACCCCCTGTGAGACTCCAAGCAAGAACCGCCCTGCTGAGCCCCATCAATTCCAGACTCATGAGAGATATATAATAATAGTTATTTTAAGCCACCAAGCTCTTGGGTAGTTTGTTATACAGCAATATGTAACTGGAACACCAACCACACTGATATTTCTATGAAGCTAAAGACAAATGTGTTCTACTACCAAAGTTATTGAGACTTCAATCTCTGGAAATCTCAATAACCTGGTAGTAGAACACATTTGTCTTTAGACTGAGATTGATCAAAGGGAATTAACAGACATCATCATCACCCTATTTACTAGATGCACAATACTTTCCATTTGTTATCTCATGTCATTCTTGCAGTCAACTTAGGAGACAACTATTATTATCCCCCTTGACAAATGATGGGACTGAGGTCTAGAGAGCGTGAGTCTCCTTGCCAAGGCAACACAGTCAGGGGGTGGAGAAACACAGATTCAAAAACAGTCTGACACTAAAGCGTTAATTTTACCACTAATCTGTGGACAGTTTTAGCCCCAAGACAGAAGACATGGAAGCAGAGATAAATCTGTAAAATGTTATACTCAGGGAATTCTATCAGAGAACTCTGTCCTGTGACCTCTGATTTCCAGAGTCATAAAATCAGCTGTTGTTCTTCCCCATGGACCAGCACAGAGGTCTCTCCTGCTTTGAGGAATGTGGTCGGCAGCACACTGAGGAGGTATATGGATTAGGTACCATCTCTGATGGAATTTCTAAAGGGGCACTGGAATCAGAAAACCCCAGTCTTTCAAAGAACTGATCCTTAACCTTCTCAGCATCTCTGCAACTTAGCTATGCCTATGACCTGTTGGGTGGCCTTAAGCAAACCACAAACCCTCTAAGCCTCAGAGTTCTCAGCTGTAAACTGGGAATTACCCCTACCCCTCAGGACTGTTATGACAACTTGAGATAATGTATCAAAGTGCACAGCGTGGTGCTGGCACACAGAGGCACTTGAACCTGGTAGCCTACCTAGGACCTGTGTCTGCCCTGAATAGTCTGAGGTATGAGGAAGCTAGATTGTGAAGTTTACACTTAGCCTGTGTCTAAACATTTGCCTGGAAATTTGCAGCCATGCTGAACACATGCATCCCTCCTGCAGCCTACAGCAGACATATGATAGAAAGGAGACGGTCGTCAGGGTGCTGGGCTCAGTGGGAAGTCAAAGATGCTGTAGTGTGAAATGCACTTACATGGGCTGACCTTTGTAAAGGCACCACTCACATGCTCCTGAGATTCCCATATAGCCTAACAGCATGTTAGAACGGTCACAACCCAAAGACTCCATGTCTGATCATTTCTGATGCTTGGCAGCCCATTCCAAAGGCATCTCCCCCTCTACATTTGCCTTTGAGCACAGTTGAGGCACTGCCTTCCCAAAGGACCCCATTCCTGTCCCTTCCTGCAATCTTCAGTCACATAGAAAGACATCTCCCCTGGCATCATCAGTGTCCAGTACAATAAAAAGTCACCAGAATCGTCAAGCTGGATCCAATGCCAGCCCAGGTGAGATTTTTCCTTCCTGTGTGTGGCCTTCTGGCATCTGTTTTCTCTTTGAAGCTCTTTTCTCTTCCTGGGATGAGAACCCAGAATTGGGGCTCTGATCTCCATTCACCAAATCATCCCAGGCTGAAGCTTTCTTCTCTAGATGCCCAGGAAAGGCACGATAGTTCAGTCATATTAGGTTCCTGCCAGCTAAGAAGCCTAAGTTTCAAAGAAAAAGGCACCATTCATCCCAAATTCACCATGGTCTGACTTTTGTAAAGGTCCTAAAATACAATTAGTTACACAATTGCATCTTAACTTAGAATTTTCCACTTGGTGGCTTTTCTCAGGTTGACTGTCATTGAAAAGCTGCTTTTGCTTTTTTTTTTTAAATTTAAACCTAAAGAACACTATAATGCTTTACTCTTAGTTGCTAATGTCCAGATGAGTTCTGCTCGGCATAGATACTGAAGGTTCCCCAGTAGAAAGGAATCGTTCTCATCATTTACTGTAAAGTGTGTGCCTGGCAGTTGTAACTGAGTTCAATTTGAAAAGAAATCAAATGTTTGGATGAAAGTGACACAATGATGTGGCATGAGGCATAATCCATACATTTCTAACAGATGCCAGAAGAAGCCCCAGCTGGAAGTCATGTCACTTTTAGATACTGAGAGCAACAAGTCATTAATTTGTATTCCTTAAATAACTTATTAAGGCTACATGTGCAAGCTCTTATACAAAACCCAGAGCCAGGGATAAGTAAATGAGTGAATGAGTTCAATCATCCAAGCCTTAGTTCATGCATTTATTCATTCAGCAAATTTTCAGTGAGCAACTTACCATACGTCATGCACTGGGCTATATGCTAAGGATGTAACAGTAAGCACGTGGAAGCCGAATCCCTGCCCTTATGGAGCTTAGAGACCAGTGAAAGGGACAGACATTAATGATCTGATCATAAAAGCAAATAGGAAACTGTATTTGAGCCAAGGTCTACGACGTATATGAAGCTTTCAGTATTTATAATGAGGAAATCTTACCAAATCCATGAGGTCAGGGAAAGCTTAAGTAGGCTAAGACCTTACACCAAAGTAGGAGTTAATTAGGCAGAGAGAAATAGGGGGAAGGAGTATGGCAGGCAGAGGAACTAAAAGATGGCCAGAGAGGCCACAGTGGAGGGAAAAAAGAAAAGCCTGATTAGAGAGACAAGATAGAGACACAATGCAATCCCTGGGCCCATCCATCCCTCAAGACAGCATCAATGACAGATGAAAGGCAACACAGCCAGACAGAATAAAGCAAGTGCTAAACAAAGGTTCAAACCAATGCAGGAACAGTGGCTGGAACCCCAAGAAAGGCTGCAAGAAGGAGGTCGACTCTGAACAGAATCTAGAATAGGGGTTGACCAACTATGGCCCCCAGGCCAAATTGTGCCACTGCCTGTTTTTGTAAATAAAGCTGTACTGAAATACAGCCACGCCCATTCATTTACGCATTGTCTAGGGCTGCTTTGGCGCTACAATGGCAGAATGGAGAGTTGCTACGGAGACCATCAGACCCGCAAAACTGAAAATATTCAGTATCTGGCCCTTTACACAAAAGTTTGCTGACTCCTAGTCTAAAAGGATAAGCAGGATTTGAAATCAATGGGACAAGAGAAAAAGTATGCCAGCGCCTCCTGCCTCTCACACCTGCAAGAAACAAACTTGAGCATGTCTTTCAGCGGACGCTCTGATGGCAAGAGTCATAGGAGGGAAAAGGTGCATGATAAACATTTTTAATGACATCTCAGAAATCACACTAAGCCAGATTTGTGCATTTGGGCATATTTTGCTTCACGGAATAACTACACTCCAGGAAAGTTGATGGAACCTTGACATCTCAAGTTGATTCCCTTAAGGAATTATACAGGGGTGTGACACAGAAAATAAACGAAAACGATGTGCTCAAATCAGTTAGAAAAACACTAAATAAACAAAGTTGAACCGGCTTCCCTACTGCAGGACTTACCAGAGCCTTTAATATCCTACTGTGCTTTGGAAATCTCCAGGAGAAAAAGTTATGTTGCGTGTCTCAAATTTATTTGATCACAGACTCCTTCTTTTCCAAAGTCATCTTATCAGGACAGAGTTGCTTGAAGCATAGCGTGAGAAACACTGGTCTGAACTTTTTATAAAGCAAATGCCCTTTTCTTAATAATCTCCAAAACAATGTCAGAAATGTGTTTTCTTTCCAAATAATTTCTTTTTTTTTTTTTTTAATGTTTTTTTTTTTTTATTATACTTTAAGTTTTAGGGTACATGTGCACATTGTGCAGGTTAGTTACATATGTATACATGTGCCATGCTGGTGCGCTGCACCCACTAACGTGTCATCTAGCATTAGGTATATCTCCCAATGCTATCCCTCCCCCCTCCCCCGACCCCACCACAGTCCCCAGAGTGTGATATTCCCCTTCCTGTGTCCATGTGATCTCATTGTTCAATTCCCACCTATGCGTGAGAATATGCGGTGTTTGGTTTTTTGTTCTTGCGATAGTTTACTGAGAATGATGGTTTCCAATTTCATCCATGTCCCTACAAAGGACATGAACTCATCATTTTTTATGGCTGCATAGTATTCCATAGTGTATATGTGCCACATTTTCTTAATCCAGTCTATCATTGTTGGACATTTGGGTTGGTTCCAAGTCTTTGCTATTGTGAATAATGCCGCAATAAACATACGTGTGCATGTGTCTTTATAGCAGCATGATTTATAGTCCTTTGGGTATATACCCAGTAATGGGATGGCTGGGTCAAATGGTATTTCTAGTTCTAGATCCCTGAGGAATCGCCACACTGACTTCCACAATGGTTGAACTAGTTGACAGTCCCACCAACAGTGTAAAAGTGTTCCTATTTCTCCACATCCTCTCCAGCACCTGTTGTTTCCTGACTTTTTAATGATTGCCATTCTAACTGGTGTGAGATGATATCTCATAGTGGTTTTGATTTGCATTTCTCTGATGGCCAGTGATGATGAGCATTTTTTCATGTGTTTTTTGGCTGCATAAATGTCTTCTTTTGAGAAGTGTCTGTTCATGTCCTTCGCCCACTTTTTGATGGGGTTGTTTGTTTTTTTCTTGTAAATTTGTTTGAGTTCATTGTAGATTCTGGATATTAGCCCTTTGTCAGATGAGTAGGTTGCGAAAATTTTCTCCCATGCTGTAGGTTGCCTGTTCACTCTGATGGTAGTTTCTTTTGCTGTGCAGAAGCTCTTTAGTTTAATTAGATCCCATTTGTCAATTTTGGCTTTTGTTGCCATTGCTTTTGGTGTTTTGGACATGAAGTCCTTGCCCACGCCTATGTCCTGAATGGTAATGCCTGGTTTTCTTCTAGGGTTTTTATGGTTTTAGGTCTAACGTTTAAATCTTTAATCCATCTTGAATTGATTTTTGTATAAGGTGTAAGGAAGGGATCCAGTTTCAGCTTTCTACATATGGCTAGCCAGTTTTCCCAGCACCATTTATTAAATAGGGAATCCTTTCCCCATTGCTTGTTTTTCTCAGGTTTGTCAAAGATCAGATAGTTGTAGATATGCGGCATTATTTCTGAGGGCTCTGTTCTGTTCCATTGATCTATATCTCTGTTTTGGTACCAGTACCATGCTGTTTTGGTTACTGTAGCCTTGTAGTATAGTTTGAAGTCAGGTAGTGTGATGCCTCCAGCTTTGTTCTTTTGGCTTAGGATTGACTGGGCGATGCGGGCTCTTTTTTGGTTCCATATGAACTTTAAAGTAGTTTTTTCCAATTCTGTGAAGAAAGTCATTGGTAGCTTGATGGGGATGGCATTGAATCTGTAAATTACCTTGGGCAGTATGGCCATTTTCACGATATTGATTCTTCCTACCCATGAGCATGGAATGTTCTTCCATTTGTTTGTGTCCTCTTTTATTTCCTTGAGCAGTGGTTTGTAGTTCTCCTTGAAGAGGTCCTTCACATCTCTTGTAAGTTGGATTCCTAGGTATTTTATTCTCTTTGAAGCAATTGTGAATGGGAGTTCACTCATGATTTGGCTCTCTGTTTGTCTGTTTTTGGTGTATAAGAATGCTTGTGATTTTTGTACATTGATTTTGTATCCTGAGACTTTGCTGAAGTTGCTTATCAGCTTAAGGAGATTTTGGGCTGAGACAATGGGGTTTTCTAGATAAACAATCATGTCGTCTGCAAACAGGGACAATTTGACTTCCTCTTTTCCTAATTGAATACCCTTTATTTCCTTCTCCTGCCTGATTGCCCTGGCCAGAACTTCCAACACTATGTTGAATAGGAGCGGTGAGAGAGGGCATCCCTGTCTTGTGCCAGTTTTCAAAGGGAATGCTTCCAGTTTTTGCCCATTCAGTATGATATTGGCTGTGGGTTTGTCATAGATAGCTCTTATTATTTTGAAATACGTCCCATCAATACCTAATTTATTGAGAGTTTTTAGCATGAAGGGTTGTTGAATTTTGTCAAAGGCTTTTTCTGCATCTATTGAGATAATCATGTGGTTTTTGTCTTTGGCTCTGTTTATATGCTGGATTACATTTATTGATTTGCATATATTGAACCAGCCTTGCATCCCAGGGATGAAGCCCACTTGATCATGGTGGATAAGCTTTTTGATGTGCTGCTGGATTCGGTTTGCCAGTATTTTATTGAGGATTTTTGCATCAATGTTCATCAAGGATATTGGTCTAAAATTCTCTTTTTTGGTTGTGTCTCTGCCCGGCTTTGGTATCAGAATGATGCTGGCCTCATAAAATGAGTTAGGGAGGATTCCCTCTTTTTCTATTGATTGGAATAGTTTCAGAAGGAATGGTACCAGTTCCTCCTTGTACCTCTGGTAGAATTCGGCTGTGAATCCATCTGGTCCTGGACTCTTTTTGGTTGGTAAACTATTGATTATTGCCACAATTTCAGAGCCTGTTATTGGTCTATTCAGAGATTCAACTTCTTCCTGGTTTAGTCTTGGGAGAGTGTATGTGTCGAGGAATGTATCCATTTCTTCTAGATTTTCTAGTTTATTTGCATAGAGGTGTTTGTAGTATTCTCTGATGGTAGTTTGTATTTCTGTGGGATTGGTGGTGATATCCCCTTTATCATTTTTTATTGTGTCTATTTGATTCTTCTCTCTTTTTTTCTTTATTAGTCTTGCTAGCGGTCTATCAATTTTGTTGATCCTTTCAAAAAACCAGCTCCTGGATTCATTGATTTTTTGAAGGGTTTTTTGTGTCTCTATTTCCTTCAGTTCTGCTCTGATTTTAGTTATTTCTTGCCTTCTGCTAGCTTTTGAATGTGTTTGCTCTTGCTTTTCTAGTTCTTTTAATTGAGATGTTAGGGTGTCAATTTTGGATCTTTCCTGCTTTCTCTTGTAGGCATTTAGTGCTATAAATTTCCCTCTACACACTGCTTTGAATGCGTCCCAGAGATTCTGGTATGTGGTGTCTTTGTTCTCGTTGGTTTCAAAGAACATCTTTATTTCTGCCTTCATTTCGTTATGTACCCAGTAGTCATTCAGGAGCAGGTTGTTCAGTTTCCATGTAGTTGAGCGGCTTTGAGTGAGATTCTTAATCCTGAGTTCTAGTTTGATTGCACTGTGGTCTGAGAGATAGTTTGTTATAATTTCTGTTCTTTTACATTTGCGGAGGAGAGTTTTACTTCCAACTATGTGGTCAATTTTGGAATAGGTGTGGTGTGGTGCTGAAAAAAATGTATATTCTGTTGATTTGGGGTGGAGAGTTCTGTAGATGTCTATTAGGTCCGCTTGGTGCAGAGCTGAGTTCAATTCCTGGGTATCCTTGTTGACTTTCTGTCTCGTTGATCTGTCTAATGTTGACAGTGGGGTGTTAAAGTCTCCCATTATTAATGTGTGGGAGTCTAAGTCTCTTTGTAGGTCACTCAGGACTTGCTTTATGAATCTGGGTGCTCCTGTATTGGGTGCATAAATATTTAGGATAGTTAGCTCCTCTTGTTGAATCGATCCCTTTACCATTATGTAATGGCCTTCTTTGTCTCTTTTGATCTTTGTTGGTTTAAAGTCTGTTTTATCAGAGACTAGGATTGCAACCCCTGCCTTTTTTTGTTTTCCATTTGCTTGGTAGATCTTCCTCCATCCTTTTATTTTGAGCCTATGTGTGTCTCTGCACGTGAGATGGGTTTCCTGAATACAGCACACTGATGGGTCTTGACTCTTTATCCAACTTGCCAGTCTGTGTCTTTTAATTGCAGAATTTAGTCCATTTATATTTAAAGTTAATATTGTTATGTGTGAATTTGATCCTGTCATTATGATGTTAGCTGGTGATTTTGCTCATTAGTTGATGCAGTTTCTTCCTAGTCTCAATGGTCTTTACATTTTGGCATGATTTTGCAGCGGCTGGTACCGGTTGTCCCTTTCCATGTTTAGCGCTTCCTTCAGGAGCTCTTTTAGGGCAGGCCTGGTGGTGACAAAATCTCTCAGCATTTGCTTGTCTATAAAGTATTTTATTTCTCCTTCACTTATGAAGCTTAGTTTGGCTGGATATGAAATTCTGGGTTGAAAATTCTTTTCTTTAAGAATGTTGAATATTGGCCCTCACTCTCTTCTGGCTTGTAGGGTTTCTGCCGAGAGATCCGCTGTTAGTCTGATGGGCTTTCCTTTGAGGGTAACCCGACCTTTCTCTCTGGCTGCCCTTAACATTTTTTCCTTCATTTCAACTTTGGTGAATCTGACAATTATGTGTCTTGGAGTTGCTCTTCTCGAGGAGTATCTTTGTGGCGTTCTGTGTATTTCCTGAATCTGAACGTTGGCCTGCCTTGCTAGATTGGGGAAGTTCTCCTGGATAATATCCTGCAGAGTGTTTTCCAACTTGGTTCCATTCTCCACATCACTTTCAGGTACACCAATCAGACGTAGATTTGGTCTTTTCACATAGTCCCATATTTCTTGGAGGCTTTGCTCATTTCTTTTTATTCTTTTTTCTCTAAACTTCCCTTCTCGCTTCATTTCATTCATTTCAGCTTCCATTGCTGATACCCTTTCTTCCAGTTGATCGCATCGGCTCCTGAGGCTTCTGCATTCTTCACGTAGTTCTCGAGCCTTGGTTTTCAGCTCCATCAGCTCCTTTAAGCACTTCTCTGTATTAGTTATTCTAGTTATACATTCTTCTAAATTTTTTTCAAAGTTTTCAACTTCTTTGCCTTTGGTTTGAATGTCCTCCCGTAGCTCAGAGTAATTTGATCGTCTGAAGCCTTCTTCTCTCAGCTCGTCAAAATCATTCTCCATCCAGCTTTGTTCCGTTGCTGGTGAGGAACTGCGTTCCTTTGGAGGAGGAGAGGCGCTCTGCGTTTTAGAGTTTCCAGTTTTTCTGTTCTGTTTTTTCCCCATCTTTGTGGTTTTATCTACTTTTGGTCTTTGATGATGGTGATGTACAGATGGGTTTTCGGCGTAGATGTCCTTTCTGGTTGTTAGTTTTCCTTCTAACAGACAGGACCCTCAGCTGCAGGTCTGTTGGAATACCCTGCCGTGTGAGGTGTCAGTGTGCCCCTGCTGGGGGGTGCCTCCCAGTTAGGCTGCTCGGGGGTCAGGGGTCAGGGACCCACTTGAGGAGGCAGTCTGCCCGTTCTCAGATCTCCAGCTGCGTGCTGGGAGAACCACTGCTCTCTTCAAAGCTGTCAGACAGGGACACTTAAGTCTGCAGAGGTTACTGCTGTCTTTTTGTTTGTCTGTGCCCTGCCCCCAGAGGTGGAGCCTACAGAGGCAGGCAGGCCTCCTTGAGCTGTGGTGGGCTCCACCCAGTTTGAGCTTCCCGGCTGCTTTGTTTACCTAAGCAAGCCTGGGCAATGGCGGGCGCCCCTCCCCCAGCCTCGTTGCCGCCTTGCAGTTTGATCTCAGACTGCTGTGCTAGCAATCAGCGAGATTCCGTGGGTGTAGGACCCTCTGAGCCAGGTGTGGGATATAGTCTCGTGGTGCGCCGTTTTTTAAGCCGGTCTGAAAAGCGCAATATTCGGGTGGGAGTGACCCGATTTTCCAGGTGCGTCCGTCACCCCTTTCTTTGACTCGGAAAGGGAACTCCCTGACCCCTTGCGCTTCCCAGGTGAGGCAATGCCTCGCCCTGCTTCGGCTCGCGCACGGTGCGCACACACACTGGCCTGCGCCCACTGTCTGGCACTCCCTAGTGAGATGAACCCGGTACCTCAGATGGAAATGCAGAAATCACCCGTCTTCTGCGTCGCTCACGCTGGGAGCTGTAGACCGGAGCTGTTCCTATTCGGCCATCTTGGCTCCTCCCCCTCCAAATAATTTCAAAACTGTCAGCAGAAGCAAGGGTTAACTGTGGCAAGCTAGAAACCTGTGGGTACATGGGACATGAAACCCCACCCCTCTTAACCTCTGATTCTTCCCACACAAACCCATTTGTGTGGATTTTGTGGAGGATTTTATTCCCATTTCCTGTGAAAATTCCCATATCTGAGATGCCCTGGCTCAGTATTTAGAGCTACTGGCATTTGCCTCTCTTCTCTTCTACAAATTGTCAACATCAACAAATTGCACTTGGATCAAAAATTCTAAATTCAAACCAGCAGTATATGAAAAATAAATGAGTATTTTTAACTTCTTGAATGAACTGTCTTATTGCATTCCAAATCCTGGATGCCAAATTTCTTTTAAATATTGCCAAAGATGCCGTTCCTCTGGTCATTCAATATGCAAATGAACAGAAGCCAGCAAGTTCAAAATCTCGAAGAAATCAGTCACAGACAAGACAGCAAACTGTGCTCACTGTTCCCAAGTCCACCACATCAATTGCACAGAAGAAATGGATTTAGGTACCTGGCAGACCAGTTCACTAGCTCAAAGACTGACATTATCCTTAAGAATGCAGATGTTACATATTTCTCTTCCCCTTTAGACACATTCAAAAGACCAAAGAGAAGGCCAATAACCATTTTCAAAAGCAACCATAAAAATCTACAAACATTCTAGAGCTTCTCCAGGCAGGCAACTCCCAGGGTATTCACAGCCCTGGAGAAATGGGCCAAATTTTCCATTCTCAAGGCTAAAGGGATTTGAAAAGGGCAACAGAAAAATCACATAATTGATGGCAAGCATCCCTGAAAGCAAAGTCCTCCTATTTCAGAGTCTGGTACTAACGTCCGGAAGCAGCAGGCCATGTGTCCACTCCGAGGTTGTCACACTTTGGCAGGGAATCCCTGCAGGGTCAGAGCAGCCCTGGGGGCTCTGATGAGAGGTGCTAAATAAGTTAGTGCTATCGTTTATTAGAGCATAAGAAACAGATGGGAATGGGCAAAATGACAGCTGGAAGAGTGAGGTTTCGGGAAGATGAGTATCTACAGCACTCAGAAATTCATCTACACGACGCCTATTAACATTCACGGGAATGGCTTTCTTAGCACCAGCTACAGATTCTGCAGCCTCTCACAGATTCATTCCTTGGCTTTTTCTCCATCACACAGACAGTTAATCTCATATCTAATTATAAAATAATTGGCAATCCCACAACTTTCTCTTGTAGAACTCTGCCACCAAGAATGATTATTTTCAACTCATTGGTCCTTGCATCCACAGGAGACTGGGAAGACACAAGAAGGAACTAAGAGGAGATAGGATGGGCAAGGGAAGGGGCGGAGGAAGTTCACCTATTGTGGCCGTCCTTCAGGGACAGGGACAGGCAACTGGACATCCATTTGTCCCAATCTGGCCAGGGCTGGCCCTCACCTGACTAGAGTTTCATCTGGCTTCTTTGTTTTTTTGTTTTTGAAATGGAGTCTCTCTCTGTCACCCAGGCTGGAGTGCAGTGGCATGATCTTGGCTCACTGCAACCTCTGCCGCCCGGGTTCCAGGGATTCTCTTGCCTCAGCCTCCCGAGTAGCTGGGATTATAGGCACATGCCACCACACCCGGCTAATTTTTGTGTTTTTAGTAGAGATGGGGTTTCACCATGTTGGTCAGGCTGGTCTTGAACTCCTGACCTTGCAGTCTGCCTGCCTCAGCCTCCCAAAGTGCTGGGATTATAGGCAAAGCCACTGTGCCCGACCTCATATGCTTTTTTTTTTTTCTTTTGCATTCTTGAAGCCATTGGTTTTTGACCCAGGTGGCAGCAATCCACCAGGGCTCTGCTATATGCTGAGGTTTCCCAGCCTCCTCACACATCCTGAAAAGTTCCAGCTCACTTGGGGCTGCTTGGACATAAGCCCCTATGTTTACTGTATAAGGAATGGTCACCTAGTAGCTTAAGAAACAGTACAAAGACCCGTTCCTTAAGACTAGGGATAGAAGACTGAAAAAAGCATAAGACATAAAATTGATTTAAGAAACATCCCTTGATAACTAACTTTTAACAAAAGAAATTATTTTAAGCAAGATAGGCCCTTTTTAAGTTTTTTTATTTTTGTTTAAGAGACAGGGTCTCACTCTGTTGCCCAGGCTGGAGTCTAGAGTGCAATGATGCAATCATAGCTCACTGCGGACTTGAACTCCTGGGCTCAAGCAATCCTCCCCCCTCAGCCTCCCAAAATGCTGGGATTACAGGCATGAGCCACCATATTCTTTTTAAAAGCCTTTTAAAGGTTTTATTCAGTGTTTTTTTCTTTACTATTTGCTCACATGCTGGTATATGTTAAATATATATCTACACACACACACACCTTGAAAATCTGTCATTTTGTTGAGAAATATTACTAGATTTTTTTCTCACAAATTATCTTCATCACAGTGGCTGATAAGTGTCAGAAATTTGGGGAGGATTTTGAAATCATGAGGCAGGCTATATGACAGTCAAATTTAGTATTTTGTTTTCTACATGAATGTCTATACCAGCCTTATACACAAAGAACATAACGGAACAGAAGTCATCCTGCCCAAGACTTTCAGAAGTTCTCAAAAATAGTTGTAGATCAGTTTTACATAGGCTTCTAGCAATTATTTCAAAAATTTATTTAGCTTATAATCCCAGCACTTTGAGAGGCTGAGGCAGAAGGATTGCTCGAGGCCAGGAGTTCTAGACCAGCCCAGGCGACGTAGCAAGACCTCATCTCTACAAAAGATTTAAAAGTTAGCTGGTCATGGTAGTACACACCTGTAGTCTTACCTACTTGGGAGGCTGAGGCAAGAGGATTGCTTGAGCTCAGGAGTTTGAGGCTGCAGTGAGCCATGATCATACCACTCAAGTCTGGGCAGCACAGCTAGACCCCAGCTTAAAAAAATTATTTAGAATAAGTTATCAATTCCTTGCAAGATGGGAAAAGGAATATAAAGCACAGTTCCTGTCCTCAAGAAACTCACAGTCTTAATCAACTGGGACATAAAATTTAAACCATCATTCTTCAGCAAACTAACACAAGAAAAGAAAACCAAACACCGCATGTTCTCACTCATAAGTGGGAGTTGAACAATGAGAACACACGGATACAGGGAGGAGAACATCACACACCAGGGCCTGTCGGGGGTTGGGGGGCAAGGGGAGGGATAGCATTAGGAGAAATACCTAATGTAGATGATGGGTTGATGGGTGCAGCAAACCACCATGGCACGTGTATACCTATGTAACAAACCTGCACATTCTGCACATGTATCCCAGAACTGAAAGTATAATTTTAAAAAATTAAAACAAATACAAAGATAATAACTACATCATACAATGTGGTACCCGACATATGGTAGGTATTGAGCACCCACCATATGTCGGGTACCACATTGTATGATGTGTGTGTGATTTTATGCATATATGTATATGTATGTGTATGTGTGTATATGTAATCTCAGTTGCTTCCCTCCAAAGTAAACGACAAGGGTGGTATGTTTGAAAAAGGATGAAGAAATTAAGACTCAGAAAAATTAAATGAATTACACCATGAAGGGCTATATAGTCTATTGATGCACTAGAAAGGAGGAGGGAGACATTAGTGATGTGCTTGAGTCACTCAAGTTTCTCTGAAGACCTGGCCAAGGTGAGCCTCTACGAGTTAAAGGAAACTCAAGGTTGATTCTGGAATGTCTGGACTGACAGTTTCTCTGGTTCACTTCCTGTCCCAGGAAATCACTCTCTGGTCTTTTTCCATGAAACACATTTCTTCATCTCATGGTGTAATAGGGCTTAATAAATAACACCTTTGCATCTTGCAAGGAGAGAAGTGGTAAGAGCAACAGATGAAGGATCATTTCTTTACTCATGAAAAAGGTTAAGTTGTAGGATGTAGAGTAAACTGTCTGGTAAGTAAAGCCCAGAATGAGGTACAGATTTTCCTGCAGGGTCACAGCATATGAAGTGTTCTTGGAGGGATGGCAGGTCCCAAGAGAAAGAAGCACACAGCCAAGCCAAAACCTTGGTTATTCCTCCCAGATTTACTGATCAGTTAAATCTGCATCTGCCATGTCAGAGTTAGGCCAGGAATTAAACTAGCAGATACTTCCTCACTTGGAAGGAAACATTAGTAGTGGGAAAGAAGTGTCAGCTGGGCGTGGTGGCTCACGCCTGTAATCCCAGCATTTTGGGAGGCCCAGGCGGGCAGATCATGAGGTCAAGAGATCAAGACCATCCTGGCCAACATGGTGAAACCCTGTCTCTACTAAAAATACAAAATTTAGCTGGGCATGGTGGCGCATGCCTGTAGTCCCAGCTACTCATGTCACTGAGGCAGGAGAACCGCTTGAATCCAAGAGGCGGAGGTTGCAGTGAGCCTACCAGCACCACGGCATTCCAGCCTGGCGACAGTACGAGACTTCGTCTCAAAAAAAAAAGAAGCGTCTCCCCCCGTGGGGTCTGCCACATATACTCCATTTAACAGTGCACAAATGTGACCTAGGCAAGATTTTGCAGTGTTTGTAGAACAGGGAAGGACTTGAAGGAGGAGAGCGATGGAGGAAGGTGGCCCTCGGAAGTGACTGGAAAAGGTGTTCTGGTAGCAAAGGTGCCACTCTATGTTATGACTCCCCCAGCTACCAAAAACAAAGCAAACAAAAACAACATCTGAAGCAGCTTCTGCAGGGTTGGCGAGGCTATAAGACAAAGTACTCCCCAAAGAGGGTGCCTGTGAGATGGGGAAGTAAATTTAGCTAGAAGTTCCTCTGTCAGGTTTTTCTAAGAGACCTAGGATGGAAACTGAAAGAATCCAGACATGTCTCTCTCTAGCTTTGGGGTAGCGTGTTTTCTAAGCTAAAGAAGAGTTGATACCCTCCAGGTAGTCAAGAAAATTATTTTTCTTTCCCCTTTTCCCACCGTCCCTCTTCTTTCCCCTTTCCCCACCTTTCCCCACCATCCCTCTTCTTTCGCCAACTTTCCTCCACCATCCCTCTTCTGCTTTTTTTTTTTTTTTTTTTTTTTTTTTTTGAGATGGAGTTTCACTCTTGTCATCAAGGCTGGAGTGCAATGTTGCAATCTCGACTCACTGCAACCTCCACCTCCTGGGTTCAAGTGATTCTCCTGCCTCAGCCTCCCAAGTAGCTGGGATTACAGGCACCCGCCACCATGCCCAGTTAAACTTTGTATTTTTAGTAGAGATGGGGTTTCACCATGTTGGTCAGGCTTGTGTTGAACTCCTGACCTCAGGAGATCCACCTGCCTCGGCCTTCCAGAGTGCTGGGATTACAGGCATGAGCCACCACGCCCGGCCTCCACTTTCTTTTTCCCCACCTATTAAGAGAAAAAAGAAAATTACACTTAAATTTCCTGTTTTCTCTTGAAGTAGTCAAGGGTGTTTTTCAGCCAGCCTAGCCTTTGACTAAATGTGCCGTACTCCCTGTTCTCTTACTACTTTTTCCACATCCTGGCTAGGAGCAAGGTATAATTCAAAAGGGCCACAAAAGAAAATGGGCTCATGGAAATGAAAAGAATTATACTCACTTTGCATGGAAAGGAAAATGGAGGAAAACGGAATTGTATTTATTTCAAGTACATGAAAGCTTTCACTCGAGGATGAGAACAATGTTTTAAGCCAGAACAAGAGGGGAGAGATTTAAAATGTAGCACTAGGAACTTTCTTTCACTTTAAGTAGGTTGTCTTCAGTGTCCCCAGGTAAACTTAGGAGCATCTTCTCCACTGCTCCCATTCCACATTGAACCCAACTGCTGAAGAACAGTCATCTTATTTGATTGCATGTGTTTGTCTGCAAAGTCCACTACTACAGGAGACAGTAAGCAACTTGAGGATGGCATTTAACATAATGCCTACATCAGAAAAAAACTGAGTATTTATAGGCTGAATCAATTTAAAGTGAGATTCTTAAATACCGAAATGGGTTATTTAACATGTTCATTTTTTGTAGTGGTGGAGGGAAGGAAACTTTAAAAATGGGATAGATTCAGGACTTGAGTCATTTCATAAACACGTAAGAATAACAATCCTCAAATGTAACTGAAGTAGTCATTAGAGCTATTGACAATGTTCTGTACACATTCTAGGCCATGAAGCAGGATCATATTGCCCCATCTACTCCAAAGAGACTGGCTTTAATCAACGAAATATGATCAGCATTAACTGGTCACATCCAAGCATTCATGGCTCACCAATCTCTCTTTTCCTGCCTCTGGCATTGTTGATGCCTGCTGTGGTTTGGATGTGGTTTGTCTCTGCCAAAACTCACGATGAAACTTAATTGCCAATGTAATGTGGTTGGGAGTGGTGCCTTCCTTAGATGATTAGTTCGTTAAGCTAGATTAATGTCTCTCTTAGGACACTGGGTTAGTTCTTGAGTGAGTGGATTTGTTCCCTTGAGAGTGGGTTGTTATAAAGTGAGGTTGCCTCTCATCTTCTGCCTCCTTGGCAAGCCTGCCTCCCCTTCTACTTCTCTGCCATGTTATAACGTGCAGCATGAGACCTTCACCAGAAGCTGAGCAGATGCTGATGCCATGGTTCTTGGACTTCCCAGTCTCCAGAATCATGAGCCAAATAAACTTATTTTCTTTAGAAATTACCTAGTCTCTGGTATTCTGCTACAGCAACACACAATAGAGTAAGACAAAGATGGAGTCAAGATGGAGCTTCTGACAAATCAGGTCTAGGAATGACAATGATGAACCTAAGCCCAGTGCACCATGTGATGGGCCATATGAATAAATTAACAAGTTAGAACTAAACTCATGTTAATATCTTTGGAATGGTTGTTTGATCAAACCTCACTTGCCTGATACAATATCCCTGTAAACCCAAATTTCTATTTAATTTCAAAACTATATAGTTTCATCAAAATGTGATTACTGCTCTTTGACTAACAGGCTGTGATCTTCCATCCCTAAGACCTATTTATCTGCTTAGGTAAAACCTTGGAAATCCTGGAGACAAAAAGTGTTGTGGTAAAGAAACAAACCACTTTAAATATGTTAAAGGTGCTTGCCTTTTCAAACCTATTCAACTTTTCCCAAAGAGCTATGCATGCCCATGCTCCAGAATCACTAACAGCACAAGAATTCTTGGAAGCACACACACACTGGCTGAATTATATTTCTATTTCCACATTGCTGCTATTTTCTTTTCTTTTCTTTTCTTTTCTTTTCTTTTTCAGACGGAGTTTCGCTCTTGTTGCCCAGGCTAGAGGGCAATGGCGCGATCTCGGCTCACCACAACATCCTTTCCGCGTTCAAGCGATTCTCCTGCCTCAGCCTGATGAGTAGCTGGGATTACAGGCATGCGCCACCACGCCCGGCTAATTTGGTATTTTTAGTAGAAACGGGGTTTCTCCATGTTGGTCAGGCCGGTCTTGAACTCCCAACCTCAGGTGATCCACCCACCTCAGCCTCCCAAAGTGCTAGGATTACAGGTTTGAGCCACCGCACCCAGCCTCCTGCTATTTTCAAAGGAAATCTGTTCCTCTCTTAGCAATGGTATAGGGATAGAAGATTGTCCATAAAGCCCCAGTGTCACTGCCACACATAATCGGACATAACATGGTTGGCTCATTAGCATTTACATGTCTCCATTTCAACATGACCACTTGACACTAAGTGTTTGTCCCGTTAGAAATGTCAGAGAGTTGTCAGGTTTTGACTGAATTTGGTAAATGACTACTGTATCTCTAGTGCCCCAAATTGGCTCAGAAAGCCTTTCTTCTGTTAGGACTTACATGTTGCTTTTCCTGTTTTGGGATGCTGTGGCCAGAGCTGTAGCCAACATATACCTTAACTTTGTTTTGGACTTTTGTGCATTCTATTGAAACAAAATGGCAAGTAAAATATTTTTATATGAGCATATTTCTGTCATGTTTAATGGATTCTAATAAAGTTAGGTACATGGGTGAATTGATGAGAAAATGGCTCCTCTTGCCAGCTCAAAAAATGCATATTGCCAATTTAATTTCTACATGGTAAAATCAGCTACATGAGGTTTGAATAAGGTCCAGCACTTGGAGAACTTCAATGAATACTAATATAGCTTCCAGATAGCCAAAAAACATAAGTTTGAAAGACCTTTGCAAACAGTAAAGTGTTATTTGAAAGGTGAGCTTTCCCATTTGGGAGTCAGGTATCAACAGGTCTTTTTCAACCCCATTGAAAAAGAGTTGTTTCTATACATCAAGCTGTACAGAAAGGAAGCAGAAGGATATGTGATTTAGTGAGGTTCTGCAAGTCAACTGCTACTGTGTGTGTGTGCGCACATGCGTGTGTGTGTCTGTGTGTGTGTGTGTGTGTGTGTGTGTGCGTGCGCGCACGCATGTATGGTGTGTACCGCTAGGTCAGGAATGAACTGGAGTTCTCTGAAGCCAGAGGTTCGCCAAGAAGCTTCCTATGATGTTTTGTTGGCCTAAAAGGGCAGATCAGGTAAAAGTCCATAGGAGGAATCTAAAGCTCAAATATCAAGGCAGGGAGATCAAGGAAGAACCAGGATGTCAGAGACAGCTAAGGAGGAAAGCAGAATGAAATCCTACCAGGAACAGTCAAAGGGAAGCATCCCAGGCGGCTGCTACTAATGTCAGTGGGTACTTGCAGCTCCCCTTACAGAGCTAGCTTATGTATGTTATATTGGCCTGGTTGTACGAAAGCAGAAAAAAGTTAGGTTGGCTGGGCACACATCCTGGTGAACATGGTGAAACCCTGTCTCTACTAAAAATGCAAAAACAAAATTAGCCGGGCATGGTGGCGGGCGCCTGTATTCCCAGCTACTTGGGAGGCTGAGGCAGGAGAATGGCATGAACCCAGGATGTGGAACTTGCAGCAACAGAGCAAGACTCCATCTCAAAAAAAAAAAAAAAAAAAAAAAAAAAAAAAAAAAAAAAAGTTAGGTCTGCATGGGCAATGAATTGAGATTATGCTTTGGAGTATTTGGTATACCTTTTCAGAACTTTTCAAAAGGGAATATGAGCATATGAAGAGCCAACAGGTTGGAAGATAATCCTTGCATTCCCCTACCTAAGCAATCACTATGATGAAAAAATCAAATCATCTTAGAAAAACATCAGTTCAATGGAATACATGTGTACAGCGGAACAGAATAAAATGTTCAAGGGGATTTTAAGTGTCCATCTTTGTGAAGCTATCTTGAGTCCATCATGATAAATTTACAGAATTAAAGTTCTCTTCACTTCCCTAAGTCAAAGAAAGAAGGAGGTACCCAAAGCACTGAAATGGTTCCTCCGCACCCGTGAATTTAGCCAAGATCTCTCAGCGGGCTAGTCCTAAGGGGACGTGCTGCTGCCCTCCGACATGGGAAACAGGTTCACGACTCCACCCATCCCCATCACCCTAACCCTATCCCTGGGGACTATGGTCCACACCAACCTCTGAAGGAGATGCTTGGTGTACACCAGGTTCTTCCTGCTGGTCTTGCTAGTAACATTTCCCCTGTGTCTTCTCTTCTCCATTTCCCATTCCTGGACCCATCCTCTGTGTCCTCCCATGTTCAATAACTCTCTCAAATCCCATCTTTCACAGGTCAGTTTCTCTTGTCCAGGCATCTGGAGTGAACAGGGACCTAATCTTTGTCTCTGCACACCCAGCTCAGGATCCAGTACACAGCAGGCATTCAATACATGCCAAACAGATCAGGAAATAAGTAATGTATGACCCTAATGCTAAAGTGAGGATGCTGGGCTCTGAGGGGTGAGGATGAACGTAGCAGGGAGGTAAGATGGGGAGAAAGGAAAACAGCCAAGAGGAGGAAAAGAAAGAGGGGGCAGGAATCCACCCATGTCCTTTTGCTGCTAAAAGGCCCCCTTTTCTCAGTCCCAAAAGCCCCCACCACCATCACAGAAAAGGCAGGCAGTGGGACCACCCCTTTAATGGTTCATACACAACCCTCAGCTGAAAGTTCCATGACTACTTTACCTTTAAAGATGGCCTGGATGTTCATTCCAACCTAATTTCACTCAGGTACACAACGTAATTTTTCCTGGTCTGATCCTCAGGAATTGGCTGGCATTTTCTCAACAACAATGTCCTTTGATATAGAACCTTCTAGTACCATGGTCTGATTAAGAAGGATTTAATGTTCCCTGTGTTCCAGAGTGTCGGGCTCTATTGCACATTCAAGGACAGAAGCACTTTTTGTCCATAGCACCTAAAGAGCCTCCAAGGCACTGTACAGTTGTGGTTCTCGATAATTCCTTGTCAATTCCCATATACCCTGAGTGGTCCCACATTATGCAACATGCCTATAAGCTGCCTTGTATACCACAAATTGAAGTAAGCCCATGACAATATTTTGAAAATAGTCGACTGATGAGATTTCCATTCCTCCTCCCGGTAAAACATGTCCCTTGGCAACCATTTCACTCTTCCAGTTGGGAGGGGGTTGGGGAAGAGGTGGGTAGGTAAAGGAAACTGCTCCAAACAACAGGAAGAGGAATGAGAATGCCTATCCCCTCCACCCCAAAGGAATTGGCAGGACACCAGGAAAAGCAATAGGAAAGCAGGTGGTGAAAAATGCATGTGTTGACTACCATTCTCCAGGCTGGAGTCCTGGAAGTGGAGAGGTATGTGAAATCAGTTAAAGGGGAAAATCCAAGCGGAGAAAAGTCTTCCTTCTCACGAGGCACTCAGAATCAGCAAAGACTCTAGCAGAGATTCACTCCCCTCACCCCATACCAGCCAGGGGTGCCCATGGCAGAGTCAAATTGGAGAACAGGCAGAGGTCTTATGAGCCCAAGTTTAGCTTTCCACATCTCCTTCAGCTCCTACATCACAAGGAAAGTATTTACTGGTTGCTGGGTATCCTGTGGAAGGACCCAGAAGTACCAGATGAGCTGGGGGTGGGTGGGAGCTGGGTGCACAGCAGGGGTTCAGTGAACCCAAGAGCCATAGACTGCAGGGGAGACATGGCGGACCAGGAATCATAACAATCAGGCTCCAGGAAGACACCTGGGCTTGGAGGGGCTGAGTCGGCTGGGAGATCGGCATGACCAAGCTGAAAGAGAAGAGACCATCATCTCGGAACTGTCAACTTCAGCACCAGTGACAGCAGGGCACCTAGCAACCAGGCAGATACAGGATAATGCCATGGCCACAAGAGGGTCCCCAGTGCACGGACCACTATCTCCTCCCCAAGAGCTGAGATCCCTCCACCACCCATCCGGGAGCTCTCTTGGAGAAGAGCAGAGGCACGGGAAGAAATCTAAAGAATAAAGTTTCACCCCGAAGAGAACTTTGCATAAGAAGTGACTTAAATTATTGAATCAGACCAAATTTCATTTTTCCATGATACTCAGCAGAGTGGAGGCTGCCAGGGAAGAGTAGACTTGACATAAAATATTTAAAAATACACTTTCTTTGCACATGAGCGCATAGTCTGTACATGTGCAACCCAACTTCATGACTTTTCATACTTTATATGAAAAACAATGATCACAGTCAGGTGCGGTGGCTCACGCTGGTAATCCCAGCACTTTGGGAGGCTGAGGCAGGTGGATCACTTGAGGTCAGGAGTTCAAGACCAGCCTGACCAACATGGTGAAACCCGTCTCTACTTTAAAAAAAAAAAAATTAGCCAGGCATGGTGGCGCACGCCTGTAATCCCAGCTACTTGGGAGGCTGAGGCAGGAGAATCACTTGAATCTGGGAGGTGGAGGTTGCAGTGAGCCGAGATTGCACCACTGCACTCCAGCCTGGGCAACAAGAGCGAAACTCCATCTCAAAAAAAAAAAGAAAGACAGAAAGAAAAAGAGAAACAATGATTGCAAGCCACCTCATCATGGTACTGCTTGATGCTTCCTGCCACCAGGGGAAATGGTGGCTGAGAAAGGGTAGGTCTTAGGTGAGCTGCTGGTGCCTCCCCAGGATCATGGTGGGAAGGAATTACCCCCCAGCCTTAAGTTCCTGGAGCTGCTGTTTCAATCTGCTGACTTAGACAGGTAAACCACACATGGCCAGGACCTAGAGGCTTGGTGGGCTTTTTTGCTAAGAGTACAGTCTCCAGCCTATGCTCCATATCCCCATACCTATCCCCACATCTGTCCCCTCTGACTCCACCACAGTTCTCCTCTTGGGATGCAGTCAGATGATGGCCATAAGTATGTGTGCATGTGCGTGTGTATATGCAGGACAGTGACAGCCAAGGCTCCATGCTACTAGTAATAGTTTAAATTAAAACAACAACAACAGCAACAAAACTTGCCTCTAATTTTATTCCAGGGACCTAACACTTCCACACACGGAGGTTCCAGGGTAGGGGCTGCGCAACCACCAGCCATAGTCAGGGTAGATACCCGACTTTGTTTCTCTAAAATGCAGAGGGAGCTGCCCCCTCCCCACCCACCGCCACCTCCCATGCCCCAGCTCTTATGACCCACGGAAGGCACCGCCTGTCCAAATCAGAATTACCTCTTTTCTAACACTTATTTTTCTTTAATTCTCTGTGAATGGAACCCCCACTTTACGATTTGTGAATCCACTGTTCAACCTGGACAAGTTTTCAGTAACACATTATGTACAAAATAAAGGACTGTCTGATTTCTTTTTTCCTCATTTTGTTATTTGGATTTCTTTCTTTGTTTTTGCAGAATTTTCCAGAATAGGTGTCAATTTACTTTGTAAACATTGTGCTTAATTGTTTGCAAGACTGCAGAATAACTGGCACGAAGTGAAGTTATTTTAGACAAGAACAAACAATTTGAATATGGCAGTTAGTGGGGAACGGAGAACAAAGACTGGAGTTTTATTTAAAGAACAAGTCAATCACGCCAATAGAAAGACAATGCCTAGGCTCCTTCCGTGTGCACAGCTGAAAAGCCCCAAGTTGCTCTGTTTTAAAACGTGTGAAGATATTCAGCACAAAAGGCCCGGTTTTGAACGTCGATAAAAGAAATTCAGGAAGAACTACTGTGGTTCACAAAGAAACAAAGCCTTTGCCACTGAGGAAACGGATTGTGTCCTGTGAAACCCAGTAGTCAAAGATGACAGGGTCTGGTCTTACAGCGGTGTAGAGAATCAAGAAATTGACATGGAAGTCTTATGCAAACCAACTTAACACATATTCCATCAAATATGTTAAATGCATCAGACAAGGAATAGGAAATATTGAAAACCCAAGACAACAGCTCTACAAAGATTGCTCTCCTCGTATCATCTGCCTTCAATCCCCGCTTCTCACAGCAAGATACCCTGTATTTTTTAATCAGTGGGTTTACTTAGAATGAGATTCCAAGTCAGCAGTCAGCAAACATTTTCTGTAAAGAGCCAGACAGGAAAAATTTTAGGCT
The DNA here is from genome assembly GCF_000001405.40 of Homo sapiens. Taxonomy (NCBI): domain Eukaryota; kingdom Metazoa; phylum Chordata; class Mammalia; order Primates; family Hominidae; genus Homo; species Homo sapiens. Next base: position 73,843,782 of record NC_000016.10, read on the forward strand.
TTCTGGACCACTAGGTCTCCTTCGCAGCTACTCAACTCCACCTCTGTCGTATGACAACAGCCACAGACAGTTTGTAAACAAAGGGGCGTGGCTGTGTTTCAATAAAACTTTATGGACAATGAAATCTGGATTTTGTGTAGTCTTCATGTGTAACAAAATATTCTTTCAATTCTTTTTTCAACGATTTAAAAATGTAGAAATCATTCTTAGCTGCCAGGCCATACAAAATTAGGCAGCGGGCTGTGGATTGCCAACCCTTCCTGTGTAACCCAGAAACCCTTCAGTGACCACCATGAAATATTACCTGGTGCAGTTCTAAGCGACTATACTTTCAAACAAGTGTTTCAGAAGGACAGATGCCTGCAAAGAATACAGAAACAGGAGTGGCAACCACATGAAATAACAATAAGGTAAGAAAAAAATGAACAAACCATAAAAAGAAAAGAGGTACAAAATGCAGTGAAATGTATGGGTCCAGGTCCCAGATATGATGAAGTTATATGACTGGGGGGGTTGAACAGGACAGCTGTTTTGCTACTGGTACTTGGACTTGGTTGAAGGTAGGGTTTGACAAAAGTCCCAAATAAGAAAGCATGACCCTGTTCTTATGAGTGAAGATGAGAAAAGGAAGGAGACAAGGAGATCATGAAAATAATGAAGACATTGAAGGCCAATACTATGGAGACTTCCTATGTGACAGGAATTATTCTAAATGCTAAATATACATCACTTAATCCTTATAACAGTCTTCTAGGCTTTATTATTAGTCCCATTTTATAGATGAGAAAACTAAGACCCTGAGATGATAAATAACATGCTCGAGGGAGGGATGGGGGGATGGGAAGATGGGTAGAGGGATGGAAGGATGGACAGACTGACAGGAAGATGATAGACATGATTGACAGACGATAGAGAGAGATCAGATAAGTTAGGCAGACATGTAGATGATAGGTAGATGGATAGGTAAATGATACTAGATGACAGAGATAGACAATACAGAGATTAGTAGACAGATGATGGGTAGATCAATGGGTAGACAGATGGTAGACGGATGGATGGGATTGATAGATGGATAGGTAGGTAGGTAGGTAGGTAGGCGGATGGTAGGAAGATGATGAATAGATGATAGATAGCCCTCCAACTCTAAAAATGGGGCACTCAACCCCACACTCTGCTGCTCTAATGGGCAATAGGGGAATTAACAAAAGGCTGCTGGAACCCAAAATGAGGGCTAAAGAAGGAAGAGGTGGTAGGAGCTCCTCTTTTTTATAAGCAGCCATGCACTGATACCCTCTATTCTTCCAGGAGGTTAGTTTGAATGGAGATTTCCTGAAGGAAGTGAGTTTGAAGTCATTTTGAAATAACTGAAGGAACTAAATATTGAAACATGCACGCGACCATAGGAAGTGCGTTCGTGGAGGACCTGGAACCAGGAAAAACAAAGATTCAGAGGCGATTTGAGAGTGTGAAGATGATTTGAAGAGCCAGACGTTTTTTCTCTCAGATCTAACACAGGAGCAGATTTTCAAAAACACAGGTTCTACAAACTGCCTGTCTTTGATATCCAGGAGGAGCTCATCTGGAATGCAAAGGAGCTAGTACAAGAAGCACCTTCCTTCCTGGGTGGTGAGACCAGCCCCGTGCACTTAGCGAGTGGATTTTAAATATAAAGAGATTTGTGTCCAGTTATCTAGGTGGCCACTGGAATGACAGTAATTCACACCAAACCACATAAGGAGGAAACATCATCCATCTTCATTTTTTAGAAAAAAAAAAAGCAGCTTTAGAAAACCAGATAACTAGCCCTCAATCAATTCCGAGTCAGCAGATCTATTTACTCTCTTCTGATGCTGTGTCACTCGATTGAGTCTTGCTGGCTCCGTCAGGATTTTTCCAACATGCGTTGTCATGGATCAAAACCTTCCAGCAACTGTCCTTTGTCTCTCAAAATAGTGTCTTTTCTCAATCCATGAAGTAAGGCATGTCTCACTCAGGATCTGCTCAACTGATTTTGAAAAAGATGCCAAAATTCTTTTTTCTCTTTTTTTTTAGAGACAGAGTCTCACTCTGCCACCCAGGCTGGAGTGCAGTGGCACAATCTTGGCTTACTGCAGCCTCAAATTCCTGGGCTCAAGAGGAGTAGCTACTCAGCCTCCTGAGTAGCTGAACACAGGCATGTGCCACTCTGCCCAGCTAATGTAGAGACAGGGTCTTACCATATTGCCCAGGCTGTTCTCTAAATTCTGGACTCAAGCAATCTTCTCACATAGGCCTCCCAAGTGCTGGGATTGCAGGCATGAGCCACTGTGCCTGGCCTGCAAAAGCTCTTTACTTTGAAAGCACATTGAAATTGTTCTGTACTTGGCAGCGGTGGTTACACAGCTGTATATTGCCATCAACATTCATGGATCTATACACCAAAGAGTGAATTTGACTGTATGCAAGTGATGTTTCCATTTAAGTAAGAGTCAAAGGAAAAAAAAATGAAATACTGAAATTTCTGTCTGGACACGGAAGGCTTAAAAAATAGGAGCGTCTATCCTCTCTGAGTATCTGCCTAAGTTTTCGAGGGAAAACATGAATGAGCCAATTAAAGATCTCATTTCTAGGTGACTGACAAATCACATTTGAGTTACTCAACTAGTTCTGGTTTGGGGATTGGTGAGTTTCACTGTATCAAGCTGTGACTCTGTTTAACCCAAGTATTCCCTCGAGGCCAATCTTGGCTGTCTCTCTTCAAGCTGAAATTGAGAGGCTTTGCGAGTGGCCCTATAAACACGCTAATGAATGAATGGACAACTAATTACCTTGTAAATATGCATGAATAAGCACAGGCCTCAGATGCCTCTGCAGTAAGCCAAATGTCTCGGCGCCCCCTTGCTACTTACTTGTGCATGAGAAAACGTGTGATATTCCTACGGTGGAAGCTCAGGCCTCTCATTCTCAGAGGCAAATCTTTCAATGTTGGTGGAAAAGGTCCTGGTATAGGACACTTTAAAAGACACATTAATAAAAATAACAGACAAATGTAGCCATGAAGAATAACCCATCATCCACGTTCCTACACCCCCATAAAAGAGTAAACTAACCTCTTGATTAAATTTTTCCAGCAAGGAGGCCCTTTTTTTATTTTAAACTTGTTTTTAAATAGTTTTTTTTTCTCCTTTGTTTATATATTGTAGGTCACAGTGATTCCCCTTAGTGCTCAAAGATTGCAGGGCTTTAAAAGCCCTTAAGGGGCCAGGCACAGTGGCTCACGCCTGTAATCCCAACATTTTGGGAGGCTGAGGCAGGAGGATCACCTGAGGTCAGGAGTTCAAGGCCAGCCTGACCAACATGGTGAAACCCCATCTCTACTAAAAATACAAAATTAGCCAGGCATGGAGGCGCAGGCCTGCAATCGCAGCTACTCAGGAGGCTGAGGCAGGAGAATCACTCAAACCCAGGAGGCAGAGGTTGAAGTGAACTGAGACTGCCCCATTGCACTCCAGCCTGGGCCACAAGAGGGCAACTTCATCTCAAAAAGAAAAGCCCTTAAGGATGACACTGCTTCCTGTCCTAGGAACATGAGCATCAAACTACAAAAACCAGTGTCGAGGGGGGATTTGGCTGGTCCCTGGAAAATGCATTCCCATGAGAGGCTTGCTGGAGAACAGCACCCTTGGCAGGCATTTGTAGACTTATCCTGGGCCAGAGAGACTCATCCAATCTGGTGTGTTGAATCTGTTCATAGTATAATTGGCGTCAATTATAATAACTAGAGTGACATCCCACATCCATCCTTTGGTGAATGAGCCAACTTCAGCAAGTTATTTAGCCTCCTGGGTCTTCAGTTTACTCATCTGTCTTATGGGACTAATAAAAACTACCTTGTAGAGTTGTTAGGAAGATTAAATTTGACAATGTATAGGAAGTGCCCAGTTCAGTGTCTAGTATATAGCAAGTATTTGATAAGTAATATTTATTATTATGATGAGATGGAGTCTCCCTCTATTGCCCAGGGTGGAGTACAGTGGCACAATCTTGCCTCAGTGCAACTTCCGCCTCCTGGGTTCAAGTGATTCTCCTGCCTCAGCCTCCCGAGTAGCTGGGAGTACGGGCACGTGCCACTATGCCTGGCTAGTTTTTTTTTTTTTTTTTTTTTTTTTTTTGGATTTTTAGTAGAGATGGAGTTTCACCATATTGGCCAGACTGGTCTCAAACTCCTGACCTCATGATCCACCCACCTCGGCTTCCCAAAGTGCTGGGATTACAGGCGTGAGCCACCGCGCCCGGCCAATATTTATTAGTAGTAGTATTAATAAGGCCCACCGGAAGAGTAAACTAATTTTGTCTCATTACAGTTTACACTCAATCTAGTCTAGACATGGGCTAATTTCAGTGGGGGCAACATTTCCCTAAATAGCAGTTGGAGCTGGTCCTACTCTCAGAACTGAGACAAGGACCAGTAGACACTAGACTCCCTTAGGAGCACTCAGGAGCTTCCTAGACTCTCTTAGGAGCACTCAGGAGCTTCCTATTTCCAGTCTTATTTTTTCCACTGGTCTATGCTCAGGACTGAACCTAGGCAATAAGCTGTTATGAAACTAGGGCAACGTTACTTGATATCTAATAGATAAAAGCAAGAGCTGGTGAGTCCTTCAAAACAGTGCTTCCCACAGCCTGGCCCACAGAACAGGCACCATGCAAGATACCCCTCAAACGCAATAGACCAAAGGAAAGTAGGTTTAAGAAACTCTCAAGGCCACATAATCCAATGGATTTCTTTACTGCAGAATATTTCAGTGCTGGAATTCATTGTGAAGTTCATATTAATTCAACACCCATGAACATCATATACATTAGGAATTTTTTTAAATCACAGGTTCATGGATATGTTAGATACCATCTAATCAAATCACCTCCTCAATGCATTCATTCTGTGATAACATCCTGATAAACAATGACCAATTTCACTGTTGGTGACGGAACTTAGTACATCGCTATGAAGTAGATTCCATGTGTAATGGTGCTAAAATTACAGGAAACTTCTTCCTTATGTTGAAACAGCTTCTGTCTCTTCTCAAGTTTTTACTCATACGTACTTTCTGTCATATGTATTTTGTCTTTTGGTGCCATCCAGCATGCAACTACAAGCCACATTCCTTCCAGGACTTGAAATTCCCAAGGGTTTTCTTTTGAGGCTAAACATTTTCTTCGACTGTTCAGTTCACTGGTATTTTTAATTTCCAGACACAGCATTGTTCTTGTTAACAACTGCTGGATGTACTCTAGCTTTATCCATGTCCTTTCAAATATTCCTACGTGTAAACTGAACTCATCAGTGCAAAGTATGGAAAGACAATCACCTTCCTTGCTTTGCACAGTATACATCTATAAACATGGTCAAAGGTTACAGTCGCTCCTTAGGCGGGCCCCATGGTGTGTGACGTCAATTCACATCCTGATGTTGCTTTTTATATGAACTTCTGCTATGAAGCCACATCTCACAAGACCTGTAGTCATGCAGTTGAACTTTGAATCTGAATACTGGGATTTGAATTACCTTTATTGCACTTCACTTCATCTGAACTCAGCCTTCTCCCCTGTTGTGATTTTTCTTTAGAACACTGGCTCTAATAGCCAATGTGTTAGTTCTCTCCCGCTTTGCATACTGGAAGGTATGATTTCTATTTTTTCCTGTAAGTGATCGATTATACAATTTTAAAAAAGGATAACAGGGCCTGGTTTAAAATTTTAAAGAGATAACAGGGCCTCCAGGTTGGGAATGATTATGAAATGAGGGTAATTCTCCCAAGTTACCAAAAGTTGTTGATCACGGTTATTCAACAAACTATGTTCCACTAGCCAGTCCACATTTCTTCACTGAGTCTTCGAAGATATATAAGTGAATTTGTCAACATCCTGGATTTGCTGAAATCTGAGCTGTTGCCTTCATCCACTGATATAGCATTTATTTATTTATTTTTGAGACGGACTCTCGCTCTGTCGCCCAGGCTAGAGTACGATGGCGTGATCTCAGCTCACTGCAACCTCCACCTCCCAGGTTCAAGCGGTTCTCCTGCCTCAGCCTCCCAAGTGGCGGGGATTACAGGCACCTGCCACCATGCCCGGCTAATTTTTGTATTTTTAGTAGAGGCGGGGTTTCACCATGTTGGTCAGGCTCGTCTCAAATTCCTGACCTCAGGTGATCCACTCACTTTGGCCTCCCAAAGTGCTGGGATTACAGGCGTGAGCCACCGCGCCTGGCCAGCATTTATTTTTAAAAGGAAGGAAGGGAGGGGAATGAGTAATTTGCCACGATTTACTTTTTAGTAAACCATGTTGGCTCCTAGAAACCATGGCTTCCTTTGATGAGGATTTACCATCCTGGTGATAAATAACAAAAGAGGTAGAGCAACATACTTTAGACCGTGGGTTTTGAAGTCAAATGACATCTCCATTAGTTATTAACCCACATGCTGTTGGGCAGGTTGGTTAAGCCTTAGTTTCCTCAACTACAAAAGATTTTTAAAGTAAAAGAGATAATATATGTAAACTGCTTACAGAGCGCTGGGAACAGAGAAAATACTTAATACAATGGTCATTATTTTTAAAGTTAGGCTTGCTGGATTTTGGTGGGAAATCAAGATGGCTTCCTTCTGAAAACTGAGTCTGTCTCATGTCTGATTTCACAGAAACAACTTTGAGATGGGGATTCTTGAGCACACGAGTTACTGAATGAGAACTCTCGGGGAAAAGGGAGTGAGAGCTGCAGGATGGGGCAGAGAAAGGAGTAAGTTAGAATGTGCTTTCAGGTGAAGTCTCCTTTCATTCCCATCCCAGGGGAAGCTCTGGGGCATAAATTGCCTGTCCTCTGTCTGTCCTGGCTTGAGAAAAGGCTTCTGTGGACCCCACCCCAACCCACCCAAGTCAGTTATGTCTACTGGACACCCAGGGCCGTGGCTTGAGAGATCTAACTCCCAGCACTTCCTTGCAAAGCAGCTCTCTTCGCCCAAAGCCACTTTTATGGGGAAGGCTGCAGACATGAGCAGCTGCTTCCTCAGGGTGAAGGGTACCTAACCAGTAAAAGAGACTCCAGGGGATTTGAGTGTCACATTCTCACCAGCATCTGCCATGGAGAAAAGCCAGTCATTCCATCAAAACCCAGAACCCACCAACAAGGGTGATCTCTGGGGCAAAACATAAAACTGTATGCCACCTCCATTATTTTATCCTTTTTTTCCCCCTCCTTCAAAATTTTCCTTTTATTAAAATATATTGTGATTAAGCACAATTACAAGAGACCACAATATCTTCACTTCCGAGTTATAGTCTGTCTTACTGCTGTCAAAACATGGTTACGAACGATTTTTTTCTGCAAAGAGCTCGAACATAAAGTACAGAACTCAATACAGAGGGGGAAGTTAATCGCTACAACATGGTACCTAGGTAACAAAGCCTTCAGCAGGGCCCAGCACATAAGAGAATCAAGAGCCCACATGTTCTACCAGAGGTGCGGTCACATTTTAGACACTGCTAAAGTGTATTTTGGGACAATTCCATCATAAAGTTATAGAAAGAGGGATCCCAACAACTGTCCTCTCCTGAGGTTATCTTTGTTGAGACGATTGTCATACTATTTCCTTGGAAAGCATACCGACTTGAAGTCAAATTTTACTCTGAAAATAGTAGCTGAGGAACTTTCATTGAGGTTCTAACCTCCTGAAGTCTCTGTTTTCTCATTTGCTAAATGGATAAAATAACTTCAAAAATTGCAGGTGGGACATTAAGTAAACTCACGTATAAAAATTGCAACGTGGTATTTGGTACATATAAAATCTTCAAAGTGTAGCACATATATTTTAAATTCCTTCAAAAAGCTTCTTTAGAGGGGACGACGAAGCTAAAATTTGAGAACCTACTGAAATCTTCTAATAACGAACCAATACTATTGTATCAAACATACATACTAAATTGATATATCTTGTGTTTAAGTTTGACATCGTAGGGCCTTTTTTAAAAATATTGAGGCATTAGGATCAACAGATTTGTGTGTGTCTTGGGTCCCTCCTCACACCACCATCTTCCATAATGGTCCCACCATTTGGAACTGCTCGGACAGTTTTGATTGTCACAATGATAGGGGAGGTAGGGCATTAATGACATTTAGTGGGCAAGTCCAGGGATGCCAAACATCCAGCATATCCAAAGCCATCTCTTACCGTGAAGAACTGTCTCATCTACCTCCTGAATGATTGCCCAAGGTTTCACTGGACATTCACAAAGGTAAAAATTGTTCATAATTATCTGAGACTATAACCTAAATACTTTCACATGTAAGCAAATGATTTAATGCTCAGGGTGAATATAAATGGATTTTCCAGAAATGCAACTGCCAGGTAAGTCAAGGGATAACTGCAGGCTGTTTTGTTCCAGACTCTATTGTTCACCATGCCAGAAAATCATGACAAAGCCACTTAATGAAACCAAGTCACCAACACAACACGTCTTCATCAGTCCTCATTTGCAGATGGCCTGTTAATGGTGAGTCTACTCACAGGTGTAGGCGTCTGACTTCTTATATTTTCCAATGTGGTTGTCCTGAGCATTTTCATGTTAAAATGCATATTTCAATATAAATTGTTTTCCTTTCATTTTGTTTTATATTACAGTTGGGTTATTTTAGTGATTTTTTAAAAAATTACATGAATGGGTAGGTTATATTTTCTATGTATGTCTTTGCAGGATGGTAAAGAAGATGTTAACAAAATGTTTGTTATTAAAAAGGGGTATCTAAAGGTTTATGAACTGACATGATCTCATCTTTGACAGAGATGATGGCATTGGTCATGATCACCCTCATAACACAATCTCAGGTCCTTCAGCCCTGACTCCTTTTTCAGACTTTTCTCCTAGGAAGACTGAGCTTTCTCACCCAGGCAAGAAAGCCTGGCAAGGATGCTCAAGAGGCAAGGTCAAAGTTTCATCTCCATGTGATCCTGTTGGCTAGGATTAGATCCTTGCACATTGCGACATTTGCTGATGAGACTAAAAAAGCTGGAACTTAACTAAAAAGCTCTGCACAGCAAAGGAAATAACAGAGCAAACAGACAACAGAAGGGGGAAAAATATTTGCAAATCATGCCTCTGACACAGGACTAACATCCAGAATCTACAAGGAACTCAAACAGCTCAACAAGTAAAACAAACAAACAAACAAACAAACAAACAAACATGAAAATCTGAGCAGAGGACCTGAACAGACATTTCTCAAAACAAGAAACATCAGTGGTCAATAAACACATGAAACAACATTCAATGTCACTAATCATCAGATAAATGCAAATTAAGACCACAATGAGAGATTATCTCATGCCAGTTAAAATGGTTATTGTTAAAAACTTAAAAACAATAGATGTTGGCATGGGTGGCAAAACAAAGGAACACTTACACATTGTTGGTGGGAATGTAAATTAGTTCAAACTCGATGGACAACAATACAGAGATTTCTCAAAGAACTAAAAATAGAGCTACCATTTGACTCAGCAATCCCACTACTGGGTATCTGCTCAAAGAAAAAGAAATCATTATATTAAAAAGACACCTCTATGTCACTACAGCACAATTCCCATAGCAAAGTCATGGACCTACGTGTTCATCAACCTAAGTATCCATCAACAGTTGACTGGATAAAGAAAATGTGGTATACACACACCATGGAATACTACAGAGCCATAAAAAAGAATAAAATGATGTCCTTTGCAGCAACATGGATGGAACTAGAGGTCATCATCCTAAGCAAACTAACTGAGAAACAGAAAACCAAATACTGCATGTTCTCACTTATAAGTAGGAGCTAAACAATAGGTACAATGAACATAAAGATGGAAATAATAGACACTAGAACTCCAAAAGGGAGAAGGGTGAGAGGGAGACAAGGACTGAAAAATAACCATCCAGGTACAATGTTGACTATTTGGGTAATGGGTACACTAGATGCCCAATCCCCACCAGTATGCAATATGCCCACGTATCAAACAAGCACACATACCCCCTAAATCTAAAATAAATTTTTAAAAAAGACTGAAAAAGTTTCCCAAAGTCTGTGAAGATCTTCACAAGTGATCCTATTGTTGTAAGTGACAATAGGTTCTCCTATTATCACTTGGTCATTCATCTCGATTCTCTACCTCCATCAGGATCACCCTAAAAGAGTTTCTGTCTTTGATACTGAAGGTTAGACTCTTGCAGGGCCTTTCAGCTAAGCACAAACAAAGCATACAGCACAATTTATTTTGCTTGCGAGTAGAGTCAAAGTACATATCTGAGTATATAAGTAGATATTTTCCTTTATCTCCATTGACAAACCACAAACACAGGTGGTGTCAGGGCAAACCTACTTATAAACTTGTTGGAATGTTTACTGTTTCAGGTTCTCTTTGGCTGGGAAATTTAAAGAGCATTATAAATAGTACACATCGGCTGGGCACAGTGGCTCATGCCTGTAATCCCAGAACTATGGGAGGCAGACGCGGGTGGATCACCTGAGGTCAGGAGTTCAAGACAAGCCTGGCCAACATGGTGACACTTCGCCTCTACTAAAAAATACAAAAATTAGCTGGGCGTGGTAGGAGGCACCTGTAGTCCCAGCTACTCGGGAGGCTGAGACAGGAGAATTGCTTGAACCCAGGAGGCAGTTGCAATGAGCTGAGATTGTGCCACTGCACTCCAGCCTAGGCAACAGCAAGACTCTGTCTCATAAGAAGAAAAGTACACATCTGTCTTTATTTTAGATGGAAAATAAGATGGCTAAAAGAATGAATATATAGAATTAGACTATGAATTGACTTTTGCTTCTGTGAATTTTGATATTTTCTCTGGTTAAATAGAAAAAAAACACGGCAAAATACTAAGTCTGCTTGCTGGAGGTGATGCGATAAAGAAACTTATCTCCCACCTTCCACAAAAAAAAAAAAAAAAAAAAAAAAGATGAAACAATTTTTATATTTCTAGAAGGCAACCTAAGACCTTTGATTGTCTGTCTAGGACATGAAACACTTACCATATTGCACTTGTATCTGGGTTTTTCAACTAGGTTGAGCACCGAGAAAGAACCACAAGGATGCTACAATTAAAGGGAGTGTACCTGAACACAAACTCAAGGGGACATGTATGTTGTTATTACATAAACCAGAATTCAAAGGCCCTTGAGGTTGAATAAGAACTCTAAATCTCCTAGTTTCTACAATCCCCAAGCCAGTATTTTTCCCGAGGAGGTACTGGTGTTTCTAATCCAGCATGGAGCAAAATAAAAAACAATAAGGACCTTACATTTTTCTGAGAAATTAACATGTACAGAAGGAAAAATAGCAATTGCCTCCACTGAAATAACAACCCCTCCTTGCCTGCAGCCATTTGAATCAGAGATTGTTTGCATTAATAAGGCGTTAGCCTTTTTTTTTTTTTTTTTTTTTTTGTCAAATGCCATTCGTTCAATGTCCCACATTTGCCCGTGAAATTCAGGGCAATGAAGCTGACAAAATGTAATTTACTTGCATTGAAATGGGCCAGATCCACGATTTACTCTCCCAGCCTCTCAAGCTGGATTTCACATTCAGTGGCCTTCCTGAATTATCAGAGAGGAAGTCAACTTCCCTGAGCCACAAACAGCAAGGCTGTAGCAGGTGGGCAGCCCCCAGAGCAGCTGTCCAGGCCTCCAGTAACACGGGGTTTTTTCCAGAGGAGGAGGAGGAGGAGGAGGAGGAATATTCCTACAAGCTTCAAACAAGTGCCAAAACTCTTCCTAAGAATTAGTTCACCTTTACTGCATGTACCTTATAATTAATGCAACTTTATAGACAAGAGTGAAAAACACAGATTTAGTCATCTCTGGAAAACATAACAAGCTCAGAAAGCATTTACTAGAACGTAGGACTTAAAGAACAAAACTAAACTTCCCAAATAAGCTACATGTGGAAAATGTCTCATCATCATCTTGGAGAATTTTTGAAATGGAAGAGAGAGAAAAAATAAGTCAGGGAACATTCAGCAAAGGCATCCCAAAGTGTGGATATCTGGGGCAAGGTTTTCCATACAGATAACACAGTGCTGCACTAAAAACTGTCTTACGAGATCTATGTTCAATGTTGTCTATCATGGCATTATTTATAATACCAGAAATCCAGAAGAAAATCAATACCCAATAAACAGGGAATTGGTTAAATAAATTATGGTGCATCCATGCTGTGGAGCCACTAAAAAAATCAGGTCATAAACATGTACTTAGTACCATGGAAAAATGTTTCCAATACAGCCTTACATTTTAAAAGCAGTTTACAAAGACTTATGTACATTTTGATCTTAATTTTATAACCTATACAAAAGCTTATATATGCATGGGAAGGAGAGGGAAGGTTACATACTCTTTAATGTTGGCAGTGACTACGTGTAGGTGGTGGGATTACACCTTATTTTTTATTTTGTGTGCTATTCCATAGTTTTAAAAAAACGTTTTACACTAAGCATGTCTCACCTTGATAATAAGAAAAAAGAAACAATAAAAATTTTAAATTGCCTCATTTCTGAAAAACAAGGTTGGACGCAGTAACAGTTCTATGGTATTCAAACTTAACTCCTTTAAACAACATCTACTCCCCCCAACCCCCACCCCTTGGCAAGGGGGAAAAAAATTCTTTCTTAGAGGATTTCAATCAAGGATGAGATTAATGGATATCCTCTGCTCCAAAAGAAAAATACATATTTGCTTGTATTTCACATTCATATTTAAAACATATTTTCTCTTCCAAAATAAGCCAGCATCTGATTTTTAATGGATTTGAAGAAATCCATTTCCAAATGCCTGTAGCATCTGTGAATACTTCATTTAACAATTAGCAGGATCTTCCTTTTTAGACGGTATTAGAACTGATTTGCAGGGTTATACCATAATCAGGAATGTTCCCACCCTTTGGAAAGCTCTAATCTTATCTTGACCAGCCTGCCCTCTGCCTCCATGGAATAAAAACAATAATGTCTGCAATACAGACTAAATGTATAACCCTCAAAGAAAACTAGAACAAACCCAGAAACTGTATAAAGCATACAGAAAAAATGTTTCCATGCCCCACCGTTGTTTGAACAGAGGTAAGTATTGCTGTGATCAACTGATCAGGAACGAATGTCCAACGTGAAATGAACTCAAGCCCAGGGCGCCTCAGCGGTGGCCAGAGAGCGGCACAGACAAACAGAGTGCCGAGGTAATTCCTTCAGCAGAAGACAGACAACTCAGGAAGAGCCTTTCCTACCAATTAAAGGTAGTCAATATTGATTATCTGAGGGATTTCCATGCTCAGGAAGCAAATTAGAAACTCAATACCTGAACTATTCCTAAATGCAGTTATCAACTTCAGAGTTTTATCTCATAAAACCAATTCAGCTTAGAGTTTAATTCTATTAAATTAGGGCTTAGAAATAAGATTTGCTCTAGAATGAATGCATCATTAGTTTTAAAATGCAATATACTGAAACCCAAAATGTGCTGTATTACAGTTTGGAGAATAAATGAGTAAAGATGGCATCTAAATGCACTTTTCCCTAAGTATGTTTATCAGTCAAAAAAGTGATTGTTTATAAAGACTCCAAGTCCTTTGGTAGGAGGGACACATCCCCTCTCTTTAGCATAAAGTAACCCCACTTGTTCCAATCAAAGACTACAGTTTCCCCTTTGTTCTTAGACCTCCTTATTACACCACTGAGAAATATAAAAGCGGGGAGGAGAGGAAAAGCTACATTTCCCTTGGTTTGTTCTACACTGAAGTCTCGTGAAACGTGGGATACGTGTTCCTCCAAAGTAAACAAGGCTAACCCCCAAGAGGAGCTGCCTGGTACTGTGTAAGTCATAACATGCTGCACTTGCGCTAGGGTTTTTGTTCTGCCCTTTTTCAATAAGACAGAGAGCCAGAGAAGATTCCCCTTCTATGTGATGTCAGGAAAAGGGTCCTCTGGCTGGTAGAGGCTGATCCTCATTTTTGACATCTTGCAGAAATCAAAAATATGTCCCTGGGCCAGGCACGATGGCTCATGCCTATCATCCCAGCACTTTGGGAGACTGAGGTGGATGGATCGCTTGAGGTCAGGAGTTTGAGACCAGCCTGGCCAACATGGTGAAACCGAAGATACAAAAATTAGCAGAGCTGGTGGTGCCACGCCTGTAGTACCGGCTACTCGGGAGGCTGAGGCAGGAGAATTGCTTGAATTTGGGAGGTGGAGGTTGCAGTGAGCTGATATCAGGCCACTGTACTCCAGCCTGGGCAACAGAACAAGATTCTGTCTCAAAAAAAAAAAAAGAAGAAGAAGAAGAAGAAGTCCCTAATGAAATCTAGCAAAAAGCCTTCTCCTGCACTGCAATGCCTCTTTCCCCCATGCACATGAGGGTTGGGGCATCCAATACAAGAAAAGCTCAGTAGGTACAAATCTAGTAAACAGTGATATTACAAGACTGAGAATCATAAATAAAATAGAAACAGTTTCAGACCATGTCAAAGAACCCCTGGGAAGACCTGAATATTGAAAGATGCACCATTCTAGTGAGAACAGCTGCTGATCTTGATACAGTCTTAGATGCTCTGATGACAAGAGGTGATTTCCATCCGTAACAATGGCCCGAGCTGAGTTCTTCAGCACTGAAACTACATTTGCCATTTTGAAAGGAAATGATTATGTTTCCATGAATTGCACTGTGTCACACTATATTTTAGGGCCTTGCATAGCATTATTATGCCTTCATGAAATATTGCCACACATTGTCTCATCCACTGTAAAAGAAAGCCAGTGTTCACAGTGTCTTGTAAATAGATGACATATGGGTTAATCTAGCATTTGCATTTGGGAGGAATAATTCAACATTAAACTCTTCCACATATAAAAACACAAAGATAACACAAAAGATGTCCAGGGAGCTTCAGCAAATGGAAGGTGATCACAGTGCAGTGTGGTTTTAATACGGGGTTTTCAGGTAGATCATATCATGATGATGGGATTCTTAGCACCAAAATAATCCACAGCTTTCAGTACATTATGAGACATGTAAGATGTGAAGGAGAGGATCCCAAGATCTGATTGTGACCAGCTTTTCCCAAATGAACTAACCACGCACCATCTTCCATCCCTCCTTTTTAGCTGTCATCTATTTGTCCTTACATGATTTGTGCAAGCCTAATTTATCTATTGGAAAAACAAAACAAAGCAATACCTAAGGGGATACAAGGAGATGGTAAATCCCCATCTTTTCCCTGGGGAAAAGTAGCTGTACAGCTAAATATGAGGAAACATTTCCAAATTTCAGTCCAACATGGGGAATTAGGATCAAAGCTTCCCTAAGGAAAATTTGCAGGTCCCAGTTGAGGACTGATGTCCCCAGTTGAGTAAATATAAGTTTCTGAAACATCCCCCAGTTCCTACTTCATAAAAATGATCAATATAACCAGGCACAATGGTAAAAGAACATCGCTAAATTTAAATCTTGTTATGTTACCCGGCTGGGGAGTCAGAATTAATTTAATTTTGTGAATTAAAGCCTTGATGATGATCCATTTCAAACCTCTAATGTGCTCACTTAGAGAAAGAAGTGGCCCTCCCTTGACTCCTGTCTCTCTCTGCCTATCAGCCACCTGGTACAAGGGGAAGAGATTCAAATGGAAGTCTGTAGATCATTAACTGGGTGTATGACCTTGAGTAAGTCATTGCATTTCTCCATCATCCAGTTTCCTTCACTTCTAGAAGGACTGGAGCAGAGGATGTCTAGGTCCAGCCTTGCTCTGGAATTTGGAACTTACAATTCTAACAGCTATTAACAAGATAATACCTGGGAATTAAAGAGAGAGGCAATAACAAAAAAGCAAAAATGACATCACCACCACCACTAGTAAAAGCCAAAAAAGGAGAAACGTTCTCTTTTAGCAAGGAGAAAGGTGAAAAGTTGACCAAAATCAAAGACAAGACTGCTTCATATATTAATAAAGCCTAAATATAAAATTCACACAATGTCAGCAAGACGTACTTGGGTTCAGAGCCTTTTTACAACCTAGCACGGTACTGTTTATTTGGAAATGAAGATAACATCCGACGAAGTAAAAGCATCCCACTGTCTGTCTTTTTCATGCAGCAGGGGCGGCCTGTAGACAAACACCAAGAGACAGGCACAGCTAATTTAAAAAATAAAATGCAAAGTCCTGTGGCCCAGTTCAAATTGAGCCTGACAGTGAAGGTCACAGCAACTTTTCACTTTTGTTTAAAGATACTGCCTTGATCATTGCCGGATGTGAACAAAGACACAATAGCAAAGAAGAACCATTCTGAAGCGAGACCATCCTGACGTGCCCCTCCTCCACCTCCAAAAGCTTTCTTTTCTAGTTAAGAAAAAACATTGATAAATTACCAAATTCCCAACAGTTTGAAAAATGACAAATGTAATGTTCCCCCAAGTATGTGGCTAGCAAAAGTAACCAAAATGTCCCAAGAGCAGCGGAATCACTGGCCTTTTGAAGGTTCTCTGTGCTTCATAATTTCTTGCAACTTTTCAAACTCTTCCATTTTGTTTCTGCTTTCCTTGTTTTTCATTCCCTTACTTTTTTTTTTTTTTTGGCAATTTTTCTAGTCCCACCAATCACGAGGAGTAGTAAAGCACTTGAGTTCTAAGAAATTGTTCAAACCAGTTGTAAGATTCATTGTCTGTAAAGAAAATGACTTTGGTCTCCAACATGTGTTTTCAATACAAATGCATCACATAAAAAGTAAAAAGACCTCTTGTCTACTACGCCAATTCTCATGGAGCCATTTTGGTCTTTATAGAAAGATCTCACTTATATCTTGGTAGAAAGGAAAACGTGAAACAAAGCAGACACTTCACCTTCCTTCGGCCTGTTTTATATTTCTCCCATGCTGTCTCCTAAAGACGCTAGCACTTGATAAAAGTTCAGGCCTTCTCCGTGCAGAACTCTGCTTGTCATTCCTTTGGAAGTGATTAAAGACATTAGCCCAGCTTCACCATAAAAGCCTCAACAACAAGTGTCAGGGGCCACTCCCCCAACCCCCACTCACCGTTTTCTCCACCTTGCACCTTCCCAGGCAAAAGTTCTATATGGGGAGGGGAGGTAATATTCTCTTAGTTTACTTTGTGTAGGTTCTATGATGGAAATAACACTGCTTGTATATTTTTTGCAGATTTTTTTTTTTTTTTTGAGACAGGATCACCCAGGAAGGAGTGCAGTGGTGCTCACTGCAGCCTTGGCCTTCTGGGCTCAAGTAATTCGCCCACCTCAGCCTCCTGAGTAGCTGAGACTACAGGCAAGTGCCACCACACCTGGATGGTTTTTTTTGTATTTTTGTACAGATGGTCTTTTGCCATGTTGCCCAGGCTGGTCTTGAACTCCTGGGCTCAAGTGATCTGCCCGCCTCGGTCTCCAAAATGCTGGGATCACAGGCATGAGCCACCAAGTCCAGCATGTTTTATGCAAATATTTCTAAAGAATTTCACTCTCAGAATCAAAATTGTCTGCTTAACCATTGAGATTCTAGGTGATGGTTGCCTCCTGAGACAATCTCCAAAGCCAGAGGGAAAAATGATCTTTAATACAACCAAAAAAGATGCCAAAGAAATATGGGGAGGTTAGAGTCGGGTGATTTCCGTGTACAAATAATCTTTACACACAAATGTGTTCATTGAGGAAGCTCTTCATACCTCAGTTTCCTGGAACTGAGACCCCCTAATATATCCTAGATAGTTTCTTGGCTCTGTTCACAATTATGCAATTGCACGTTGTTTATCTTCTTCCTCCCACTCACTCCCAGTAGTGGGCCATTGGCACCATGTTCCAGGTCCTGATTTGGGGTAAATCTGAATTGCCGTGACTCAGAGAAGCATCCAGTCATCTGTTAAAACATGCTACTGCCAGCCGGGCACAGTGGCTCACACCTGTAATCCCAGCAAATAATTTGTACACAGAAATAGAATTAATCCTAATGCTATTTCTGTGTACAAATTATTTGGTTCTCTGTACCTTTTTCCCTAACCTTAAAAGAGGAGGCACTAATACCTGATTACTACAGTTTAGAAGAAATCATTCATATGGAAGTAAAATATTCAAAATGTGTCATTTGTTTTGTCGAGAGGACTTCTGCAGTCGTCACATCTCAAAATCTCTGGAAGCTCCTTTCCACATTTTGAAAGTTATCTATAGTTAACTACCCACCTTCCCAAGGAAGAATCTAAGTTACATTTCCTAGCTGCCCCTGTAATTTAGATTCTTTAGTTTGTTTAGGGAGAGACCAAGTGCTGAGCATTCATTTTGTGGGCCCAGATCACTAGGTACCACATAGTTCTGAAACCAGTAGCCATGGCACCAGCTTTCTGATCACAGTAAAGGCTGCAGCTCCCATGGCTGGTCTACTCTGGGGTATGTTTCTAGGTTCCGTCCTGGAAGCCCAACTTGGGCTTCTCACTGATTATAGGAGCTACCATATCCTTTAATAAGTCCCCTTTGGTTTCAACTACCAAAAGTGAATTCTGTTTTTGGTAACTAAGAACCCCATCAACTACATATTGGAAAGTTCTTGGTTACATGCTTGACACATAGTAAAAATCTATGTATGTTAACTTCTTCTCTGTCACCTCCAATGCTTGTAATTCCATCCTAATTAGCCAGACCAAAGAAGTATAGAAAGATGTGACGAGGACGGTTGCTGTGACTCACGTCTATAATCCCAACATTTTGAGAGGCTGAGGCAGGAGGATCCCTTGAGCCCAGGAGTTCAAGACCACACTAGGCAACACAGTAAGACCCCATCTCCACAAAAAAATTTTAAAAGTAGCCAGGTGTGGTGGCACATGCCTGTTTGTCTCAGCTATTTGGGAGGCTGAGGTGGGAGGATCACTTGAGCCCAGGAGGAAGAGGCTGTAGAGAGCTGTGATCACGCCACTGCACTCCAGCCCAGGTGACAGAGTGAGACCCTGTACAATCAATCAATCAATCAATGTAAAGAAAGTTACCTATAACAAAATCTCAACCCGTTAGCCTGACGTGATACCTACACATCATACAACTTTAGAGTAAGTTATCTCCAGAAGATTCGTGGTTCATACAACTGTAACAGATTAATTAGTAGAAGCATGGCCAGGAGTGGTGGCTCACACCTGTAATCCCAGCACTTTGGGAGGCTGAGGTGCATGGATCAGAAGGTCAGGAGACCAGCCTGGCCAACATACTGAAACCCCTTCTCTACTAAAAATACAACAAATTAGCTGGGCGTGGTGGCAGGCGCCTGTAATCCCAGACACTCAGGAGGCTGAAGCAGGAGAATGGCTTGAACCCGGGAGGCGGAGGTTGCAGTGAGCGGAGATCGTGCCAATGCACTCCAGCCTGGGCGACAGAGCGAGACTCCGTCTCAAAATAAACAAATAAATAAATAAATAAATAAATTAGTAGAAGCAGTCCCTAGAGGAATGGGGTATTGAAAGTGAAGCTTTAATAGGTAGGCAATGGGCATAAAGAGTAGGATCATGAACAATGGCCCCAGAAGGTGGACCCAGATGGAGGGTGATCCAGAAGGGATCAGGACTGAAGAGTGTGAACAGCAGGACGCCAAAAGGAAACACCCTTCCTTTTGCCTAAGACTGTGAGATGGCTTATATAAACCAAAGCCACCCTTGTGTCCAAAGGGAGATAGTCTTCACACAGAGCAGAATACATAGAAGGGCAGTCTTCAGTCTCAGAAAAAAATCCGAAAGGCAATAAAAGACATACGGTGATGGTGACCATCTGCTTAAGTTCTGCTGATCATCTTCTGCATTCTCAAGTTATTTTACATGGCCTTCATTCCAACATAGATCAGTTTCTATATCATACGATGGTCATGTGTGCATATACCTTAGAGTTCCACTATACCCTAATAATGCATGGAATTTTTATGCCTTCTTTATGTCTTGCAAAGCATCTAGCGAAGTGTATTGTATATCATATTCAGGAAGAGCTCAATAGATGTTCTGTGAAAGAATAAGTGCCGAAATGAAACATGTTCTAATCCATCTTTTCACAGTCATAATTTTTTACTAGTTACTGAATTCTGCTTAATATGCATATAGTCAAATTTTTCAGATAGAAAAATGATCACGCTCTTTTCTCCAAGCAAGACAAGTACCCATCACTCCCACCTCTCCTCAAAACTTACGAATAGTAATTCCAGCTTCAAGTCACAAAGCCAGGGCTTTTTAAGTTATCTCACCTTGTGCATTTGCCTTATCTAAGCTTGCCAAAAAATGTCCTTCTTTGGTGTGTGTTATCTACCTGCCTAATAGATTATTGGCATGTTTACAATCCATTGCCAGAACTTGCAGTTCTGACTTCATGAATTTACACATAACTTATCTCAGCAAACACAGCACAAGGGTCTTCTTTCAGCTTCCAAGTCTGATTTCTATAGCCTCCTCCAGAATGGCTTCCCTATTAACGTAGTCAACGTTAATATACTTGCCCTCAGAGCAATCCTTCATTCACTGAAGGAACATTCATTAACTACGCTGTGACAAGCACTATGCTAAATGCCAAAGATACCGTGATAAACACAGAGGTTAGAGTGGAACAAACATTCACAAAATACTTGGGGAAAATAAAATATGTAGGCTGGGTCTAGTGGCTTATGCCTGTAATCCCAGCACTTCGGGAGGCTGAGGGAGGAGGATCACTTGAGGCCAGGAGCTCGAGACCAGCCTGGACAACATGGTGAAACCCTGTCTCTACTGGAAATACAAAAATTAGCTGGGCATCGTGGCTGGCGCCTGTAGTCCCAGCTACTTGGGAGGTTGAGGCATGAAAATTGCTTGAACCCAGGAGGGTGGAGGTTGCAGTGAGCCAAGATCGCCCCACTGCACTCCCACCCAGACAACAGAGCAAGACTCTGTCTCAATCAATCAATCAATCAATAATAAAGAAAATAAAATAGGTGGACTTGACATAGCCTGGCAGGGGAGCCATTAGGCATCCCAATACCCAATAAAGTAATATTTGAATTGGTGTCATAAACTGGAAATGGCCACATACTCATTGCAGCTCCTGTCAGTAAGAGGAGACAACAATTCCCTTACCCCTTCAATATGGGCTGGCCTCACAGCTTGTTTTGACCAATACAATCTGACACAGGTAACCTGATGTGAGTTCTGAGCCTTGTTCTTAAGGGACTTTGCAGCTTCTTCTCTACTGCTGTTGGAACATCTCTGACATCATGTCAACAAGCCCAGGCTAGCTTCTTTATGCACAAGAGATGACATGAAAGACAGACCTGGGCATCACAGCTGTCACAGCTGAGGTCCCAGAAAAATGAGTCATCACAGTCAATACCAGAAGTGAGCATCTTAGATGAACCCCACCAAAATTGTTGACCCACAGATTTGTGAGCAACTTTATGATTGTTGTTTGGGGAGGGTTTCTTATGCAGCAAATGCTAACTGATGCAATTGGGATCTGAAAATAAGTTAAAAAAATGAAAGGCCTGGAATCTATGCAAATAGGCCATGCAGAGATGTTAAGGCCCCCAAGACAGTAACATCAGAGAAACTGGAAGACATGTATGGGAAGGGTTTGGGGCCGGTGTGGGGTGGGCATGAGGCACCTCCCTGAAGCCTGCACGCCATGTGTTCATTGGGGAAGCTCTTCATACCCCAGTTTCCTGGAACTGAGATCCCCTAACCTCCCAACTCTCTTATATTCTAGATAGTTTCTTGGCTTTGTTCACAATTACACAATTGCACCTTGTTTATTTTCTTCCTCCCACTCACTCCCAGTTCTGGGCCATTGGCACCATGTTCCAGGTCCTGATTTGGGGTAAATCTGAACTGCCGTGACTCAGAGAAGCATCCAGTCATCTGTTAAAACATGTTACTGCCAGCCAGGCACAGTGGCTCACACCTGTAATCCCAGCACTTTGAGAGGCCCAGGCAGGCAGATCACAAGGTCAGGAGATCAAGACCATCCTGGCTAACATGGTAAAACCCCATCCCTACTAAAAATACAAAAAAAAAAAAATAGCCGGGTGTGGTGGCAGGCACCTGTAGTCCCAGCTACACTGGAGGCTGAGGCAGGAGAATGGTGTGAACCCGGGAGGCAGAGCTTGCAGTGACCCAAGATCGCACCACTGCACTCCAGCCTGGGGGACAGAGCAAGACTCCGTCTCAAACAAAACAAAACAAAACAAAATAAAACAAAACATGCTACTGCCCTAGGAATGGCTTTGAGAATCCTGTTCTCAATCTTAAAACACACTTTTTTTGAGCCTCAATCTCCCGGGCTCAGGCAATCCTCTCACCACAGCCTACCAAGTAGCTGGGACTACAGGTGCACACCACTATGCCAGGCTAATTTTTTTTTTTTTTTTTTTTTTTTTTTTGAGACAGAGTATCACCCTGTCACCCTGTCTAGAGTGCAGTGGTACGATCTCGGCTCATTGCAACCTCCGTCTCCCAGGTTCAAGGGATTCTCCTGCCTCAGCTCTCTAGTAGTTGGGATTACAGGTGCACGCCACCATGCCCAGCTAATTTTTGTATTTTTAGTGGAGATGGGGTTTCACCATGTTGCCCTGGTGGGTCTTGAACTCTGCCCGCCTCAGCCTCCCAAAGTGCTGGGATTACAGGTATGAGCCACCACCCCCGGAAGAACACACTTTTCTCCAAACAAGACAAATGCCCGTCACTCCCACTTCTCCTGAAAACTCATGAAAAGTCCATCACTTTTCAAAGAGTTTGGGCCTCAAATTATTTTTGTCTTTCTTCCTTCTCTCATTATTTACTCCAGGCCCCAAAAAAAGAAAAGAAGAAAAATGTATTTATCTGTCCGGAATAGATTTGATTCTTGGAGTTAATTCTTCCTTTAGTAATTATGTTCCAGTTGGGCTTCCCTCAGAAACCGGATTTGATTCAACAGCACAGGTGCAGGGAGTTTATTTGGGAGGTAAACACAGGAAGGACACGTGAAGGAGTAGGAAAAGGGCAGAAAATAATGGCCTGGTGAGCTGTTGACAGCTACGGGCATCTAGTGCTTCATCCTGCCAAGGCAGCTCTAGGGAAACCACATAGAAAAGTCTTTGAATTGTCCCTCCAAGGGCTGGAGAAGTGCAGTTCTTATCCGCCAACTCCCTTCATGTCCCTTCTTGCTTTGGGATTGCCCCTGAGGGCATTCAATTTCTGGCATCTCACGTCGTCTTGTGCTTGGGCTGGGCTATGTCCTTGGCCCAGAGGCATCCCATAGACTGAGAAACAGAGACCTTGGAGAGAGGCTGTAGACAGCCTGGAACTGCCCCACCTCAACTACAGGTGAACTGAGACGGGGGCCAGAGGGCTTTGGGATGAGGCATTTACAGTGCCTGCCATGACTCCATTTGCTGAAGACTCTCTATGAGCCAATTCCAGTGTGAGATGCTTTGCGTGAGCTATCTCATGCAATGTTCAAACCAACACTTCGACATTTTCATGAGCTCCATCTCACAGATGAGGAAACTGGGTCTCTGGCCCAAGTAAGTGGGGTACAGCCAGATCCTGAGCTGGGTTCTGCTTCACTCACCCATGCACCTAGACATCACGTAGCTTAGTAAGGTGGATTGCTCACCACTTGCAAAGCCGATGCTCCCCAGCATCACGGGAACCACAAAAGGACCACGGAGGTGACCTTCACTTGGAGTCAATCACAATCTCAGACAAAGCCAAGGTGGGGTTTCTCCCCGATATTTTAGGCTTAGTGCTTCTTAGTTTGACCACTGACAATAACAGGCTTACAGACCAGTGTTCTTTTCTCGTTTATACTAATCCTCATGGTACTTAACACTTTACAGTTGTGATAGTTAATAAGTATGTTTAGTAAGAAGGTATAGTGGACACCTATCGTTTTTCTGGGCATCTGATGTACCCATTCCCCCTCCCAAATGCACTCTGATATCTGTAGATAATTGTATCCCCTCCATTAGGTTAGGCTTGCTGAGAAGGTGGGTTCAGGTGCCTCACTGTCATTTGAGAATTGGCAGCGTTCTGATACTTCCCAGAGGTGGGCCTGTGGCCTCAGCTTGACCAAGGTGATGTCCTCTCAAAGGACTTTGCATCTTGAACACAAGAACAGTGAGAACATGGTGAGTCTTTCATCAGAGCAGCAATGAGGGCCGGCCAACCAGGCCATTCTCCCTAGCGCTGGGTGCCAGGCTTCCTTCTTCATACCTCCAGCCCTCGGAGCTCCCTTCTCCTGCCCCTCCCTAAACCTGGTCTTCTTGTCTCTGGTTGATGCTTTTTGTTCTTCTTTTCCTCCCAATAAATCCCCGTTCGTTAAATAGCCCAGAGTTCATTTCGGCATGTGTAACAAAGAGCCATAACGAATACAGACAATAGAAAACCTGATGGTGAAATCTACAGTGTCCACATCACCCTCTGAAGTCAAGGTTCAACAATGCGGCCAAGTGGGGTGGCTCACGCCTGTAATCCCAGCAGTTTGGGAGGCCAAGGCAGGCGATCACCTGAGGTCAGGAGTTCAAGACCAGCCTGGCCAACATGGCAAAACCCTGTCTCTACCAAAAATACAAAAAAATTAGCCGGGCCTGGTGGCATGTGCCTGTAATCCCAGCTACTCGGGAGGCCGAGACAGGTGAATTGCTTGAACCTGGGAGGCAGAGGTTGCAGTGAGCGGAGATCACGCCACTGCACTCCAGCCTGGGCAACAGAGCAGGATTCCATCTCAAACAAACAAAAAAGATTTAAACAATGTAACAGTTGCTGAGTGGCATTCCCACAGCTTCCCTCTGTCCCCCTCTGAAAGTTGTATGCTGTGCATTTTACCATGTGAACGCAAAACTTACTTCCCCTTAAGGACAACTCCTTAGACACTGTAAAAAACCTAAGCATATTAACTGAAATTTTTTCACTTAAATGTAAAGGCTATCCCAGTGCAAAATTACTAAGTGTACACTGAAGGGTTTCTTTCTTTCTTTCTTTCTTTCTTTTTTTAATGAGCAGCTTTTCCTTCTTGTCCTGCCATATTGCCAAGCTCCATATTTTTATGTCAATACTCTGCATGATCAATTTATAATCTAAAGGCTTTAAAGCAGCTATTGACCTGCTTTTAAAATAGCATTTTCATTCTTTCTCATGATTTCATAATCTTCTTTACACCATTTCCTTGCCTTGGAACTTGTCCCCTTCAAAAATGGTCAATGTTGTCCTGATCAATTTAAACTAGGAGGAAAGGTCCAGTGAGTGCTCTGGCGGGATTTGTCCAGGTCACTATTCTTTAAGAATATGTCACATTAACCTCCCCAGTAGCTAGTCATGTTCACAACACTCTTTTAAAAACCTTATCCTGGTCAAGGCACACATAAATTGTACAACTTTTGAAACACAGTTGGTCGCAGAGCTGCAAATTCATAGTAGAGCAACCTACAGGGTGTTTTAGAAAAGACAGCATTTTAAATATGACTCATGAATAAGCAAACAGCCCCGACCACCCAAATCAACTTGAAGAGTAAACACAGAGGGAATGTTTAGCTAAATTTTAGATGCCATTTGATGAAGGAAAAGGGCTAAAACTTATCAGCTGAGAATGAATTATGTCAATACCACAAACGCTAAGCAACTGCAGAGAACTGTCTTCAAGCAAAAGTTACACAGGCAAAAGGCTAACTGTTTATGCACCATAGATAAAATACACTCTACTACAAAGGGATTGCCCATGCAAAAGATAACTGGAGAAATGCTTTAGAAAACGCAGGATATACATACATAACTTATTTGTGTATTTGCATGACTGTATTTAAGGATTATCATGGGAAAGAAATAGGCGCTTACATATATACTGGGACAGAAAATAAAAACTAGGCAGCTTTTAACTTGTTTCTATCTATAAGTTCTGGTATGTGACCTACTGAAGCCAACTACCCCAATATAAAGCTGTGGAGGTAACAGTATTCATGATACATAAGACTTAGAGAGAAACCAAAAGGAACTTCATAATGTTTAACCGGGCTTCCTGTTTATTTAGAGGGAGGTAGCGGTCTCCTGCTTTAGCAAGTTTTTTACAGACAGAGATTAAGTCTCTTATATGTGGAATCTTGGGGCCCCAGGACAGTGCCTGGAACAAAGCAGATGCTCAATAAACATTCATTTCATTCAGTCCAATTCTCGTGTATCTTCTCTCAGTGTCAAGCTTCTAACTGGGAATAAAGTAGTTTAATAAAGCTTCTTGAATCTTTGGAAAAGAAAACCTTTGACTCTTTATTGAGCTATTTCTGAATACAGAGTATACGTAGGAAGGTCAAAATTTCATCTTTTCCATCTTCCTCACTAGAAACCTAGTTATATGTCATCTTTAGGGATAAAGAAAGATAGGTCCCTCATAATCAATTTACATACAATCAAGGTTTGCTGTTTGCATTGTGTGCAATTCAGGGACCTCGAGAGAATCTCCCCCGTACCACTGGGCATTAGACAAGCCATCCAAGTTACATATTCCATCTCAACTAGCAAGCCAAAGGCAATGGCAGTAACAAAGCATTGCCTGCAGCCAATCCTGGGAATCACGAAGCGTCCGCCCCACATGTGTGCCATGCATCTGTTCAGTCCTACGGAGGAGAGACAAGACTCAAGGAGAGAGAAACCAAAACGAGGGCGGAAGGAGGAAAAAGCCAAAGCGGCTTCACACTAGTCCACGTCAACGCTCAAAACAAATCCCCCTTTTTTTAAGGAACTGAGGAATAGCCAGACAAGTGCCCATTATTCTTTATTTCTTGGACAAGACTTGACTAGGAAAATGGCATTTGCAAAGCGTCTGAGAGCACACTCCTCTTCCTTCTCTGTGCTCAAAAAGTCACTCAGAGGAAAGTGCATTCTGAGTTCTATTCCCCAATTCAAATTAAGTTCAAAGTCAATTCAGGACTGTGGAAGTGTTGAAGTTTGTTGTGGGGCCCGGCGGGCAGCACCTGCTCTCCCTGTATTAGCTATATCTGAGCACGAACATCAGCAGGTATCAGGCAGCAACTCAGGCGTGGGTGGAGGAAAGACACATAAATACCTCCCCACTTTCTTCTTAAAACCTTTCCTTATATTTAGATCACCATAAAACCAACAATGACTCAATGGGCAATTTTTTTAATCTGAATCGTGTTTTGCATTGACTCAACAATTCACAAACCAATACCCCTGCTAGACTCTCATGACCATATCGTATGTACCAGGGAGCTGTAGATTGCAAGGAAGCCATGCAAGAGACTTTCGTGGGTCAGACGGATGAGAATAGGTATCCCAAATCAATAGTGTTTACAAGTTGTAATTGTTTACTTATTGACACAAATTTACATAAAGCTACTTAGGGGGTCAAGGTTGGCACAGCACATGGTGCTCAATTACACTGGATTTTAGCCCTCATGTCACACCCTGACTGGAAAGCAAGAAATGCTGGAAAGTTGTGCACCAGGAATGAGCAGGCTATTAAGATCTGAAAAGCTGTCATCCACACTGAAACGACTTGCGTCAGCCACTGAGGATATATTTTAAACCGCCTGTCCGCAAGAAAACTTTAATAACGCAGCCTTGCTCTAATGTCTTGTGAGAGGAGAGGCAATTTTACTTCTTCTATTAACCCAACGTGATTACAATGGCTTATTTCATGGAATATTAAGTTCAAATTTTGCTCCCTGGGAGGACAATAAAAAAAAAAAGAGAGAGAGAGAGAGAGAGTGTGTGTGCTTATGACTTTGCCTGAAATAGCCACAGGACCACAGCCCCTTGGTGCTTTGAATGCATCCAAGCAGTCATCTCCCATAATTTGCTAATGGTGAAATAAATTAGTGACCAAATAATAACCTGAAAAGATGACATCAAGATGGAAAGCAAATGTTTATCTTTTGCAAAGGCCAGCATAACAAAGCTTATGGCAGTCTCTCATCAATCCCTCTTTAAAAAAAAAATGAAGTTCCTATTAGATACCTCTGGTGGTAGTTGTTTCATAGTGAGACCATAGTTAGACTTGCTAACAAAATAAATAATCACCTTGAAAAGCAACAAGCAGACACAGAGCCACCTGAACTATATAGATGCTTATGGAAATGAAACTGGGCTTCCTCTTAATAATTCCCAATGAGACATACTCCCTGAAAATTATTTTGAAGAGTAATTGTACTTATGAAAATTGGCAGGTTCACCATAATGAAGGTCACCGAGTATTTTTTATAGGTCTAACTGTAAGATTGTACACCCAGTTTTGCGATCAATATTCACATTTTGAATTGTAAGTGAATGATTGGATGGAATGTGAACCCTAATTAGTGACCCAATAATCTCGAAAGCCAATAGGCATTCCGCAATTGGTTCCCAAAAGCCATGACCAACACTTATTCTGAATGCTGCTTATTCTCCAATATGGCTGCTGTCCTCCAATCACTCCCCATATAAAAGAGAGGACATCCCTGTTTTTTTTTTTTCTTTGAGACAGTCTCATTTTGTTGCCCAGGCTGGAGCACAGTGGCGTGATCTTGGCTCACTGCAGCCTCCACCTCCCAGGCTCTTAGCCTCCCCAGTAGCTGGGATTACAGGTGCCTGCCACCATGCCCAGTTAACTTATTATTATTATTTATTTCTAGTAGACACGGGGTTTCACCATGTTGGCCAGGCTGGTCTTGAACTCCTGGCCTCAAGTGACCAGCCTGCCTCAGCCTCCCAAATTGCTGGGATTACAGGCATGAGCCACTGCCAGGCCAGGTGATCCTTTCTTAATATCAGGAAACAAAGCTCATTTTCCTTGGCTCTGCATGCCCTCTGAATAGTACATGAATTGTCGGACAGTTATCTTTAAAAAACTTAATTCACACCTTTCATGGTATGAAACTCTCTCTCCATGTGGGGCTTCCATAAACAAGGTTAATTTCATGGAATGGAAACCATAACTTGGTTAGCTACTCTGGTGGTGGTGGCGGGGGTTGGTGGTGGTGGTAGCTGGTGGATGGCGGTGGGTGGCGGTGGATGGTGGTGGGTGGTGGGTGGTGGTGGGTGGTGGATGGTGGTGGGTGGTGGCGGGTGGCGGGTGGGTGGCAGGTGGTGGGTGGTGGTGGGTGGTGGGTGGTGGCAGTGGGTGGCAGTGGATGGTGGTGGGTGGTGGGTGGTGGCGGGTGGTGGATGGTGGTGGGTGGTGGTGGGTGGTGGATGGTGGCGGGTGGTGGCAGGTGGCGGGTGGGTGGTGGGTGGCGGGTGGTGAGTGGCGGTGGTGGTGGATGGTGGTGGCGGTGGGTGGTGGCGGATGGTGGTGGTGGTGGGTGGTGGGTGGTAGTGGGTGGTGGGTGGTAGTGGTGGCGGTGGATGGTGGTGGTGGTGGGTGGTGGTGGGTGGTGGGTGGTGGTGGGTGGTGGGTGGTGGTGGATGGTGGGTGGTGGTGGGTGGTAGTGGGTGGTGGGTGGTGGTGGGTGGTAGTGGGTGGTTGGGTGGCGGTGGATGGTGGTGGTGGTGGGTGGTGGGTGGTGGTGGGTGGTAGTGGGTGGTGGGTGGTAGTGGGTGGTGGTGACCAAATTAGCCAAGTGTGCAGCAGCAAATCTCATTTGAAAAGCAACAAGTTCATCAACTACAAAACAAGACTCTTAGATCCATGGAAAACACAAATAGAGAAAATCCTCCCACTCATTTTATGTGTTTCTTTATCCTAAGTGGCATATTAAGCTAAAACGAAGTATAGTGAGCTCACACCAATGGCTCAGAAATGACACATTCCCTTATGGATGTGATTTATCACTGTTTTTACTTTTTACAGAGAAAAAAAACATATTTACCTTTAACATTTTTATTTGAGAAATGCAAATGGTAGATGGCATCATAATCATAAGCCTACAAACCTAAGGAATGTTGAAAGTTAAATATACATGGAAATTGTGCTATGACTCTTTAGAAAGGAAAAAAATGCATATGAATCAAATAATGTTGATTTTTACTCTCTCTTTAGAGGAGTTCCCTGTTTGTGGCTCACGTGACTAAATAATCTGATAAGAGGAGGAAGGCTAAATGGCAAACGGCAAACATCCCCACCTGATGTATTTCCTCAGCCCTGACCTTCAGATAAAAATCATACAGAAATCTGCAAAAGCTCCAAATTTGCAGCACCACATGCCTCCAACATTTTCAGACACAACAGTCAGGAGAGGAAAAAAAAGTAAGAAGAAAAAAAAAAGAAACAAAGGTATTGCTACTGAAAACAGTCAGCCTTTTCTCTTCAATATCTCAGGATTAGGGTCAGATGAATGCAATAGCTGCCTACGCCATTTCTTCCTCTGTCTGTGAACATTCATATTATAGGCACATATGTAATCTACATATGTGTGTGCCTATCATTTTTAAGTGTAGGTGTACCCAGTATCAAGTGTGTGGGGAGTTCACATAAGATATATTATATACATACTGTGTGCATATTTAGGAAGAAAAAAGACTTCAAACGGTAAAAATTTATTGCACTGTGAAATTAGCTAAAATTATGACAACTGTAAGAAAAAAAATTATACGGGCAAAATTTGGGTCTGGTGGAAGAATTCTTTGATGTCTGGATTCCAATTTAACCCCCGACTGAGTTCTAAGAATCAAATGAACAAAGTATATCATACACCCCAAGTCTGCCTGTCAGCACTAGTCATCATTTTTTATTTTATTCTTTCCAGCTGCATGTATTTACAAGACTCTGTTCTGACATTTCCTCCCCTCTAAATGTACACACTCACTGCTACGGGCAGTTGCCAAATACATTTGTAAAACAGTTCAATCCTGTGTTTGTTTATTCATTATGCCTCTCTATCAGTCTCAATAAATATGTAACACCCTAATTTTTTACATTTGCTATTACATCAAACCTTTGTATATTTGACTTACCTGTTTGTGTTTGAATATACACCACCCACGTTTAAAAAATATCTCAAGTACACAGTGAAAAGAAAACTGAATATTCACATACAAAAATTCACATATTATCCTGCCTTTCTGTTTAGGGTAGATTAAAGAATTTTTATAAAGATGAGGATTACAATGATATAGATTTCAAAACATCCCTGGGCACACAAATACTATGCTATTCCTATCTTGGTCTGCAATAGCAATGGCATATAACTCTGAACATATCCACAAATGGGTATTTTATATACATACAGTTGGCAACAGAGGCAGTTGTATATTCACTACATTGAAGAACGGTGAAGTCTCAACTGCTAGTACATGCTGCATACAGAAAGAACTTTTCCCGGGTATATAGCTGTTAAGTGAGCTAAGACTCTGAATACATTAAGGCAGTTATAAATGTTTAAAATGTTAATAATAAATCTAGGTTGTTTAAGGAGTATTTCCAAATAACATAAAATATTTAGTTTCCCTCACCCAACCCATAAAAAGATAAGATTTATCGCAAAATGTCTGAGGAATAATCAGCCATTTTTGGCTAATATATTTTAATATTTATACACATGACACATGCTGAATATAAATGATACATCATGATTTCCCATAGTGTATGGAATTTATACAATTAACTGCAAGATCCAATGGCTTCAAGGCACGTAAGGTGCAAACACAGTTACAAGGTTTTGCTGATTATTGTTATAAATCTTATCAAGCATAAAGGCATTAAAGTATATTCTGTTTACACCGTTCATTCTAAAATACAGCATATAAAAATATTATTATTTCTTATTAAAAGATTTATATTTTTCTGGCTTTTTTCTTTTATGAGGTAAATTTATTTACCAGTATTCAAAAAATACTTCCTATTTTTCCACTTCCAAATATGTGTTTGAAATATACCCTGAGATTCGATATCAATTTTCTAGTTATTTCTCAAGGGTTATATTTGTTCATAATAATAGCAGCAAACATTCTGGCATTATTCATTTGGTTTCTCCAAAGTGCTTAAATTTAAAAAGAATCAAATAACAAAAGCATGATGAACCGGATTGCTTATTTTACACACATCTGATAGCCAGATACATATGTATGCAGTTACGCATGTATATTTCTGGCACACCATTAATCATCAATGACAAAACCATGTTATCAATCCACCTACACCGAACATTAAATATTTTAATATTCATATAAATGGCATCAAATATATACACATGATTTTGCTTTTTAAATTAAGAGACTTTGGTCCTTAATGGAGATATTTTTCACTGGGCCTTTCCATTCCTTCTTAGCCATAGTAATATTTAAATACACTGGTACATAAAAATCTGCAATAAATTCTACAACACGACCCCAAACCGTCCAGTGTCTGAATTTTTTAAAAGGAGCTAAAGCCACAGCGTATGAAACATGAAATGGAAACATCCCAATCCCTGCATGCGTGATCCTGGGGTTGTCCACCCGTTAGTAAAGAGGCACTGAATTCTGCAGCTGCTTATCAAATCAGGTTTATGTTTCTGGAATGAGTTCCTGCTGCTGAGTCTGAATTTGTAGACAGTCATGAAAAAAATATCCTCTAAGACTGATCTAGCTCAAAAACAAAACCTCTGGAAAAACACGTAAGTTTTACCACACCCATGTACACCTAGGCAGCTAAAGAGTATGTTAACACGATGACCATCTGTATGCATGCAGACACAGGCTAATATATTTAATACATTTACTTGTATTCAGACCACATGCATATTAAATGTCATGCCTAAGTGTCAGTGATAAGATCCACATATGGGGTATATGTGTGTATCCTATCAGTAACATATATTCAATAATTTGTATGTTTACATTAGCTAAAGTACATTATCACTTTTCTTTTTTTGCTTTTTGCTAAAATAAGTCTGGAAACCAAAAGGGAGAAAATACTTGAGTATAGAAATAGTTCCTTTAATCAACTCCCCAGTTGGATATGTGGGGTAGGAATTCATTAGCATAGGCTTTTTTCCCTACTCATTTGTTAAACCAGAATGCTGGAAAGAACTAGAAAAGACTGCATTTCTCTTACTTTTCTTAACCATGTAAAACAACCCCCTAGAAGAGGTCTAGAATGAGCTTTGTTTCTTTTTTCAAATGGGTCTAATGTCCTTTCTCCACCACCTTCACACACAGACACAAAACCCACCGTGTGGGTTCACGGTCCACATCTGGCTCCCACGCAGAGTTGTACATTTGCAAGCACATCTTAAATATTGTGAAGCCAATTTGGACTTACTAAAAAATCTATGATACGAGTGAGAAATCATGCTAAATACGAGCCCTGGTAACTTTATTTTTAATGATGACTTTCAAAAAAAAAAAACAACAACAACAAGGTAAGGGAGAGAGATCAGCAGGGTGAATGTAAAAATTGTTAATCTTAAATTTCTACAAACCCAAGTGTCACAATAAGCATGTATGGTGCATCAAGCATAACAAAAAGAAACGAGATGGTTGGGTTCGGGGGGTTAGGTCGGGGGGGGGTCCCAGGCACTTGCTTCCTTGAACCCTCTGAATACATTTCACAATTCATCAGTTTTTGTCTTTCCTGCCACAAATGAGGACAATCAGACCAGACACCCATTAGATTCTTCATGCAATTTTTTTTTCTTGTTCATGACATGTTGGCAGGGAGGATGGCAATTCTGAAATCTTACCAAATGAGAAAAATGTCAGAAGCTGAACTGACAGCTAGTGGTTACTATGGTGATTGGTGATATTGAAAAAATATAATAAAATAAGACTCAGTTAATTCAAAAGGAATCAAGTTGGGTATTTTTAAGCCAGTTGATACAGATGAAAACTTAATCCTGATATTGGGACATTATCTTTTTGAGCTAACAGCCAAAGACACCATTTAGCTTAAATAATAACTAAATACACAGCTCATAATCTTGTGATTAAAAATAATAGAAAGAAACAGTATTGATAAATGGAAGTCAAATATTATTACCAAATGACTATCAGGGAAATATAGATTATATTCAGTGGAAAGAGGATTTTGTTCGGAGGAAAAAAATTAAAGTTTTAGCAAAATATTTTTAAAAAGAGAACATGGAAGCCTCACAGATAAAAAGGATTCTTCAGGGACAACTCAGATTCTATTAAAACACACACAAAGACATACACAAACATGGTGATTTCATCTTCAAAGTTCAACTCCCCCCAAAAAAGAAAATCCATTTTGATTCTAATGGTTAACATATCCAATCTCTTTATTTAAAAAAGATATTTAACAGAGAAAGCTTCATCATGAGATTTTTAGAAATATATATACATATATATATCTTCTCCATACCATCATTTCTCTTTTTGGTTGAAACCCAGTGTAATATTCTGACTACTTAAAGTGAGGGACCCTCATTTAATACTAAGCAAAATAATAGTAATAATAATAAAATACATATTGGCACCTTTTTCTAACATCAAGCAATGACAACTCTTGCTGGTTCAATCGATTGGTGCTATTATTTTTAGGTTTAATGGTTTTAAATGAAGGAAACAGAATATCATGAAAATCATATTTATAATTCACCAAAAATTATGCAATTGTTCATCCCACAGGTAATATACATGAAACCGAGAGGTGATTACTTTTTATAAAGAGAGTTTGAAAACAGTTAATAAAGAAGATGCAAAGTTTGTTAGGGGTTCAGCCAAGAAGAACCTATTGTATCTGAAAAATCTTTGACACAGAGTAAAACTTTTTTAAGCCTTCTCTTCACAACGACACTAAAATGGTATAAGCATAATGGATTAATAGGAAAAGTAGACTTAGGAAGACCAGAATCAGCTCTCATTTTGAAACAGTTGCATATTTTATCCATATGCCATACTCCCAGATCTAGTCTATATTTTTTTCATTTGATATAGGGATATTAAATTATCTACTGTTTCTTTTTTTTTCTTTTTCTTAAGTCAAATCTTTTGAGAGTTACAGGTAACTAGCGAAAACAAGATTGTTATTTATAACCTCAAGCTAGTATTTAATGCAAGAGGGAGGGGGGACATTATCAAGGAAGCTGCTCAGAAGAAAAAAAAATTAAGTCTTATTGGTTCAAGGAAGCTCTTCTCCACTGGACAGACTACAATGCCATCTACTGGAAAAGTGAAGTTCAACGTCACTTGAAACAGCAGAGCTAGTTTAAAAGGCTGATAGATGTAACTGGAAAGACATCCAGTCCTACATCCTTCACTGTTCAAAAAAGATAAGATATATATATATATATATATATATAGTTGTGGAAACATCAGTTCCTATTATAGATCATTATGTTCTTCCTCTGAGATCTCCTCCCAGCATTTTGCTTCTTAATTTCCAGCGAAAGCCTCTCTTTTTTAGCTTCTTCCAACTTCTCTTGAGGACCAAGTTAACAACACCCAGAAAAATAATCACCAGCAGCGAGCGACCTTGGGGTCCTTTTCTGCAATCTCTAGCTTGTGATTTTTCGCAAGCAGTTTGTGTTAGCATTTGCTCTGCAAAAGGTTTTTTTTTTCTTTTTTAATACCTAAAATCACAATAGGAAAGACTACCATCGTGGTCAGGAGCAGGTGGAGAAAAAAAAAAAAAAAAGCAGACACAGATCAAGCCCCCGGCTTCATAAGCACAAAGTCTCTTTTTATATGTTCTTATGCGGTATGGGATGGAGAATCTAAGGTCCCTTTTAAGAATAAGAATTCACCGAGGTTTTGTAAGCCATTCCCACATTTCCACCGGCATGTCCTTTGCTCATTTGCACGCTTCCCTTTCATTCTGGTTGGTTCGCCCTGTGATTTTTAAAATGAGAAATGGGAAGGAGGTAGGGTCACCATTTTCCACTCTCTAGATGAAGCAATTCCAGTTAAGGCAGGCAATAGTTAAGAAGCAAGAAGGGACTATCACTGTAATTAAATAAGAATTTGTTTTCACTAGTACTAGCAAAAAGAGAGTAAGTTCCTGCCTAAAAGCTGCTGCCAATATTTTCCATGTATAGGTATAAGTGTAAGTAAACAGCGGGGATTCTCAGCCTCCACAGTGTTGACATTTGGGGCCAGATAATTACTGTAGGATGGTGAGCAGTGTCCCTGGCTTCTACCCACTACTTGCCACTGGCGCACCCACACACACACACACAGTTAAAGCAATCAACAAGGTCTCCAGACATTGTTAGATGTCCCCTGGGGAAGGAGGGGGGCAAAATTACACCCTACTGATAACAACTGTTATAGGATCCTAATTTCAATTTTATATACATTAGTTCTCACCAGTCTCTATCTGGCTTTGATTCATGGTGGTGTGTGAAACAACATTTTTAAAGGAACTAAGAACATGGTGGAATCGGCGTGAATGGGAGAGTAACAATCTCCATTCTACACGTTCCATTACTTCAGGGCTGATGAGCATTCCTGACCTTTCCAAAGGCCTCCCTTGAAAGTTCTCCGGAGGAAACAAAAGGAAGAGGTTGGCTCATGGAAGGTCGCTGTCAGATTTGCCCCAAAAAGCAAGGGAAAAATTTTGCCATCAAAATGAAATCTTCCGGCAGGCAGAGAGGTTTAGATGGGGGATGGGAGAGAGGGCTGCGGAGCTATTTTATTCAAAGTGTTTAAATTAAGGGGCTTCACTATTCAAAGGCAAATAATAAACTGAAAAATAGGTCATCTTTAAATGAGAACTCTTTTTTTCCCTATAACAGGAAATCTGAACAGGAAAGTACAACATTTTAATTTCAGGATTTGACGTAATTTGCAACTTCAATGTGGAGCTTTTAAAAATTATCACTCTGTAAGAAAAGATGAGATTGGGATAAAAGTAAGAAAAGAAGTTAGAGTCTGGGGAGACACAGGCCTTATATTCAAGAGGGCTAGTGAAGTTAAAATTGTAGTGAAGTTCAGGCTTAGAGCAGTGTAGCTCTGTATTAACCTGAAATGCTTCTATCTAAGAGTAAAATCTCTCAAGTCTCATCCCAGAAGGTGTGTGCAGTCTCCATTTAAATGTCTCCAACAGAACACAAAATAATTTTGCAGTAACTGATCTACTGTATTAGATGTGCCTGGTCTATTTATTTCTGTTGCTTTTTAACATCTACCAAGAATATCAAAGTTTGCTTGGTGAAAAGTTTTCAGTCGGATAGTAATCTTTCCAAAATACCTTGAAAAATGTAAACGACATGTCTCTGCACCCCTTATTTACCAACCCTTTGATGATATAGGCGAGAAGAGTATGAACACATTTTTAACACTTGACATTTTCTAATATTCTGAAATCTTACTTTTCCATGTCACAGGCAAAGGGTATGTGGCATTGGGAAGGAACTGAATACAAAGTACTACATCCGCTCTTCAAATATGCAGTCCCTGGTAGCACCTTCTATAAGACTGGTGGCTTTTGTGGAGTGTTTCTTTCTTTAAATGAGCTGGACCACACATACTCACTCATTCAGAATAAGTCTATAGATGAACTGTCTCTGTATTTTTAAAGAAACTCAGCTTGTGCGGTCCGCTGATATCTCAGAGAAACAAGGAACCATTTTCACATAATGGATGGGGCTGCAGTGCGGAGCAGACAAGCCCCACTGGAAAGAATTCGGTCTGTCACGACATGCAGGAGAATTCTCTTATGTTTCTGCATCAGGTTTACCTAAACTAAGTTGATTTCCAGGGCAGAATTCATGGATTATGTCGTATTGGACCCAGGAAGGTTTGAAGGTTTGCTGGTAATGATCACACTCACACACACACACACACACACTCTCTCTCTCTCTCTCTCTCTCTCTGCCCCCCCCCCCCACTCTGCCCATGGTTACTGCTACTCTAAGCAGGCCCTTGGAGTCCAAAGAGAAAGTGTCTATAGCTTCACTGTTCCATTTTTATCTGTTTAGGAAATATTGATGTTATTAACCACACTTTTAACTGTCAGCATCTTGATATATTCTGGATATTTGCTAGGGTTCCCACTACTTAGTTGGTGCTATATGTGTGTGTGTGTGTATACATACACATATACATTTTAGATGGAGATGGGATATATATGTGTGTGTGCGTATGTATATATAAAGTTAAAAAAGAAGCTGGCTATTATCTGTTAAGATTGTCCAAGAGTGTGTATCTAAAGGATTTTCTTTCTGTTCTCTGCAGATATTACCTGAGCAGTGTCCCCTAAAATTGCTAGCACCTGGTGACCTGCCCCGCAGCTCCCCTCCAGTTTCCCTGCCTTTGCTTCATATAGAGGGATTTCTGTGCAGAAAACGCTCGTGGAGTCTGCCGTCTCTTAGTCTCTTAACTTTTATCGTCAGTTGCTAAATTAGCTAATGATTAATTAGTTAATGTTTTCAAAGCACTTTGAAGATGAAAAGCACCGCTAAGTGCTAAGTGTAAAACGGCATTAGTAATTCCACTCGGCAAAGACTAATTAGCTTTTAAAAAAATGTTCCCCCCAAACTGATCAATAATGTTTCTGGTATTACAGTAGGACTGTTTGTCCCACAGATCAGTAAGACCCACCTCACGTTTTAAGGCTTTTATGCCCCGAGACACGCAGAAATCCCGACTGAGGTTTATTGCTTGGTAACCTCTTGGCTTTCAGTGTGGCTGGAGTTGGACTAGTGATGTCATCTATACAAAATGCAGCATTTTTGCTGTCAAAAAAGCTTTAAAGGATTATTTAACAAAGCTAAAAGTAAAGAACTAAACTCTAGGAAAGTGGTACAGAAACATGATCAGTGAACTTATATTTAAGAAGAATTAAGCTTTTAAAGTTTTTTTTTTCCCATCTCTAAAAAGCTCTTTAACCGCGGTTCTCCAGGTGGCCTCTGAATTTATTGTGAGATTTCACTTTGATGGCTCTGAGTCCTCATGGGGACTATTATGTCAATAATTTCTACAGCAACATTTTATTCCAGGTACAGAAATGACTTAGAAGATAGAGCCAGGGTCTGGAAATTCCAGGATCCTACTTTAAATTACCCACATCAACCACGATTGAATGAAAAAAGATAGCTTTCACCCATTTTCCCCTTTCCAGCCAGATTCTTAATGGACAGACCTTTTTTTTAAGCTTCTTGGGTGCCAAGTGTCCCGAAACAACTACTCAAAAAAAGTTCAGCATTTTGTTTATTCCATCCACTTTCAAAGACTTAAATAATGTAAAGTTAATGGGAATCATGAAGCCAAAACAGGCAACTTTGCAAGAGGAAGCTTGTGGGTCATTTGTTCCCTTGATGCAAACATACTTGTCCCTGCTGTCTACCAGTGGGCCTTGGTTATAAACACTGGGGATTTGGGTTTTTTTGAAATGCCTGAGATTATTATTTTTAGTCAAGCTTTTTAAAAAAAAAAATAGTCTTTCACATCAAAAAAAAAACTACATGATTTCTATTAGCTTAAGGCTGGGATATTTGTGGTTTTTTGGTTGTTGTTTTTCTTTTTTTAAGGTGGGCAATTTCAGAATGACATTAAGATGCTGACTTTTTAGAACATCAAGAAAACATTATTAATATGTCATTCAAAATATGCAGTATTAACACATGAAACTCTACATACATAACAAACTGCAGAAACAACTCAGCTTAGAAAATACAAAGTTCAGCTAAACAAAAGGAATTTGACGTCTGGCAGCCTATGTTCTCTGTGTATTCTGTTACTCCAGGAATGAGTTTAGCTGGTGCATAAACACAGTAGCACATAAGCCATATATATGTGTGTGTGTGTGTGTGTGTGTGTGTGTATATGAATATGTATTTATAATGTGGACATGATATATACATACAATCACACACACGCACAATGCAACCACATCAATCAGTTGCTACAGACAACAATGACATGTGCACACATTCTCAGAACTTAAGGTTTGCTACCAACCTCAGTATCAGCCTTTCTTCCGTGTACAAAAATACATCTGCCAGAAAGGCGCGGTAAAAATCACCTGAAAACAAACAGACATGTTTTGGAAAAGTGTGGCCAGCTACTAGATGATTCCTTAGGGATTTCCTAAGTGAATATTTTTATAAAAAAGACACCTAAAATATGAAATAATTTGCACATAGCTATAACCCAGCCCCTGTGAGAACTAAAGATAAGCAAAGGTTAGAAGGATGAGGTGGTCAAGTCAAGGGTGCCTCTTACTGCCAAGGTCTCCATAAGTGAGTAGGACACAAAATATAGGAAAAGAGAAGGGGAGAAACTTGGAGAAAGCTACAATTTTGATCAGAAGGAGAAGTTACTTTGGAAATTTCAAGGATTATTTGAGATTCTTATCTAAATCAAGTTCCCTTCTTTTTCTTATAATTGAACAAGTGTTAAACTGTACCAGGCTGTCACAGCTGTCCCAATACGTGAACCACACATAGAGTAACAGCTTTCGTTACACATTTTTGTGAAGTAGTTTCCAGCACACTGTGATCAGAGCTTGCATATTTTTATACTACTCGCATATTGAAAATAAACCCAACATTTTAGATTATTTTTCTCATTGTGTATCAGGCCTGTATGGTTTCTGGAAGACAAAGGGGCAATTATGATTTTGTACCTACTGATCTGAATACAACACCTTGTTTTATTTTTGTATATTATGCTCAGTGTTTTGGTTAAAAAAAAAATTGGTTATGTGGGCCAATAAAGAAGTCCTGAAAAACTGTAGCTTAACCAAATTATTATCCATGGACTAAATGCTAATGCAATTTTTTCCACTTTCAGGATATCTTTAAGACAACATATCAAATACCCAAATCTTACAGGAGTGTGGAGGCCATGCCATATGACTTGGTTGGAGCTGTTAACAAAAGAAACATGGAAAAATCATGCAGTTTAGACTTTTAATTAAATTGTTTGTTTTGGATTCAAAAGCACTTTGTTCATTCAGCCCTGAGTACCAGTGGTGTTTCCAACCACAGATGACTATTCCCGAAATGACCACGGTTGACAGCTTCAGTGGTGGCTTTCAGAGTCTTTATTCGCAAAACACAGACATTCCGAAATGCCTTTATTTAAACTGTAATAAATAGACTATGCTTCAGAAACACTCTACAAAGAATAAGAATCTTTCTGCCTAAGTAAAAATGACCCTGTTTATCTGAATAGTTTTTGAATTAAATATCCACATGCTATTGTTTCAGAAACAATAAAAGTAATGATAGTCATCTATTGTTTATTGTCCTCTTCCCAGAATTAGAACTTAATTAGCTGCAAATGCCTTATCTTTTCCAAATCAGCATAATACACATTACCTAAATGTTGCCTCCTGTTGTTCAAGCCCTCTAACTTGGTAGATTCAAAATTAGCCAGTTATAGCAATGCTTTTCGCTTTAAATTTTAATAATAAACAGAGACATCCCCTTTCTTTCCCCCCACCCAGACCCTCCCTCTTTTCTGAAAACTGAAGTCTGCTGCTGAAAGGATTGAAAATCTGGAAAGAGTTTGGGGTGGACTGGCCAACCCCCTTTCATTTCCTTCAGATGTTTACAATCTAGCACCTTTCTGAAGACAAAGATGGGAAAAAAACCTATTTTTCCCTTTGACTGAAGGGTGAGACAGGGGGGTATTAAAAACTGATCAATGTAATTTTTTTCTCAGAAGTATTTGCACATCTGTGAAATAATGTAATTTATTTTTAAAAAACTTTTTATATGACATTCATGATTATAGCCCGATCTGGAGAATTATTCAAATATAAAATTAAATGTTCAAAAACTAGCTGCGCTGTGGATGGCTGAGCTTATCCCAGCTGTGCATTATACTTATATAATTCTATTAGAAGTATCAAAATGAGCCTTTCTAGATCTCACTGAATCTCTGAAAAGGGGAAGTGGTGTTTTCTAAGAAAGTGTGATGATCTACTTCTTTTTGTTTGTTTCATTTTTCCGTGGATCAGCCTCCAGGGGTCTAAAGATGCTCCCACCAAACTGTTCAAAAACAGTAACAAAAAAAGGTGATGGGAGAAGGGCTACTGAATAATAATAAAAGCATTCCGTAAAGTAGATTGTATTTTATTATCACAGGGTTTGGGAAAATCTGTGACTTAAAAGGAGGTTACAAACCTTAAAAGTAAATTCTGCTGTTTCAGTGAAATTGCTGGAGATATAATATGAGCCATCTGTAATTTCCCCTTCACTGCCCTGTTAAACACTGCAAGTCACTTTCACTCCCAGACCCTGATGCACCCACGCCCATCAAAAAGCAGTAAGTACCCCCCTGACTGAGGGAAATTTGCCCTCCAAATGTACAGTTTATAAACAAACTTTCCCTGACCAAATGTTAGAGCGAAGTTTTCCTTTCCATCCATATGCCTGTATACTGTCACCTCTGAATACATCTGCCTATAGGGAGGAATTCAATGTAATATTCATCAAATTCAAATTAATCCTGAACCTTACACAATCCATTCAAGGTAACAAATCGTCAATGACTTTTAAAATAATTGGAGCCCAGAAAATAAAAGACTATTAAATCTGTTTGAAGTTACAGATTGAAACCTACACCTCAAATTCTGTTACTTCCTTTTTTAAAAAATAAAATGCATTTCTAAAGCATTTACTATAAATTAAATATTTAAAAATAAACCAGAATTCGTTTATGGATTAATATTATCAAATTTTAAGAGGGAAAAAAAAACACCATTCCCATTATTTGAGGACACAAATTAACAGTCAGATAACCTCAAAAAAGCTTACATTTGAAAGAAAGGGATCTGCAGTTACCGTTTTTAAACACAGGAGCAAAATAAGGGCGAAGATATTTCTGCTGCCTAAGACAGACGGACTTTAATAACACTTAACAGAATGACGCACATAATAATCTCAGAAAGCACTTCTTATGCCTCATCCATCATGCCGAGGAGAAAATGAAGCCTTCGACAGCATTAGGAATTATTCTAGATCTTGTCAGTAATTCGCAGCTCCTCTGTAGTATCACAACACAAATGTGCGTGTGAGCGACACTGACCATTAATCTAGAGAGTTTTTTCGCCTCACAACAGCGTGAGGAGAATGTATCAATTGTTTTGTGGAGAAATGGCACATGCAAAGCCACACAAAATAAAACAAGGAAAATCAGGGAGATGTATGGGGAGATAAACAAACAGTGTATTAAGAAATAAACATGTTTTCTATCACTGTGAAAGAAATCAACACAGTATCCTTAGCAACTGGGTTAGGTGAATTGGGAACTATAAATGTCCTAGCTGAAGGACCAGTCTGTCACTGATTAAAAGTTTCTATAAAGTTGCAACATACTGTCCACATCCTTAAGTAATAAGCCCTTAGGTGATGAGAAAATGAAGGGTTTCCGCTGCTCTCTGGAAGAGGAATGCAAAAAGATCCACCTTCTGCCTTCAGTCAAAAATCCATATGGTCACCTGAGTTGTTTGTTTCACTCACTGTAAAGTTCTCCTTTCAAAAAATTGGGATTGGGCGATGGTAAGGATTAATAAAATTGGGAGATGCTAGGATTAATATATGCTAAGGATTATAAAATAAATTAACAAAATATCACCTTATTCACAGAGATCTCTAGCTGTGACAGCGTGTTGGCGGCAAAGCAAATTTGAACTCCCAGGCCTCGAGATAAAACAAACGAGAGATTTTGGCAGGATCTTCCTCAAAATGAACTCTAGTCTTAATAGTATGGTGACCATTCTAAAATGGCCTGTGCTCCAAAGAAAAAGGTTTATAAATATTTGCAAAACAAACTCTTAAAACATTCCTCTGAGTCTACTCCAAATCGATTTCTATACATGTTCTATAAAGATGAAAGCTAACTGGATGTCTGGTTTATGATAGATTAAAATGGTTTAACTTCCAAAATGATGTACTCCACACAGAT
The DNA here is from genome assembly GCF_000001405.40 of Homo sapiens. NCBI lineage: Eukaryota > Metazoa > Chordata > Mammalia > Primates > Hominidae > Homo > Homo sapiens. The sequence goes on from NC_000016.10 coordinate 73,887,523, forward strand.
GTGTTTCTGTGAAGTTCTGTGAACTACACCACGGCAACAACAAAAAAAAGCAGGCTCTTGTCAGATGGAATGAAGTGAATGCTTCTTTAGAGTAGATGAATTGGATTTGGGGCCAGGAAGAAACCAAAAAATTTAAAAAAAATACACAGGTGAGAAAAGGTAAACACAAACTAATAAATAGTAATAATAATTTTAAAGTTTTCTAAAGTAACACACACACTTTTTTTTGTTAATAAAGTATGTTGGGTAACTTAAAACAGCCCAAAATCACTTAGAAATTCGTGTTCAATGCACCCAGAGTTCTATCTCATTTTCAACACTTAAAATCTGAATTTTTTTTAAAAAAACAAACTTTTCCACCTCTTTGGAATGATGAGCAAATTTCAAGAGAAGATATAAGTGCTAAGTCCTCATCTTAGGTTGGACTATTTGACCCACTCCCAGCTGGGAGGAACGGTTTATTATTCACAAGTAACAAACTCAGCAGCAAGATAAAAACAGCTCCCAGGAAGTGGATGCAACGGGGCCCCTCCTTTCCATCTGCATCAGCCCACCTCCGTCTTCCTCTCCCTACCGCAAGCTATAAAGCTCAAATGTCTCTAGGAGCATCACCGAGGCCTGGCAATGGACAGGTATTTGTACTGAATAATGCTCACGTCAGGAATGAGTAAAACTAGGTTAGAAGTTGAGGTTTTCACAAAATAATGAAGAAGAAATGTCATGCTAGCAGCGGTAACGGCATAAATTGTGCTCATTCATTCATTATCCTTTTTCCCTCCCCTTCCCCCCACGGAAACATAATTTTTATTTTTCAGATCTACATGCTTGCGAGGGAATACGGCTTTTGCCATAGTTGTTGCTCTCTCGAAGCCCAAGATGAGAGACAAAGATGATTTGTAAAGATTAAAAAAATAGTAATAATAATAAAGATGGGTGTGGCAACACATTTCTTCTAGATTTCAATTCAAGGAGAAAAGGTAAATAGGATTTCCCAAACAAAATTACCTGGAGCTTTAACTTTTACTTTATCTAATTGAACTACAGAGAAAATATCAGCTAAAAATGTCACCTGCTCCACAGTAAATACACTGCTCCTAGTTCAGGAACTGGAGGAGGGAAAAGAAAAATGTTTACATTTCAATTGTTCAGATGCCGATTCTGAAAACGATAACAAAAGAATACTCAAGAAGATACTTCTGTGGGCAGCTTTCCGGGTGGATGTCTGGGCTGGCGGCTGTGATGTGGGGGCTAAGTGTAAGCAGAAACAATTCAGAGAGGCTGGGGTCCACCTTGGAGGTCTAGTTAAGGTGCAGACAGATTTCAGGCTAAAAAAAAACCGGGAAGGATCCCTGTTCCCCCAACGCCCGCCCCCTACCACCCCCCCAAAAAATCCTGTAAACCTCTGCTGTCTGGTAGCAAGCCCGCATACTCTCCAGTGCTGAGATAAAGACCCAATCTGCTCATCAAACACCTCCAGGCTCCACCATCTAATAGAAACAAATTGGCAATGACTGCCCAAGCTAGTAACACAGGCCCACTGATTTGTAGATTGATACGGATGCCTAATGATCCCCTTGGGCAGATCAATAGTAACAATCCTCATCCCTGCCTTTCTTCTTTATTGGCATAGAAGACTAAGGCAAGGAGAAAGCCGGTCTTAGAAGAGGCCACAGTGCTACCTGGGGACAGATGGGAATAAGGACACAGGTGCGGCTGTGCAGGAAGGAAGCTGCGCCAGACCCGCGCTCCAGAACTTTCCACTGACTGTCTCGATTCATTCCATGTTTTTGGCAGGCAAAGGGTGTAAGAATGGGACACGATATGCTTTTCTATTAATAGTATCCGTGCACAGTGTTCAGTGAGACCCAGGCTAGAGTCAGCACAGCTGCCTTCATCTGGGAAGGGGAAGAGAAGTGATGCAAGCCCCAGTGCATCTCCCAGAGAATGAACTTGGTGGACAGAAAATGCCAACGATGTGATGACAGAGAATGGAAAAAGGCGAACAAACATGGGAAGTTGCATCTTAGGAAAACTTAGGGTGAAGTACCTATGATCAAAGAGGGGCAATAATGAACCGCATTGTTTTAAGTATCATCCAAAGGAGGCAAGTGGATTCATGCGCTGTTGTTTGAACATGCTTAAAACACCCACTGCCTACCGGACCCCAGTGTATGGGTTAATTCTCACACACAGGAGCTATTCTCTGTGCCCTCACCCTTCTCCTGAGTGCAGGTTTTCTTGAAGTTGACAGCGGCTCACCCTTCTACTGACTCTTCTCCTTTCTGTAGGCCAATCCCATCCCCGCCCCCAGAGCCAGGGCTTATTTTCCATTTGTGTATTATTCTTGTGAATAAAATTATCCAATTAGGAAATCCATTTAAAGTCCTTAACAATAACAGGGAAAAACTAATGGAGTTGCTTTGGATTTTCTTTTTCAATAAATTAATGTTAGTGATGTTCTGTGGATTCTTAAGTGCTCATTTATATCATCAGGGTTATTGCACACATAACAATTAGTCCTAAATTTCTATACTGATTTGTCTATACTCTAGGAAGTCCATTCTCCCAAAGAAGTAGTAGACAAGACTCGGAGAAAACTTACTGGCAGGCAGAGCGAATTTGACTTCTAAAATAAATAAATCTATGACATCTAAAAACCTTTGTACTTCGTTGTTAAATTTTTTCTTCTTGTAATTGTAAGAGTGTAAAAAAAAAACCAAAAAAAAAAAAAACAACAAAAAAAAACCTCTCCCTTCTTCCCCTTTTACAACGACTCTGTGCACATTTGCAGGTGTTGCATACAAAATAGCCAAAAGGGGTAGGGGGCAGCGAATGTTCCATTTTTACTCCTGCATTCAGACCTGCAACTAGCCGCCTGAGAATTTGCTTTGTTCAGCAATCATTCTCGTTTGGTTTTGTTATTAAAGGGAGATAACACTGAATGTCAGAGATGAAATTGCATTTTCTTTATTGTCAACGGTTGAAACCTTTGCCACCCAACCGATCTAGTGAAAGATTCGGTTTTTTAATTTTTTGTCATAATAAAAATATTTTTAATCTGGTCCCTTCTTTTTCTCTTTTGCATACTCAAACACAGAACTGAAGCTACAATGAAAAGCCTTGGTATCCCAGCCCACTGCGTAATATCACAAATTAGTCATCTTCTCTTTCCTGTACGTTACATCGTCCTATTTAAATAAAAGCAAACGTGGAGCCGTGTTAAATTTTGACAGTAAAGGGTTTGCACTGATGGACCAAATAATCACGTGCGCTAGGGCTCCGGCACTGACCACTTAAAATTCAAATTTCACACTAACGATAAGTGTAATCATCGCAATCAGCATCACCACCACCACCATCACCATCATCACAATAAAGAGATGCATTCTGTGAGCTGGTGACATCAATCAACTGTGTGGTGCAGATCAGAAGAGGCGCTCCCCTCTCCCTCTCTCACTCCGTCTGTCTTGCTGGCTTCCCCCTACCCCACCTCGCCGCTCCCCCCCTCCACCTCACCCCCGCTCAGAGAAGTGATCACATTTAATTCATTGCATCATTATGTCATCTCCATACTAATCTCTGCCCTCACACCTCTGCCACTTTGACATGCAAATGAGCTAGAAAAAAGCCACACATTAATATAAAAAAGTCACAGCAATCATGTCATGATTTCCTGCCTCCCAGCCCCACAGCATTCCCTCCAATCCCCACCTCTCCCCCCAGCTCTCTTTCCAGCACGCTGTGCTGGTGATCACAAGAAACAACAGCAATCTGTTGAAGATCAGACGCTAAGACAGGGAGGTGGGGAGAAAGATACACACATACACGTGTCAGCAACGCGGCCCAGGCAGTCCTATTTGCATATTCACATGAGTTCCGTTCTCAGATTGCTTAAGCAGGGAAGAAGTTAGGTAGCTCCCCCACCCTCCTACCCTCCCCGATCCATAAAGAAAACAGCTACTGAGAAGGAAGGAGAGGGAGAGAGAGGGGGAGAGAGGACATATGAATGTAAAGGGAAAGAGAGAGAATATGAAAAGGGAGGGGGCATGGAGAGAGAGAAAGACACACGCAGAAAGAGACAGAAGGAAGAAAAGAGAAGAAAAGAAAAGCTGTCCACATCTACCTTACCTCAGCTAGCTTGCTTTCTGTTGCTCTTAAAAGGAATTCCCTGTGGTTCCTTTAGAATTTTTGAGAACCATCCTTCAGGGTTTTTAGTTCTCTCTCTCTCTCTCTCTCTCTCTCTCTCTCTCTCTTCCTCCTCCTCTTTCTGTGTTGTGACTGGGTTTATAAAAAAAATAAAAAAGACAACTCCATGTTAAGCTAGCAGTCAAGGAAGCATCATGAAGTCCAGGGCTACAGGGGGAGGGAAGAAAGGAGGAGGGTCACAGCTTAATGCTTTACAAAGGAGAACCTGGAGACTCTGTTTTAAAACATCCCTCTCACATACAATGACTGACAAAGACAAAAATATATGTACTTATATGTATACACAGAGACATATGTATGTTTTCACCAGTAAGCCAGATGTCAAAAATGTTCAGATTGTGGTGCAAGCAAATGTAGAAAAATTATGAGTCCTTCTGAAAACCCCATTGCGGATCCACTTTGCTGCTCCCTGGTTGCAGAGGGGGCCAGGCAGCGAGCTAGGGGCTTTATTTGCTGAATCACATTTGTGGCAATACCTGGGTAATAAGGGACTGACTCGAGATGGGGTTCCAGCTACTGCAATGAATTTCCCAGCTTTGATCAGTTTTCACCAGTACTTTCGTGGTATTGAAAATGTGTGAACATGTCCACAAATTTTCTGGCTTTTTTTTTCTTGCAACAACTTAAAAAAAAAAAGGAAGAAAAAGAAAAATTGCAATTAAATATATATATATATGCAAGCTGATGTCACAAATAATAGCTCTTTCTACATATTCCTTACGAAGTACAGCTGGTATGGATTTAAAACATAGAATGATTGGTGCAAAATACACCTTATTTTCTAGTGGCCTACTGTATAATATTATCCTAATTGACTTTATTAGCTCCGGTGAAATGTTACTGTCCCTCCAAGGAACCTGCCTTCGAAGACAAGCAAGATGCGGCAACACTGATGAACAGCAGCTGATTCAAAGAAATTAAGTGATGGTCTGTTAAGTGAAAGGAATAAAAACATTTTCCAACTACAATGAATGGCATGGAGTTTAATTCCATTTCTCAACCTGTTCATTTCAACTAGCAAAGACACAAAGACATCTGATGGCCTAAGAAACTTTAACAGGAATATAATTCTAAAACCTGGCCAGAGGGATACATTTACAAATTGGTTTTGAATCCTAAACTTGAATAGTAGGAAGCATGTTTCACTGTAAAAGAGGGAAGAAAAACATTTTTATGGTGAAGTCATAAGCTCCTTAATATTTATGTAAGTAGACATTAAATAACTAATATGGGCATTATAAAAAGCACAGTAATTGTAAGAGGAATGTGAAAACAGGAATTACAGCATCTATATGTACCCTGCACAAAGACCTAAATGTGGTTCATTATTTAAATCACAGCACATATCACATATGAGAGAACACTGTAATATATCTACAATTGACCTTGCAGGGAAAGGAAGAAAGGAAGGAAGGAGTTAAAAAGACGTTCGCCTTTACACCAATAAATAAAGAACTTGGGGGTCAGTTGCTGAGGGTGGGTTAAGGAAATGCCAAAATAAAAATTGTTTCTTTATTTGAAACAGAACTCTTGGCAGACACACATTAGAAAAATTAATTTCTCTGTGTCTCTCAGAGAAACTATGAGAAGAGAAATGTTTTGTATTCATGACCTGAATTCTGAGAGGAGGGAAAAAGGTAATTTTAAGAATCTGACCCTAGTGCATGAGTTATAGCTCAGTACCCAAAATTGATGAAAACTATCTATGACAAGACTCATCAATGAGTCCCTGAAATAAAGAGAAAGAGAAAATAACCAAAACATTAGACCCAGGAACATTATATTTCAATATTATCATAAGAATTAAATGTAATTCTTGAAGCGACTAGTCCCTGGGGTCACATATTAGGCCTTTTCCCACTACCCCACCCCTGCCTTATTTTTTTTTTTTTAATAGAGGTCATCCAGGCTGAAAAGAAAAACCCAAATGAAAAGCATCTTCAGTGTGCTTATAACATGAGCTGCAAGGGGTCAGCCAGCGTCTTGTATGGCCTCATAAAAAATACATAACCAGACAGCCTAATAGTATTTCTTTGCATTCGTTTTTGGATGGAGAATGGGGGTTGGGGGCTGGGGAGGAGAAAGGGTTGATGTTGGTAGCTATGATGGGAAACAAACAAACAAAAAAAAAACACAAAGACAGCAGAAAAAAATATATGTTTAAAAAGGGGATAGTTAGATCATCTTTTTCTTTTATGAAAACATATTAAGCACAATTCTAAACAGCGATTGATTTACACTATTCTATTGATTTACACAATTCAAAAATGTGATCAATCTCAATTTTTTAAGACAGGAAAAGGTATATCTACGGGTATCTCTCTGCCCTCCTATTTCTCTCGGCTAATCATGTGAACTGGAAGCTTAGCAATGCTGGGCCTCTCCCAGTTCATGTTTTTAGCAATGTAAACACTCACTCAAATACAGATGTATAAATGACACTTATTTTGGATGATTTCTGAAACTGAAAAAAATAATAATAAAAAAGGGGAAATATTGCTAGGGCTTCTGCTTCCACTCAACACAGAGGATGCAGAGAGACATATTACAGAGGGAGAAGATGGAGCAGCTAGGGAAAGAGAGAGAGAATGGGGAGAGAGAGGGAGAGAGGAGGAGAGACAGAATAACACAATTGGACAACAAATAAAAATAAATAGCTCTAAATGCTGGGGAGATGCAAGAAGCACTAAATATATTCCTTCCCCTCCCCCTCACTTCTTTGCTCCCAAATATAGCCCAGAGATGAGTGACCCTGCTGGGAAAGATGGAGGCAGAGAGGTGACCCCGCGCTAACCAGCCTGTTAGAACTAATAAGGTGTTCTCCTAAGCCACTCCACTGACATTAGGGCAGTACCGAGATCACTCTCTTTGTTACTGCCTACCTCAGCTTGAAATTTACTACCCCATTACCTTATTAAAGAGACAGCTCTCATTCTCTAGATTTGGTGAAGATAAATAACTGCATTATTTTTATTTAAATGTTATGCTTGTACTCAGTAGTTCAGATATTAAAAACCTACGATTTACAACACAGTCACGTGAATAATCTGCCGTGGGTGACTCCCACTGAGACAGAAGAAGAAAGGCAAGAAAAGCCTGAATTTATTTCTCTATTCTCTTTCCTCTCCCCACTCTCCTTACTCCATCTGGGGGTCAAAGAATAGGAAATATTCTTCAGAGTTGCTGAAGCTGGGTAGTAAGTTCAGCATGGCACTGTGTTACTGTAGGTGGGGCATCATCTGTAACTTTTTCATGAATAAGACTCTGTAACCGAGTTTCCCACTAGAACTTTATGGTTCTTGGCCGGGTGCGGTGGCTCATACCTATAATCCCAGCACTTTGGGAGGCCGAGGTGGGCGGATCATGAGGTCAGGAGTTCGAGACCAGCCTGGCCAACATGACAAATCTCCATCTGTACTAAAAATACAAAAATTATCTGGGCGTGGTGGCTCACACCTGTAGTCCCGACTACTCAGGAGACTGAGGCACGAGAATCACTTGAACCTGGGAGGTGGAGGTTGCAGTGAGCCGAGATTGCACCACTGCACTCCAGCCTGGGCAACAGAGTAAGACACCATCTTAAAAAAAAAAAAAAAAAAAAAAAAAAAAAAGAACTTTATGGCCCTTAATCATGCAAAGGAGTGTAAACTTTTAGGGGTTTTACATATTGTTTAAGGATGTGTTTTAGTCTTCCCATAATAATTTAGTTTGCTTGAGGAGCTTGATATTAGCAGGTCCTAAAGGGATGGAAGACAGGAGATACCCTCAGCCATCCAGTCCCCCAAAAGCATCCCTGAGATGCTTGCCTCATGACATAGCCCAAGAGCACACAGGCTTACATATGCTGAATGAACAGTCAACGATCAATCAATTGAAGACACCCAGAGATCCTTTCTTTATAGCAATCATGACCAAAGCAACTTTAGAAATGGACACATATCTTGGCTGGGTGCGGTGGCTCATGCCTGTAATCCCAGCACTTTGGGAGGCCGAGCGGGCAGATCACGAAGTCAAGAAATTGAGACCATCCTGGCCAACATGGTGAAACCTTGTTTTTACTAAAAACACAAAAATTAGCTGGGCATGGCGGCGCACGCCAGTAGTCCTAGCTACCCAGGAGGCTGAGGCAGGAGAATCACTTGAACTTGGGAGGCGGAGGTTGCAGTGAGCCGAGATCACGCCATTGCACTCAAGCCTGGCGACAGAGTCTCAAAAAAAAAAAAAAAAAGGACACATATCTTGAATGAATTCTACCTGACTGACCTACAGAGACCATATCCTACCAAAGACTCTGTTTAATCCTGTCTAAATTTATACTACTGGTTTAAACAAACTATTCTGTAGTGTTTTAGAGAAATCGTGTCTACTTAGCAAAAACTCCAAGTTCTTTCATTATTTTGTAAACTTATTCAGGCAATGACTTGCCTCCAATAAATGGTGTACTAGTTCAGGTTCAATACCCTTTGTTACCAAGTGATTTCCATGGAATAGGTATTTGCTGTGATTGGACTTAAACATAAATAATTACCATTAGAATATTAGTATATCATAAAGGAAGGCACATGAAGAATCAACATCTCAAGAGACACCTAAGAAATAAATGGACAGGCTTCCCTCTGCTGAATAACAGCTTTCAAACACAATGTATGTTGTTGAGTGAATTAATTTATGAGTTACTAGTTAAAAAGCAGAACCAGGACTACTCTGCTTGCTTTGTGCAGGGCATAGTACCACTATATAATCACACACAGGCAGGGGCCAAGATGCAAGGCGGTACTGTCAAAATATACAAATGGTGCTCTTAGGGGAAGTCTGAGCTGTGGTCTGGCTCAACCATTAAGCTACTATGTGAACTTGTGAATATCATTTAACGTCTCTTGGCTCTATTTTCCTTGAACATAAAATGAATAAAATGTGGAACTCTTGTCAATAACATGGTTCTACTTCTTTGTAAGATAAATAAATGAAATAATATTGAAATACTCTTTCCTTTTAAAATGGAAGCGCTCAAGAGCCTCCCAGCCTACGTGGTATGAGCATGAGGTCAGTGGTGAGGAGAGGTGTGTGCCCTGAAAGGTCCATCAGCCCCATGGGTCCTCAACCATTATTGGGTCATGAGTTATCTTATTCCTCGTCATGTGCAATGCAGTACATAATCGTTATGGAACTTTGTTTAATACCAGAAGCCGAAAAATAAAGTAGGGAGCGTATTGAAATGAATGGCCAGGCACAGTGGCTCAGGGAGGTCAAGGCAGGAGGATGGCTTGAGCCTGGGAGTTTGAGACCAGCCTGGGCAAATAGCAAGTCTCTGTCTCTACAAAATAAAATAAAAATAGCCAGGCATACTAGCACTCGTGCCTGTAGTCCTAGCTACTCAGGAGGCTCAGGCGGGAGGATCATTTGAGTCCAGGAGTTTGAGGCTGCAGTGAGCAATGATCATACCACTGCACTCCAGGCTGTGCAACAGACTAAGACCTTGCCTATAAAAAAAAGAAAAGAAAAAAGAAATGAAGCTTCATGAGGAGATTAAAATAGTAAGAATTGTGCCAAATTGCTTCCAGATGTTCACAGGAGACATCTATCTGATCAAAATTCTTATATATCAACATACGACTCTATTACTTGAAAAACTTTAAAACGAACTATATGTATGTATACATATGTATATATACACATACAACCCACAAAATTGTATTTAATTTGGCTTTCACTAACATTTTCCGTCAATACTATTTCTTTAGAGAAGGGAAACCCCACACCGCCCTGATCGCATTGTTTAAAGCACAAATACAAAATTTTTTTAAATAAATTAATTTTATAGCATAATATCTGAGAATTTCAGATATCACATCATGAAAGCAATTTTTGCCTTTTTATACTAACCCACATTTCAATTCCAAAATGACATATGAAAATAATGTCACATTCTTTTTTTTTAAACAATTCATACTTTTTCCCTTTATAATGTCTTTTAGGTAAATTTTTAAAGTATTTTCATTAACTTAAAAAAGGCAATATTTGTTTACAAATGCTATCATTAATGACTGTCCTAAAAGCAAATTATAATACAATTCTTAATAATGTACTAATCCAAGATAAAATAGTTTTCACTTAAAATTACCGTTTCATACCATACAAAAATGATGAACTGATTTTTAAAATTCCTAAGAGGGTTGACAAGATTATAAATTACTATGAAAATGGTCTATGGGTCAAAAAAGGTTGGGAAATGCTGATCTCTGAGGTCTACTTTAGCTCTAAAATTCTATATTTTAAATGAGACACCTCTGACTTTTCTAAATTAGTAGAAAGTAAACTTGCAGAGACTGCTAAATTCCCCATCTCTCACACTAGATACTTCCAATTCACCTGAATATAGCATATCAAGCCTAAAAATTTAAACAGATGAAAATCTGGAAATGGGAAAAATAGATAAATGCATTTAAAATGTGAACTTATCCACTGTGTCTTACATTTCCACATTGTCTATTTGCTGGGTTAGTAATTTACTTTCTCCAACAGGCCATTTGAGCCTCAACCATTGGGAGACAGTAGCCTACACACACTGTTATATACTGGTAACCAACTAGATTTAAAATGTGCCTCAATTTCTAACCAAAATTTTCAGTAATATCACTCAAGTCACCAAGAATATACTTTCAAAGAATCAAGCCAGTGACAGAATAAAGAAAAGCAACAAGACCTCAAGACATCCACATCTCTGGACTTACGGATCCGAGGAGAAGGGGTAAGGTTGCAGCCTTATTAACAGGGGTCACCTAGTTCTTTATGTGATAGTTTGGATCTTAAATTAATATCTATCAAGGATGTAGGTTCCCAAAAAGTGGATTATAATTGGTCCTGGACTTTAGAGGGGTAGCAACATTTTTCTGTAAAGAGTCAGACAGTGAATGTTTTAGGGTTTGCAAGCCATACAGTCTTCCTCACAACTATTCAACCACTCTCATAATGAAACAGCAGCCATAGAATATACATAATCCATGGAGCATGGCTGTGTTCTCATAAAACTTTCTTCACAAAAAAAAGTGGTAGGCAGGACTAAGCCTGCAGTTTGCTGATCCAAATCTATAATAACTTTTCTAATAACGCAATTGAAGGATGGAATAATGGGTGGAGCTGTACAATAGAAATGAAAGAATTAGAGAATCTTAATGATTCCAAACACATAAATTTTAAATTTTTCTCTGATTCAGATTTGTGGCCTGTATATAGTATGATATCAAGGTGTATGTACTTCAGTTTCACCCTTTCAAAGTGCAGTAAACTCACAACTAACTCCCTGAAGAGGCAGATCAGGTAATATTTGTTCCATTTTATAGATATAAGAATTGAGGCTCAGAGACAATGACTTCTCGAAGATGTCTGATATCATAACTGGCAGAGCTAGCTCTGTCCTAGGGTTCTTAGGCAGTTTCGTTTGCCCCTTCAAATAAAATTACTATTTAAACACACATACACGCAGAGTTTGTTTTCAAGATGAACCAATGCCATAGAGTAAAAATTTACTAATAGAATTAAGGTATTTTTGAGAAGCTTAGAAAACAACTAAATTAGCAATAAAATGACCTAAGTTATAAAGTATCAATTCTGGCCAGGAACGGTGGCTGATGCCTGTAATCCCAGCATTTTGGGAGGGCAAGGCAGGCGGATCACCTGAGGTCAGGAGTTCGAGACCAGCCTGGCCAACACGGTGAAACCCCATCTCTACTAAAAATAGAAAAATTAGCCAGTTGTGGTGGTGGGCACCTGTAATCCCAGCTACTTGGGAGATTGAGGCAGGAGAATCGCTTCAACCCAGAAGCCAGAGGTTGCAGTAAGCCAAGATCATGCCATTCACTCCAGCCTAGGCAACAGAGTGAGACTCCGTCTCAGAAAAACACAGAATACCAATTGACATATTTGGTTAGGGTCTTGCCTTTGAAGTTTCTTTTGCTGAGCTAGATAATTTGCAGTTATCTCAGTTCTTAAATGTTTGGGAATCACTACCCTTTGTAACAAAGATGGCTAGATGTCTATGGTTCAGGTTTGTTGTTGTTTTTTGTTTGTTTGTTTGTTTTTTAAATCAACTCTATATACAGTCAGAATAGCAGATATATCCATTTTGCAGTGAAACTTCCTTCTATTTAAGTTTTCTTTATCCCTGCCTTTCAGTGCATTCCTTCAAAAACATATTCACGTGCTACACTCAAGTTTCACAAATTTGAAAAATCCAAACCCAAAATAGTCATGCCAGGTTTACCATGATATTCATGTGGAATTCTTTACACTATAAAAACAAAATTTCTTTTGGGGAGTAATACTTATCAGTCAAGAGCCATTTTCACAGAATATGATGTCGGTTCTTAAGTCATGTAACAAATCGAGGTTTTGATTTGACATCATGAAAATGACAGTGTGGTAGATTAACACGTTCCTCTCATAGTTTGCATCTAATGAGAAAAAAGCAAACGCCGACTGGATACATAATGATAGGGCCTTGCCAAATGACTTTTTAGGACATTGCAGGTTTCATAGAAGGTGGAATGGAGGAAAATAATGGGAACACTCCAACCTCACACGGCATGTACTAGTTCAGAGAAGCTAAATTCCAAAGTACCCTTACCGTAACAGTCCCACTGTAATATTCCCGTTTCAAATTAATCCTGAGACTCCCATACTTATCCATAAGAATTTATGACAATTCATTTTCAATAAATGTGGAAGATAATAGCAAGGAAGTTTTCATTAAAGCACATTTTTAAATTTTTCAATACTGTATTCTGAGTTGCATTATTAAATTGATCAGCTCAAAATGATGGATCAGTGATTTAGAATGAATGCAGGGTGTAAACGGAAAAATAACCATGATAATTAAAATCATTAAAGTGATAATCCCATCAGGCTCAGAATCCAAAGAATCAACTTACGTAAAATATCAAATAAGCAAGTGTATTTCTCCACTATTAAATCCACCATCAGTGCTTTATTTCAGCAAAACATCAAATAGAACATTAAATTAATGTTAATTTAAACTTTATGGTTTTTATAGTAAATTTATATAGTAATCGGTAAATTTAGTTTAGTTTTACAGCTGTATAAAAGCTATATACATAGAAAATTAATGTCTAACTTAATGTTTGTACAAATTTAAATAATATGCCATGTAAAATGGCTAAAAATAATTTCCATTAATACCAGGAGTCCAAGAGAATTTCTTTCTTGAGAATTTTTTTTTTTTTAGAAAGACCACCTTAACAAAAATCAAATTTGTTTTATTTTTTTGTTTGTTTATTTTGAGACGGAGTCTCGCTCTGTCACCCAGGCTGGAGTGCAGTGGCCAGATCTCAGCTCACAGCAACCTCCGCCTCCTGGGTTCAAGCAATTCTCTGCCTCAGCCTCCTAAGTAGCTGGGATTATAGGCACCCGCCACCATGCCAGGCCAATTTTTGTATTTTTAGTAAAAACAGGGTTTCACCATCTTGGCCAGGCTGCTCTTGAACTCCTGACCTCCTGATCCACCTGCCACGGCCTCCAAAAGTGCTGGGATTATAGGCATGAGCCACCACGCACAGCCCAAAATTCGGTTCTTTAAGAGAAGAGCTGGGAATGCACAGCCCCTTCCAATCAGGAAGCTCTATGTTTTATTTATTTATTTATTTATTTATTTTTAGACGGAGTTTTGCTCTTGTTGCCCAGGCTAGAGTACAATGGCGCAATCTCGGCTAACTGCAACCTCCACCTCCTGGGTTGAAGCGATTCTTCTGCCTCAGCCTCCCAAGTAGCTGGGATTACAGATATGTGCCACCACGCCCAGCTAATTTTTTTTGTATTTTTAGTAGAGATGAGGTTTCTCCACGTTGGTCAGGCTGGTCTCGAACTCCCGACCTCAGGTGATCCGCCCGCCTCGGCCTCCCAAAGCGCTGGGATTATAGGTGTGAGCCACCGCGCCCTGCCAGAAGCTCTATGTTGTCTTACCAGAGCTGGAGACAGCCAGAGCTCATGAAAGCTGCTTAATTGAAGGTCATCCTCAGCATGATTTGAGCTGTCCTGCTACAGGTCTGACCAACGGCCAGACTCTTCCCCTTGTATCCCTCTGCCCCCAAGGATCTCATTTGCCTATTTTAGATTTTTCACATCATCTAATTGTGATGGTTAATAGTAAGTGTCAACTTGATTGGACTGAAGGATGCAAAGTATTGTTTCTGGGTGTATTTGGGTGTCTCTGGGTGTTGCCAGAAGAGATTAACATTAGAGTTGGTGGACTGGGGGAGGAAGACCTACCCTCCCAAAGACCCACCCACAGTGTGGGTGGGCACCATCCAATTGGCTGCCAGCGCGGCTAGAAAAAGGGGGCAGAAGAAGGTGGAAGAAGCTTCCGGCCTTCATCTTTCTCCTGTGCTGGATGCTTCTTGTCCTCAAACATCAGACTCCAATTTCTTCGGCTTTTGGACTCTTTAGACTTACACCAGTGGTTTGCCAGGGGCTCTTGGGCCTTTGGCCATAGACTGAAGGCTGCAATTGTCGGCTTCCCCACTTCTAAGGTTTGGGGATTCGGGCTGAGTCACTGCTGGCTTTGTTGCTCCTTAACTTGCAGACGGCCTATTGTGGGACTTCACCTTGTGATCGTGAGTCAGTTCTGCTTAATAAACTCCCTTTCATGTATACATATATCCTATTAGTTCTATCCCTCTAGAGAACCCTGACTGATACACTAATAATAACTTAGATACCATTGTAAGAGATTTTCTTACAATGACCATCTTTTCCAAGTATCTTGAAATATACTCCTTTGCCTCCAAATTTATTTATATCTCTTGTAATAAGATTTCCAGAAAAACAGGGTGAAATTAGAAATTGCTCCATCCCTTAAACTCAGTTCAATGCAATTTAATATATACCAGCACTTACTATGTAAAAGACATTTACTAAGCATTAAGGATAGAGAGCTGAATTAAGTAATAGTCTCAGCAGCAAAATGCAGAAACTGTTTTACAGAGGTCACATTTCAGCCTCCATCCAGTGACTGTTAGGATATTTCAAGTTACCAAAGAGGAAAAAAAGTTGTTTTTGAATTTGGTGGTGTAAGTAGTCACCCATGAGGCTGAGGGTCCAGGGCGTACTCCTCTCATCACCACTGACCTCACGCTCATTCCACATAGACATTTTACAGTCAAGGAAAAGTTACCTGGAACCTGATACAAAGACAAGATGTTCTCAGAGAAGAACGAACAAATGCCATGCTTACTGATCAGGGTAACAGTTGAAAACACGGGGCATGAGTTCTGTATTTCATAAAGCTGCAGGATCCAAACACTTCTCACTAGCAGCCAACCAAAGACACTGGGGATGAGTAATGAGTATACACTACTCATTCTAAGGTTGGGAATTTCTCGTGATTGACTGACACTCCATCATGTCTCTCTAGAAGTATTTCTATTGGACCAGGCATGGTAGACATGATAGACAAATACTATGGGTAGTGGTGGTAGTTGTTTTTGAGACAGGCTTTTGCTCTGTTGCCCAGACTGGAGTGCAGTGGCATGATCATGGCTCACTGCAGCCTCAGCCTGCCAGGCCCATGTGATCCTCCTGCCTCAGCCTCTTGAGTAGCTGGGACTACAGGCACATGCCACCACACCCATCAAATTGTTGTATTTTTTTGTAGAGAAGAGATCTTACTAGGTTGCTAAGGCTGGTCTTGGACTCCTGAGCTGAAGCCATCCTCCCGCTTCAGCCTCCCAAAGTGCTAGGATTACAGACATGAGCCACAGCACCCAGCGGCTTTGTTTTTTTTGAATCTTAATGATAATATTGGGAGTTTATGATCACTTAACTGTTCTACACAAGTTGCATGTATTATCTCACTTAATCTTCACAACAACATTGAGGTAAGTTTAATTACCTCCATTTTAAAATGCACAAAATGATCACCGCATCCACGCCAACATCTACTGTTTTTTGATTTTTTGATTATGGCCATTCTTGTGGGAGTAAGATGTGTTGTGGTTTTGATTTGCATTTCCTTGATCATTAGTGATGCTGAGCATTTTTTTTCCTATGGTTTGTTGGCCATTTGTGTATCTTCTTTTGAGAACTGTCTATTCATGTCCTTAGCCCACTTTTGGATAGGACTGTTTGGTTTTTTCTTACTGATTTGAATTCACCGTAGATTCTGGATATTAGTCCTTTGTCAGATGTACAGATTGTGAAGATTTTCTCCCACTCTGTAGGCTGTCTGTTTACTCTGCTGACTGTTCCTTTTGCCATGCAAAAGCTCTTTAGTTTAATTAAGTCCCAACGAATTGTCTTTGTTGATATTGCATTTGCTTTTGGGTTCTTGGTCATGAAATCCTTGCTTAAGTCAATGTCTAGAAGGGTTTTTCCAACGTTATCTTCTAGAATTTTTAATAGTTTCAGGTCTTATATTTAAGTCCTTAATTCATCTTGAGTTGATTACCACTGGTGGGAGTATAAACTAGTACAGCTACTATGTAAAACAGTGTGGAGATTCCTTAAACAACTAAAAGTAGAACTACCATTTGATCCAGCAGTCCCACTACTGGTTATCTACC
Organism: Homo sapiens; assembly: GCF_000001405.40. Taxonomy (NCBI): domain Eukaryota; kingdom Metazoa; phylum Chordata; class Mammalia; order Primates; family Hominidae; genus Homo; species Homo sapiens. The sequence continues at coordinate 73,904,301 of NC_000016.10, forward strand.
CAGAGGAAAAGAAGTCAATATATGGGAAAGATACTTGCACACTCATGTTTATAGCAGCACAATTTGCAATTGCAAAATCATGGAACCAACCCAAATGCCCATCAATCAACAAGTAGATAAAGAAACTGTGGTATATATATAGATGGAATACTACTCAGCCATAAAAAGGAATGAATTAACAGGATTTGCAGCGACCTGGATGAGACTGGAGACTATTATACTAAGTGATGTAACTCAGGAATGGAAAACCAAACATTTTATGCTCTCACTGATATGTAGAAACTAAGCTATGAGGACACAAAGGCATAAGAATGATACAATGGACTTTGGGGACTTAAGAGGAAGGGTGGGAGTGGGGTGAGGGATAAAAGACTACAAATGGTGTGCAGTGTATATGGCTTAGGTGATGGGTGCACCAAAATCTCACAAATCACCACTAAAGAACTTACTTATGTAACCAAATACCACCTGTACCCCAATAACCTATGGAAAAAGAAAAAAATGCATAAACTAGAGCAAGGATGAATGAACATCTATAGCTTACAGAACACACACAAGAAAATTAAGTTGTAAGACAACACTGCCACCTTTTAGGCCAAAAATAAATGAATTTTGGCAATTATCAACATGCATGATATATAATATGCAATGAAAAACATTTTATAAGCAAGTTCAATCCAAATACCTTCCCTTGCAGTGTAAAACAGCCTGGCCTCAATGTTCCCATTTCTAGGTCACTAGCTCATACATTAACTTAACCTACTATTGATGGAGATGACAGAGAGTCATCTTCTTTGACATCTTCAGAATTCTCAAGTAGAGAGTGAAGATGGCTTCATGTGTTAATTAATTAGAAAGTTTGCAAAAATCTGAACATATCACTTTCACTTTTCTCTCCTCAACACAGTCAGGGAGGTTTTTCTGTTTCTTATCTCATGAGACCTCCCTTGTTCTGATTAATTATTTGGCATTGTACTGGGAATGAGGTGTGTACGTATGAGTTTTTTTGTTTTGTTTTGTTTTGTTTTTGAGACAGAATCTCACTCTGTTGCCCAGGCTCTGGAGTGCAGTGGCGCCATGTCCCCTCACTGCAAGCTCCACCTCCCGGGTTCACGCCATTCTCCTGCCTCAGCCTCCTGAGTAGCTGGGACTACAGGCACCCGCCACCACGCCCGGCTAATTTTCTGTATTTTTAGTAGAGACAGGGTTTCACTGTGTTAGCCAGGATGGTCTCAATCTCCTGACCTCGTGATCCACCTGCCTCGGCCTCCCAAAGTGCTAGGATTACAGGCGTGAGCCACCGTGTCCGGCCCATGTGAGTTTTTAATGGTGAAAAAAATACAATAAAATCTTCATCAATATTACAAGGACAGTAAAGGATATAAATGACACTTTAATGTAAGGCATGAGCCCCCTTTTCCTAAAACCTTCCCTCTCATACTATATATAGTGTCTTTTATATACACAAAATTATTTGCAAAGAGCTCATATGCACAGGACAAATACTATAAAATATAACTTTTAAAATGTACATAGGCAACTTAGAGATCTATATGTGTAACTAAGAATATTTTAATTCCTTGATCAATTTTCAGGGTTTTATTTTTGTTTGTTTGTTTCTTTTTTTTAAGACAGGGTATCACTCTGTTCCCCAGACTATAGTACAGTTACACAATCTCAGCTCACTGCAACCTCAACCTCCTGGGCTCAAGTGATCCTCCTACCTCAGACTCCTGAATAGCTGGGACCACAGGTGTCTGCCACTGTACTCACTAATTTTTTTCATTTTCTGTAGAGATGGGGTCTCACTAGTTTGCCCAGGCTAGTCTCAAACTCCTGGGCTCAAGCGATCCTCCCATCTCAGCCCCACAAAGTGCTGTGATTACAGGGGTGAACCACCATGCCTGGCCTTTAATACTTTAAAATAGATTATTCTCAGAAAAATTGACTAAAAAATTCTCTGATATTTTGGCAGGGCCACATTTAAGCCATCCCAGACAAGTATAAAAACCATGGTTATGGTTTCAAGACTTCCAGAAAATGTCATTTATGTTAGCCATTCATATGCTAGTGTGATTTTAACAATTATTTCTGATATTTAGCCTAAATCTCTCATATTATAAATCATATAAATTTCCTGTCATTTCTTTTTTTAGTGGACAAGAATTAGCATTAAATGGGTGATAGACTCTTAGTCTTCTAAAAAGCTGTATCAAATGAGAAGCTGTTTACTGCATATCATTAACCTAATATTTAAACTGTTTAAAAGAGATGTTATAAGTGGGGCACGGTGGCTCACACCTGTAATCCCAGCACTTTGGGAGGCCGAGGCAGGTGGATCACTTGAGGTCAGGGGTTTGAGACCAGCCTGGCTAACATGGTCTCTACTAAAAATACAAAAATTAGCCAAGAGTGGTGGCAGGCGCCTGTGGTCCCGCTACCAGGGAGGCTGAGGCAGGAGAATCACTTGATCCTGGGAGGCAAAGGTTGCAGTGAGCTGAGATCATGCCACTGCACTCCAGCCTGGGCAACAGAGTGAGACTCCGTCTCAAAAAATAAAATAAAATAAAATAAAGTTATAAAAGTTATTAAAATAATTTATAGTATTCAGATGTACTGAGTCATAATTACATATCATAGTCATTGACCAAAAATCTCAACAGAGAATCTCTACCAAACACTCTTCAGGAAAGCACCCAAGATATAATATCCCCTATTTGGGAAAGTTTCACATATGCCTGATGGAGCCTATGTTCATCAAAGTAAGCTCTGTCCCTACTCCGATCCTAGAGCAGATGGCATCACACAGCAGTTTTACAAGAACATTGGCCTCAAGTTGTTAAAAACCAAGAAATCACATGTAGGTTACTCACCTGAGTGAGTCTCTGGAGCCCCAGGACTGCAGTGAAATATACTGATCCTGGCATGAAAAGTTAATTCACTACTTCATGGCTCTCCTGCCAGATAGTTTCCTTGGCCTTCCTAACGTTCTATTGATTTCCATTGATTGAAGTTGCTTAATTCTAAGGTGTATAAGGTGTATCTTGAAATGGACACTTCATTGGTTTTTATGTTCATTGGTTTCCACAGACCCTCCTCAAATTGTGGCACAGAATTAAATAACTTGAAGAGCCAACTATGGATGATCAGACTTTCATTCTAAAACTAAAAGCTCCTGTTAAACACCCTTGAAAACAAAGTCAGTGCCTCATTTCCTGGATCATAGTTTATGTAGCATGGTGACTTATTATATATTAAACTTTTGGTAAAACATCAATATTCTTTCTTTTACATCAAAACTTCTGTGCCGGTAAAATGTCACCACAACATCTTCCCCCCGACCGTCTTTCTTTGCATTTCGATATGGACAAAATGAAAGTGGGATCATTCTATTTGTGGCACAATGACCACTACCAAAATTACCTAACCTATTCTAAAGCCCTTTTCTTCCAAGTGCCGCCATCTGATTTGTCAAGTCCCCTACTGAAACCACAGCACGTGGGAAACAGATGGAATAAATCATAGTTGAGTAGGAATAGAATATATATTTCAATGGCAAGAACTAGAATAAGAAAGTAACCTGGGTAGAAATTGGAGTCAAATATCCACATGGGGCAGAGCTGAGAGTTAGAGGAGAACCAAAATCAGAGAATGATCGGGAAAGAAGCAGAAGCAGGATATGGAAGTGGGATAAACCAAGATACACAAAATATGATGGTCATTTATCATGGCCACTCAACTTGATAATTTCCAAAAATGAAATTTTATCTTAATACACAGATTGTTCAATGTGTGGGTTCTTTAAATGAAAGTGTCTTAACCTGAACAGTTTTACCTTAATAGGAATACTGATGAGCCTCAGAGACTGTAAAGAGTCCCCTGAATTACTTTGCAAAATGTGGGGGGTATTGGGGGGGGAGTAAGTACAGTTTTTATCAGATTCTCGAAGGAGACTATGGCCCCTAAAACTCAAGAACTACTCGCTTCTCTAGAGGATGAAGCCACCATTATAGCCATTCCCTCTGGCAAGGGATCAACACACTGACTGCCTTGAGTGATTTCCCCTGCAGCTTTCCTTATGGGTCAGGGAACTTACTTGAATTACAGGTCACCAGCTGTGATGGACACTCATGGCCATTTTCACTAGGATCAAAGCTTCCCCTCAAATACTCGTAGTGAACACAACGTATATAAATAGACATATTCAGGGACATTTTAATAAAAATGTACTCTCTAGGGTTGGGGCAGGGCATTTTGCAGTTAAGGAAAAGCTACCTGGAACCTGATAGAAAGGCAGAATGTTCAAGGAGAAGAACAAATGAACCTGATACAAAGGCAGAATGTTCAAGAAGAACAAATGAATGCTATGCTTACCGAGCAGGGTAACAATTGAAAACATGGGGCATGAGTTCTGTATTTCATAAAGCTGCAGGATCCAAACACTTCTCACTAGCAGCCAACCAAAGACATTGGGGATGGCTAATGAGTATATACCACTCACTCTAAGGTTGGGAATTTCTAGTGATTGACTGACACTCCATCATATCCCTCTAGACCAGGCATGGTAGACATGGCATTGGTTTACTTGTGTTGTACCTGCTGTTGCTTCTGTATCTTCCCTGACCATAAATAGAACTTTGCTCAGTGGCTCTGTCAGCTAAACAAATGTCTATCATCATCAATTTACCATAATTAACACCCAACACCCACCCACATACACACGTCTACCTAGAGACAAACAACAAACAAACAAAACAAACATTCATTCAAAGGTTTCAAAAACCAGACACATATACTGAAAATGGTACATTTCTACCAAACCAACTTGGTTATGATTCAGTTTAATGGTGAGCCCTGGAGTAATACAATTCTTTTGTGTTCTGTTGAAAGTACTGAAGTTCTCTTTAAACAAACTCACTTTGTTGTTTGTTTGTTTGTTTGTTTGTTTGTTTTTTCTGAGACAGAGTCTCACTCTGTCTCCCAGTCTGGAGTGCAATGGTGTGATCTTGGCTCACTGCAGCCTCCGCCTCCCAGGCTCAAGTGATTCTCCTGCCTCAGCCTCCCAAGTAGCTGGGATTACAGGTGTGTGCCACCCATGCCCAGCTAATTTTTGCATTTTTAGTAGAGACGAGGGTTTCACCATGTTGGCCAGGCTGGTCTAGAACTCCTGACCTCAAATGATCCACCCATCTCAGCCTACCAAGTGCTGGGATTATAGGCATGAGCCACCACACCCGGCCAGAACTCACTTTGTATTACCTTACAACATATTTTCTGAAGGAATCCCACTGGACAGTAAGGTATGTACACAGCAACCATATAGATCCATCAACTGCTTTGCATGCTGAACTAGACCAGTTTTCAACAGCATTGAAGCCCTTTCCAAAGTGTGTGCACGTTTTACATGCCTAGACCTTTCGAAATGTTTGAACAAGAGATTAAGCCTTGTATTTCACACTCTCACCTACTTGAAATATTCATGTGAAGATAGGGTGGGTATGAGACGTCCAGGAGTTCTCATCAAAAAATATTTGATGACATCATGAAATCTCTGCTAACCTGCAAGTAATTCTTACCAGGTTTTAAAAACTGAGAAGACTGAAGCTTCAGCCATGTAGAAATACAGATGAAAACCAGCAGGCTTCTGGCCAGGAAAACAAATCTGAATCACACATGAAAGTATTTGCATTCGGGCTCTAAAAATCTTTCAATTCTGATTTTCTACATTTGATTTGTACTTGATCAGAAAATCAACTAAGCCAAATTTGAATCCAAAATACAAAGGGCAGGGCTGAATCGAACAGTCTATTTTCATCTTAGCAAAAATTTTGCCTGGGATTTGTTTTCATTTAATTCTGATGTTATTTTTATCTTTATACTTTCATTTATTATTTCTATGTCATGTTTTATCTTTGTAGAGATAAACTAGTAACAACTGAGAGACAGTACCCTTTTTAGAGGTTTGTGAATTTTCAAACACTGATCATTTTCCTCTACTTTATGTAGCCAATTATTGTCCAGATTCCTTTGAAATTTCATTTTCTGTAAGAAGTTTAGTTTCAAATTATTTTCCAAATGGATTTGGATTTTTTCTTTCATGTTTGTCATCCACAAAACTTATTTACTTATTCATTTATAAAGCTTCACAACTAGCCTGAGGAATTCTGAATATTGGCTTCAACAGACACATTTTTATTCATTAGCAGGATCCAAAAATACCTTTTCATATTTACTTCTGGAACCTTCAAACAGTTCCTTCCTTTTATTATTTCTTTGTAGCTTCAATTGTTCTCAACTCTTGGAGGAAAAATGTTTCTTTTCCACTTTAAGAATTCAAATGAGAATATTTCAGTGATTTAAAATCAACTCACTGACGCACTATAGAAACTATAAATGTCATATTTAATGGTCACAAGTAGAACTACCCAAGGACTCATGGCAAGAATCCTCCAAAGTTGTTAGTGGTGGCGGGAGGAGTGTGGCTTGATTTTGCTCTGCCTTAATATCTGCACTTCTAATGGAACCATTCAGCAGAATGGTTTTAATTTTAACAACAACCAGTAGCATTCATGCTATGGACTGACCCGTCTTCAAGTAGGAAATCCTTTCATATACCATTCTGCATGTTGAAGATGAGCTCAATTGAAAAGTAGACACAACCACCAAAAAACGTACTAAACCACTTTTCACATACCAACATAGAAGTTAAGAGGTGGGAAGGAGGAGAGAAGAAATGAGAATGGTGTGGAGTAGAGGAAGAAAAAGCTGGGCAACATGGCAGAAGACCGAAGCCATCAAAGAAAGGAAGTCAGAAATTTCTGGTGTTCATTGGCCAAACATCTTCCCAGAATGTGTGTATGTAACATTCATTATTGAGTTGTCACCACAAAATTAAAAAAAAATTTTTTTTGAAGTTCTTCACACATGTCTTCTATGAGTGGTTTGGAGGAAAACTGGCAAGGCTGGCGGAAGTCATTTTCTGAAATGCAGAAAAGAAAGAAAAGGCCAGGTAGAGTGCAGTCAATGTGGGAACCAGGAACTCACTGGAACAAGCTCCTAGAGCTGGAAAGAGCCACAGAAACACGAGCCCCAGAATTAACTGCATTTTTGGTGGGGACTTTGGATTTCCTAGAGGATATGCTATTGAGCCATCCATTTAAATCTCAAAGGACAAAATAAGTGATAAAATCCATTGACATCTGCGTAACCTTGCAGTCATCATGTTGGTAAACTTCTCTGCTAGGCTTATCTGAATCAACAACTTCTTCACTATGGCAAAGGAACCTCAACTGACATCATCTCAGAAGGTGAGTTGTGAATTGTGTACTTGCCTCCTGACACATACATGAATTTCTTTCATCCCCCAGATTTTTACAGTTTTTAATTTCCCATTTGACATAGTGGGAAAAAAAAGGGGAAAACAAAACAAAAAACAAAACAAAAAAAAAACACATGATTCGTGTTGCCTTTGGTAAAGGCAATCATTGATGAGGGTGTCCTTAAATAGATAAAAATTCCAGTTGCCATGACCTAGAGGAAGCTCAGGTTGACCACAAACCCAGGCTCCTGCCCTGCTCCTCAGTTACAAAACCGAGACAGTGAGGAGGGAAATGGTGATGGATAGCCAGCTTTGTACCCTAGGTATATGCCCACCCTGCTAGAATACTGCAAAACCCAGTATTTCTTTTTAATCAATCTCTAGACAGAATTAGGCCCTAGCTTATAGCTGAAAATGAGAAATAAATTCATTGTGCTTTCTGTCCCATGTATTTCCTACTACTTCTTGCTTATAATAATATGGAGATAAAGATTCATTGTGTGTGTAAAATTGGTTTTCCAACAAATTCTGTTGCTCTTAAAATAAAAATAAGATTCCCAGGGTAAGAAAAAAAATGAATGTGCAAAAGAAAACAACCAAAGTACGCAGGAAGTAATAGAGGAAAGAAAACAAACAGTAAAGGACCATTGATAAAACAACGTGCATTACCTGGCTAGATCTTTTTCCCCACAAACTAAGATAGTTTGATGCGTTTAAATTGTGCTGTAACTCCCTTCTGGATAAAACCATAGAGGAAAGACACAGTTGTGTGCTTGGGCTTCTCTCCAGGCAGCTTACTTGGAAGCTGAGAATGTCAGACAGTCTGAACTAGGAAATGGGAGAGTGTGTGTGAGAAGCAATCTTAAGAACAGCCGAATGGGCTGGCCACACTTGCATGATTCCTGGATGGCAAAGAAAGTCTGCAAAAGATGCCAGACTGTTATGTGGCTGCTGGCAGACTCTGCTCTAAAAGTGGAACATTTAGAGTTTCAGTGGGCAGGCTTGGATACATAAGAAGCTTAAGCAGAGTGAGACAGACTATCTTTTTACCGACATAGCCAGCTTACGGGAAGCTAGCAAGAGAAAAAAAGTATGTGTAAATAGGTAACCAATGGCCACTTGGCAAAGAGGCAGCCCCTAGATTCCTAAAAAGCATATTTGGACCTCTGCCTATGGCTTTTACTTATTTGTTCATCTATTTATATATCCACCCACCTACCTACCTACCTGCCTGCCTTCCTACCTACCGGCCTGCCTGCCTTTCTTCCTACCTACCTGCCTTAATACCTACCTACCTGCCTGCCTGCTTTTCTGCCTCCTACCTGCCTATCTACCTACCTGCCTATCCATCTACCTACCTACCTGCCTATCTACCTACCTGCCTACCTGCCTATCTATCTACCTGCCTATCCACCTATCTACCTACATGCCTATCCATCTACCTGCCTACCTGCCTATCTACCTACCTGCCTTAATACCTACCTACCTTTCTGCCTCCTACCTGCCTATCTATCTACTTGCCTGTCTACTTGCCTATCTACCTACCTGCCTATCTATCTACCTGCCTGCCTGCCTTTCTGCCTATCTATCTATTGCCTTAATACCTACCTACCTGCTTACCTGCCTGCCTATGGACTAGAAAAGAATCCTAAAGCACTGCCAAAGCTTTCATGTCTTTTTTACCTTTAGTTGGCTTAGAGCAGAGGTGAATTAAATGGCAAATAGTTGAGACATAAAACTGTATCTACGATTTGTACTTCTTTCAGACCCATCTTAATTTGCTTTAGGCTGAAGGACTCTAGTATCAAATACATGACTTTACTGTGAATCCCAGCAATTACTAAAGGCAGGCAATGAATATCTGTGGCTTCGGGAAAGCCATAGGTAGACTCTACCGGTCTTTTCCTTTACTGGAATGTATCAAGGTAGAAAGTACATAGTACTGGAAAACAGGAAAACTTCCAGGGCAGGGAAGACAAGGCTTCCCACAGGCCAGCTTCAAGGGCCTCTTTTCATTCTCTATCACTTCCTCCCCTCTGAATCTCTCTGCTCATATGAACAAAGAGTGTTTCCGCCAAGTGAGTGGGGCTCTTATGTGGCGGTCTGCAGATGTTAGGAGGGGCAATTGCCCCCAACACTGTTCTCAATATTTGTGTGCATATACATCTTTCTGGACTCCCAAAGAAGCTGATGTCCCAAGAAATGTTTAGAACCACATCTGCCAGTCACAGAGGACCTGGTATTGTATGATTCGATTTACAGCCCATGTCCAGAGGAAGCAAATCCACAGATACAGAAAGTCTAGGGCATAACCTAGGGATGGGAAGCAGGGAATGGGGGTGGTTGGGAGGAAACAGGGAGTTATTGCTAATAGGTATGAGATTTCCTTTTGTTGGGTGAAGAAAATGTTCTAAAACTGATTGTGATGATGGTTGTACAACTCTGAATATACCAGAAACCACTGAATTGTGCACTTTAAATGGGTGAATTGTATTGTATGTGAATTATATCTCAATAAAGCTGTTATTTTAAAAGAAAAAAATCTATAAAACCCTGACCCACCAGAAATGTACCATTTAGCCCTTCCTGAGAAAATAGCAACATCCAGGGGCTCATCAGACCCTGAAATGACAGAGAAAATGGCAAGCATCTTAAGTATAAGAGCTCCCTTCTTTATCAATGCAAACCTCAGAAAAAAAGGAGACTTATTTGGGTCTTTAGTGACTTTGGTTTACGTTTTTCTCCATAGCAACTGGGCCAAATATTGCACTAACTGAATACTCCATGGGTCAAGTGCCTACAAGTTAGTGGACACCTCCGGAAAAAAACGCAGTCACAGAGTAAATTCAGGAAATCCTATTATGTCAGTAGTTCACCGGACAACTGGCATCCGCTTCTGATTATTTTTCTCCTGGTTACCAAATCCCTCATCAGTTAAAGCCAATGAGTTTTTAACATCCTAAGACAGAAATGAGGTTATAACACTCACATGGAGATAATTCTTAAAGGGAATATATTTAGCCACCTTTTTGAGACAGTCTTGCTCTGTCGCCTAGGCTGGAGTGCAGTGGCGTAATCTCGGCTCACTGCAACCTCCGCCTCCCGGGTTCGTGCCATTCTCCTGCCTCAGCCTCCCGAGTAGCTGGGACTACAGGCACCCGCCACCATACCCAACTAATTTTTTGTATGCTTTAGTAGAGACAGGGTTTCACTGTGTCAGCCAGGATGGTCTCAATCTCCTGACCTCGTAATCCACCCGCCTCAGCTTCCCAAAGTGCTGGGATTATAGGCGTGAGCCACCGCTCCCCGCCAGCCACATTTTTAATATACAATATCATCCTTCCCTCGTCAGAAGTAGTACAACATTATCGTGCAGAATATCATTTTTATTAAAGCTGAGGTATTTGTTACAAGTGGTGCAATACCCTTCATACCATATGTTTTCCCATGTGGACAAAATTTATTTGGAGTTTGCCTGCTGGAGGAAATTTAAATACCAGTAAATTGATGGTGATTTAAAAAAATAAATACTTATAAACGTTCCTTTTTTAACTAACCATTACTGACAGAAACCTTACAATCCAGGGATCTAATTCTCTGGAAGTAGCCACGAAGAGAGGAATTTTAGCAAAAACCTCACAATGAAACTCATAGCTCAAGACTCACTTTCCAGCCCAATGAAGAGACAGGGGGTGGGAGAGGGAGGGAGCATGACTTTTAAAAGCTAGCAATCTGGCAGGAAGTTGAATGAATTTTCCCTCCTCCTTTAGGAAGGGAGGCAGGACAAAAGGCAGGGTTTTCGCAGCAATTTTCATTTTTCAGTCATTTGCAGGAAAGCCCAACCAGTCTGATTAACATTCAGCCATCTGTCTGAACACAAAAGCCTGCAACGTGCAACATTTAAGTTCTACGGATAGCTTTAACATGTTATCAATTAAACAAGTTTTCCTTCCACTGTAGTTTTTGGACTTAAATCTGATTTCTATTTATTGGGGTGGGAGAAGATGAGAAGAAAGAGTGGGAAGAGAGAATCTGAATTACGACTTTATCAGACCCAAGTTAAATGTCATCAGATTACAACTCTGCAGAATTGACTCCCTGGGTCGCCAGGAGACCAAAGGAAGCCAAGATTGACAATGTACAGATTCAAATGCATTTTCTTCATTATCAACCCCACAAAAAGAAGAGGGATAATAAGGGACATATGTAAACTTTATATACGCAGATATCTTGCTGGTTGGAGAAGGCTGCCTGCTACGTAATTTATCCTGAAATATTTCCTTTAAAAAAAAAAAGAGAGAGAGAGAGAAAAAAGAAAAAAATGCAACTAGGTTTTACTGTCCCAGCAAGGGTATGACAGCAACAATTTACAATTTTCCTCCATCTCATTCTCCCCTCCTCCCTCCTCTGCCTCTCCACTCACCATCCATTCTCCATTTCCTGACAACTTCTCATCACGTTAGTTCATGCCTAATCTAAAATGGTGGTGGGTGAAGGAATTTTTTTAAAAAAATAAGATAGAAAAAGGAAAAGGGAGACAATATGATTAGAAGGAGGACAGGAGAAAGAGCAAGATTGAGAGAGACGGAGAGACTGTCAACGCCCAAGTCTGCATTTGCCTATTTAAATGCAATCCTGCAGCCCTGGCTGAGCTATGCAATAGATGGGCTGCGTTATGAATTTCTGATCAGACAATGATAGGTTATGAGAGGAGACGTAATCCCATTGAGAAAGCTTTTTCTTCCAAGCAGGGGCAAGTGATACCTACCCCAGAGAGACAGCTCCTTGCTTTGCCCTCTATGTGTATGTAAGTATGTGTGAAAACATATATAAATTTCTGCCTTTCTTTAAAAATAAAAAGTCAAAATAAACATTTTATGATGATAAATGTGCAGTATTAATTGACAGTCACATCTGAAACAGGAATGTTCCCTGGCAAATCAGACTCACCTACCACATAAACTGCATTTTTTTTTGTTTTTTGAACCTGATTAGAATTCTCTCCTGTGCTCATCTCATTTTTTTGTACCTGTATTCGTCATCTAAAGAGAAAGCGAAAAGATTGAAAACCACCAACAACACTGGTGGTGTTTTGAGTATATTCTATGGCTTGCTTCCCTTTCAATATTTTGTATTTACCTAAAAAAAAAACTCATACATATACAATGAATAATATATTTCATGTACAGTACTCAATGGAAGAAACCAATCTTAAAGTTTTTTTTTTTTTTTTACATTTCCACGCATGTGAAACAATACTTTCAATTGCTTTATGAAGTAATTATAGGCAGTTAATTACTCTAGCTGTAGTTAAGCATCACACTAACCAAGAGGTTTGTAGGTTAATTGAAACTTGCGTAATAGAGACAGGGTATTAAGTATTCCAAGTCAGGATTTTGCAACAGCTCTTGGCTACTGTGCAGTAAAAAGTTAGGAACCGTACATCTAGTACTTCTAGGATCTGGGGCTGCTGGAGCAAGTACATGAGCCTCCCTGCACCAGATGCAGACACACACAAGAGACCAGTACCCATTTACAAGCAGAGAAAGAGGCTACTCCAAGTTATACGAATGTCATGGAAAGAATAACAGACAAGAGAGGTGTTTATGAATGAAAGCAGGGTAAGCTTAAAATGTAAGAATTGTCATCACATTTAAAAGAAGGCAGTTGGACTTCGTCCCTATCCTGTTTTAAGTGACATCACACGGAGTGAACAGCATCTTACAGTCTTGTTTTTCTTCTTTTGCCAGGAGGCATCCCAGGACCTAATGGAAATTCACAGCCAGAGGAGGGTTACTGGTCTACGTTTTACGTAATGTTCATCTTACCACAGGGACTCACTGTGGGCAGAATACAGCATGCCATTTCACCCAGAGTCCTCTAAGTCAGTTTTTTTGTTTGTTTGTTTGGGGGAAGGGGCGAGGTTGTTTAAAACAACATTTCTTTCACGATTTAGGGATATTTTTTCTTCTCCTTATAAGTGCTCCAATTCTTAATTATGATCTACAAGAGCAAAATTGCAAAAGCCTATCAGTACCATTCTGCCTTTTGAAATGCCGTGTTTCTTACGTTCAACTTCTGTTGCACGTACATGTCAGGGTAACTTCAGTTCTCTTTACCCTCTAAGCTGTAATGGATCCATTAAGCGAGTGAGGATATGCGGGTGGGTAGTGGGATGGGGGGTTCATCTGAGAGTGCAAATTATTTACCTGATTTAGATTGATTAAAGTCAGGCATGCTGTCTGCATTTCACCATCTTTTTAAAATGGGGAACCTGCCCTGAAAGAATATTATGTAAATCTTTCTGTCACAGATTAGTGCCCTATACATGACTTCCACAATGTGCATCTGCCTTCTGTGCAAGCTTATTACGTACACACACACAGTTTCCAATTTTTAACCTCCCGTCCTGCCCATTCTCTTCCTTCCCCCAACGCTCATTATGGGAAAATTACCTCAAACAGGACACTACTGGTTGCCTTCCATTCTATTTACATAATTGCTGTTTTGTTGCTTTTCTTTTTCATAAGTGGAAATTTTGTTCCCCAAAGGAATAGCATCGATGTTGAAGTGACAAAATGGAGTTTCCACTCGGGGTGGCAAATGGAGAGGAGCTTCTAGCAACATGTTCTGGGGCACTCTGTGCTCACCAGGTTGCAAGTTGTTCTGAGGATTACAGGCAGAGGTTTTCGTGATGGTGGCAACCCACTGGAAAAAATTCCTAGGCCAGGGATGGTAAGCTTCTGAGAACCACGAAAATAGCTGGGCTAGGACCGATGCCTCCTGAGGGTTTAATACAGCACTATGCCAAATCTGAAATGAACTGATCTAACTTTCATTCATAATTAACATCAACATTTATATACATGTGAATAAACAGAAAACTACTTCTTTAAGAAACTTTTGTGAGAAAGTAAATTTCAAAAGAAGCAACTTTGTAGCTTCCATGTTCACACTCTGGATTCTGTGACTTCCATATTAGGTACTACAAGACAAATAAAAAATACGTGAGGTACACTCATGCATTTTTTAACCATGAAGTATATCACATATACAGAAAAGCATAAAATATGTATGTTCAGTATGAATGTGCGTAATGATCTCCCTTTCTGGTTTTAATTTGTAGTACCCTGATTACCAGTGGGGTTAAGCATTTTTTTCATATGTTTATTAGCCAGTGGGGTTTGTCCTTTTGTGAAGGGTCTATTGGATTCGTCTTTTTCTTATTCCTTTGCCAGAATTCTTTATATTTTCTGGATACTACTTATTTGTCACTTGAATATATTGCAAATATCTCTCCCCATGAGATGGTTTTACTTCTCACTCTCTTTACGGTATCTTATGATGAATGTTAAGTTATTAATTTTAATGTAGTTCTATTTATTACATCTATCCCTTATGGTTAGTGTTTTTGTGCCTTGGTTAAGAAAATTTCCCCTATCCTGAGGTCATGAATAATTATCTTATAAAAGCTTTATTGCTTTGTCTATTACATCTTTAGGGCTTTGTTCCACTTGGAATTGGTTATTTTGTATACCATAAGGTAGAGGTCTAATTTCTTTTTTGTTCATACAGATCACCAATTGTCCTAGCATCATTTACTTAAAGTTTTCTCCTTTCCCCTCAAGTCTATATATGAAATGTATAAACATAGGTTGGTCTATTTCTCAGTTTTCTATTCTGTTCCATCGGCCTGTTTATACCTATACCATTTCTACACTTGTATCAATGTGGTCCAGTGATATATCTTGACATCTGGTAAGGAAGTTCCCAAACATATTTTCTTTTAAAAGCTTCCTGGCAACACTTCATCCTTTGCATTTCTACCGACATTTCTTGTATCAATTTGGAATTTTGATTGAGAGTGCACTGAACCTGTAGATCAGTTTTGGGAGAACTGTTATCATTCATGAACATGCCATATTTCTCCACATATTCAGATCCTCTTGAAAGTTGTTCAATAAAATTCGATTTTCAGATAACAGGCTTTATACAACTTTGATTAGACTTATTCCTACGTTCTTTATATTTTTGATACACTTAGAAATGGTATATACATAAAAATTTATTTTCTATTTGTTACTAATATATAGCAATGTGGTTTATTTTTCCATATTTATTGTGTTTTCAGCAACCTTGCTGAGTCTTTACTAATTTAATTAATTTTTCAATTGATTCTTTTGGATTTTCTACGTTCACAATATAATCATCTATGAAGAATGATAGTTTCATTTCTTCCTCTATGATCCTATACATTTTATTTCTTTTTCCTGCCGTGTCACACTGGCTAGGACCTCCAGTGCTGTGTTCAATCAAGTGACGATAGATACACATTTATCTTTTTTCTGATCTCAAAGGGAAAGTCTTTTACTGTTTAGCCATTAAGAATGATGGTTTTTGCAGGTTTTTCTTAGATATTAGTTATCAGATAAAAAGATGTTTCTTTTTATTCCTAGTTTGCTAAAAACTCTTACATTGGCTATAATACATTTTATCAAATTCTTTTTCTGAAACTATTTAAATTATTATATGTTTTTCTCTTTTAAACAATAATGTATAACTAATTATATATTAATTGATTTTCTAATGTTAAACCAACATTGCATGCCAGGAACTAGGCCAGGTCATAAAACAGTATCCTTTACACAAATTGTTACCTTTATACAAATTGCTAACATCTTGTTTTTGATTTTGCATCTGTGTTTCTGAGAGAGATAGGCTGTTGTTTTCCCTTTCTCACACCATCCTTGTTGGGTCTTGCTATCAAGGTTATGCTAGCCTCCTACAATGAGTTAGGTGACGTCTTCAATACTTTGCCATTGGAATTAAGAAACTGATGGCAGAAAACCAGTGATGTCTTGATTTTATTTTCCCCCCAAGATACACCTTCACTCTGTCGTCAAGGCTGGAGTGCAGTGGCACCAACTCGGCTCACTGCAACCTGTGCCTTTTGGGTTCAAGCGATTGTACTGCCTCAGCCCCCAGTAGCTGGAACTACAGGCACGCACCACCACACCCTGCTAATATTTTGGTTTTTTGGTAGAGACAGGGTTTTGCCATGTTGCCCAGGCTGGTCTCGAACTCCAGACCTCAGTTATCCGCCCACCTCGGCTTCCCAGAGTGCTGGGATTACAGGCATGAGCCACCGCACCCTGACGCCTTGAATATTTCAACCCAGTTTCCCCTCCCTGTTTCTTCTTCCTCCCTGAATTAGTCAAGGCTCAGTCAGAAAACATAAACTATACCAGTTAACATAACAGAAAATTTCACATAAAGAATTGTTAACTGAGTGGAAAGAACTGTTAACCAGCTAACCGAAAAGATAAAAAGAACCCTAATATTTCAAGTAAGTGCCAACCACCCCATGACTAGGAGAATAAAGAGAAGAGGTTGGAATTATTAAAACTAGGGGTTTTGGAGAAGGAGCCCAACTCGGGGCTCTGAGGAGGCAGTGCTAGGTGGCTGGCACTGGTCTACCTGAATGCAACATGATGAAGCTGGTCCTGAAGATGTCAGGAAAACCTCAGATGGGATTCCACTGCCACTGTGGGAAGAAACTTCCACAGACAGAGTGGCAAAATGATGCTGGAATGAGGCTCACTGGGAAAAAAAAAAGAAGCTGATGGGAAATACACACACACAAAAAAAAGCAGACCATAAGGGCATGACATTTTTTTCTCTCCACCTTTCACTATCCTTCTAGTGGACCCTATTGGCAGAGCTTCATAGGGAGCCTGCTGGCCAAGCAAACATGGGGGTTGCAGGGCTCTAGCCCCTGGAATCACAAAGCGGGGTATGTAAGGTTGGGTTTCGAGCTGAAAGACAATGGCTTCATAAATGGCGCAATACTAAAAATGGTGACTCACAAGTGATGCTTGCCAGAGAAGACAAACATTTTCTTACCAATGATGGAATCCACCTCTACCACCTAGAAACTTAACAGCAATGCTGAGAATCTGGATGATGAATCCATTGTGTCACATGAGCTCATGCAAACCAATGGATGCTTCAGTCAACAGAAAATTAACAAACATGATGCATTCAGAGGCTCAAAAAATACTTGCCCTCTCTTGCTGCTGGGCACCGAAACCACCACATGTGAAATCATGGGTTAGCCTCCTGGAAAATGAGACCACATGGAAAAAGATCCCATTAAACTCAGTATTTCCAGGCATTCTACTGGAGGCCACAGACATGTAGAGCCATCCAGCCCCAGTCAAGCCAGCACAGAGCACAGGAATTGCCCAGTTAACTTACAAAAGTAGAAGAAACAATAAATGTTCATTGTTTTATATTACTATGTTGTGAGGTAGTTTGTTATGCATCAAAATCTACCTGATACCGTATATTCCATGTATTAATCAAGCACTGCTCAGTGCTCACCTCGGTGGATGTAAATGAAGTCACATCAACATCAATCAAACCAAGTTCCTACTCTTACCCCACAAGCCAACAGAGCATCTTATGCTTCTTTTTCAAAGCCCCTCATCCAGAAGAACATCTGAGAGGATTTAAAGGGAGAGTCTCAGGTGTGCTTGCAAACTCTCTGTTGTACCATCACCATACAGCACCTGACATGTTTTGCACTGGCTTGTGAGCCTGCAAAGTTACCTGGGTGAATATCACTGTTGTCACTTGGAATCCATTATGAGGAAGCAAATACCTGAGTCAGGGGGACTTTCTCCAGATACTCCCAAAGTTTCCACCTCTGAGTGTTCAGAGAATACTCTGGAATTTCCCTTTCCCCAACTCTATACTGTAGTTTTACACCTAGGCATTAATGAATACAGATTCCTGGAGACACGGATTCTCAGTGTCTCATAAAAGCACCACCTTCAACTTGTGCTTAGCAACTCTAAAAAAAGAGGACATGGCTGGGCGCAGTAGCTCACACCTGTAATCCCAGCACTTTGGGAGGCCAAGGTGGGTGGATCACGAGGTCAGGAGATCGTGACCAGAAACCCGGTCTCTACTAAAATACAAAAAACTAGCCGGGTATGGTGGCATGCGCCTGTAGTCCCAGCTACTTGGGGGGCTGAGGCAGGGGAATCACTTGAACCCGGGAGGCAGAGGTTGCAGTGAACCGAGATCACACCACTGCACTCCAGCCTGGTGACAGAGGAAGACTCTGTCTTAAAAAAACAAACAAACAAACAAAAAACAAACAAAAAAAGAGGACACATATCTTCAAATTAACAAGCATCAGTTTTCTAGGACAGTGCTGTTTCAATCAACTTACAAGTAGAAATGTTTCTAGGATGCACTCTATATGTGCTACAGAATAAACATTAAGTTATCCAGCAGGATTTCCCACACACCAGACCAGTGAAAATTATTAATAGAGCATGGTATTTTTTTTAATAATTAAGGACAAATGGTGAGATTTTATATGGCATACGAAATTTAAAATACTATCCATTTCTATAATTTTTTTTTTACTAAGCTGTGTTTTTGGTAATAATATGACTGTGATAACTGATACTACTGTTTCTGCCTTTTAACATGCTTCCTTGGTAAAACTAAGAAGTTGAGCTCTATGTTTATCTCCCCATTTTTTTCCAGGAACATACAATCAAAAACTGTCTAGGAAACACCAATTCAGAATGATTTAATGTATGAGAGCCTGTGGACAAATGTATCTTTGTTTTTATTTAGCCTGTTCAGGTGGATATTTCTAGAAAAAAAAAATAATGGTATCAGCATCCAAGCGTCCCTCTCTTGCAAGACAGAGAACTGTGTGCCAATGTGACGTGACATTCCCATCCCAGGGGACTGAGGGCCAAAAGAAAACCTCTAGGAACGATGGCTCAGCTTTGAGATCAAGAAATGGAAAGAATATTGCCTTTTCGCTATGGAGTGATTCGCATAACACAGAGCACTAGATCTGTTTCACCCAATACTGATGCATTAGCCAGGGTCAAGTCAGAAAATAGAAACACTCTAGGAATTTCAAACAGAAGAACTTAATACAGGGAATTGATCATACAGTTTTCAAAATGACTGAATGAGTAAAAGGGTGGTGAGGCAACCCAAAGACTAGTAACTAACTAGATAATGCAACGGTCATGACTAGAGGTGGAAGGTAGAGGTGGTTGTATTACCAGAGCCCAGAAGTGCAGAAGAGTGCTGAACTGCCGTGCTGGGACTATGAGGAGAACCTGACTAAAGCTGAGACTGCTGGGTACTACTGAGACCAAGAAAAAGGCTCCAGGCAGTATGTGCTGGAACTGACACACACACATACACATAAACACACACACACACACACACACACACACACACACACACACACACACACGCTGCCTTCTATAGCTGCCTGCTGTTGCTGGACAAATGTCAATGGAAGCTGTAAATGAAAATTAAAAAAAAATTTAAAAAAAAGTAACTCCTACCTATATTCTGTCTTCCAGTCTCTCCCCAGGATCACCAATTGGTAGGACCTAACTAGAAGCCAGGTGAAATTTGGGAGAAGTCACTTGCAAGGTCCTGGCACCCTGACCATACGTAATCATAGAACACAGACGGGTGAGAATGGCGGCTGAAAGCTTTGAGAGCTAACTAGCAAATGACTGACAGTTGCAATTCATTAAGGTATGATTGACATACAAAAAGATGTACATATTTAACACATACAAATTTATGAGTTTGCAGTAAGTATGCACCAGTGAAACTACCACCACAATCAATGCCATAAACATATCCATCACCTTCAAAAGTTTAAACTTGTTTTTTTATTGATCTATAATTTTTTTTTTTTTTGGAGCAGGGGGCACTGTCTTTGGATTTGCTATCAGGCGCTATCAGTTTCATAGAATGAACTGGTAAGACTGGCAAGTGTACCCTCCTCTTCTATTTTCTGTATAATTATGCAGAATTGGGTTTAATTCTTTAAACATTTGGTAGAATTATGTAGTGAAACCATCGGGGCCAGATTTTTTTAACAAGGTTTTAAACTATGAATTCAATTTTCTTAAGAATTAATGAACTACTCAAATTATGTTTCATAGTGAGTTTTAGTAGTTTCTTATCGAATTTATGTATAAAGAGTTATTTGTAATACTTCTTTATTATTCTTTTGATGTCTACAAGCATCTAGTGATATCCTGTTTCATTCCTGATATTAATTTGTGTATTCTTTTTCTTTTATCAGTATTGCTAGGTTTGTCAATGTTATTGATCTTTTCAATGAACCAGCTCTTTATTGATTTTCTCTATTTTACTATTTTTTATTTCATTGATTTCTACTCATATCTTTATTATTTCCTTCCTCCTACTTCCTCAGTTCATTTTTATCTTCCAGTTTATTGAGGTGGGAGCTTAAATTATTGATTTGGAATTTTTTCCTCCTTTCCAGTATAAGCATTTGTGCTATAACTTTTCCTCTTAGCATTGCCTTAGCTATGTCCCACAAGTTCTGATATGGTATGCTTTTAGTTTCATTTGATTTCATGGGGTTTTTTTACTTTTTCTTGAGACTTCCTGTTTTACCAATGGATTTACAAATATGTTGTTTAGTTTCTAAGTGTTTGGAGATTTCCATTATCTTTCTATTACTGATTTCTAGTTTGATTCTATTGTCTATCATATTCAGAGAACGCATTACTATACACTATTATTTCAATTATTTTAAGTTGGTTGAGATTTGTTTTATGGCCCAAGATATGGTCTATCTTGGCATATGTGCCTTGAACATCGAAAAGAATGAGTATTCTGCTATTGTTAGGTGGAGTGTTCTATAATATCAATTAGTTCCTGTTAGTGATTTTGTTGCTTTCTTTTATTAATATATCTTTGCTCATCTTCTGTATAGTTGTTATATTAATTGTTGTGACAGGGGTGAAGTCTCCAACTTTAATTATGGATATGTCTATTTCTCCTTTCAATTCTATCAGTTTTTGCTTCACAGTTTGCAGCTATGTTGTTTGGTATATATACATTTAGGATCACTGTATCTTCATGGCAGACTGATCTTTTTATCATTATGCAATGTGCCCCTCTGTCTCTGAATTTTATTTGCCCTAAAATCTACTTTACCTGATATTAATTAAGCCACTCTTGCTCCCTTTTGATTATTTTTGCATAGTGTATCTTTTTGCATCCTTTTACTTTCAGCCTATCTATATCATATGTGAATGAGTTTCTTTTAGAGAACATATAGTTGGACAATGTGGTTTTTTTTAAATCAATTCTGCCAATCTCTGTATTTTTACTTGTGTACTCAGATTATTCACATTTAATGTAATTATTGATATGTTAAGACCTAAATCTGCCATTTTATTTTTTGTTTTCTGATTGTTTTACCTGGGTTATTTTTTCTTTGTTTTCTTTTACTTGCCTTCTTGTGAGTTAGTTAAGCAATTTTCAGACTTTGTTTTTTATTTCTTTTTAGTTTGTGTTTTTCATTAGTGTATCTGTTTGGACAGCTCTCAGTATATGCTATAGGTATTAAACTGTATATACATAATTTATTGCAGTCTACTGATACTAACATCAGTATGTTTAGTGATGTTTAGAAACCTCATGTTGCTTTATATCATCCCTATAGCTTCTCCTTTGTAAAAAAAAAAAAAAAAAATCCCTAATACATTGAGACATATTGGACGGTGCTATTTTGTTTTTGCTTCAAATATCACACTTAGTTTAGAAAATTCAAGACATTGAAATCTGTTGTTATTTCCTCATTCCTGATATTCCAAGATTCCTTCTTTTTTATTTCCTTTCTATTAAAAAAATTCGTTTATCTATTCTGTTAGAATAGGTCTGCTGGCAACAAATTTCATTAGCTTTTCTTTGTCTGAAACTGTCTTGATTTCTCCTTCATTCCTGAAGGATATTTTCAGTGTAAATAGAATTGGAGCTGACTATTCTTTATTTTCAGGTCTTGAAAAATCTCATGCCACTTCATTCTGGGCTCCATAGGTTTTGATGAAAAAAATACTGTAATTTGAATTGCTTTTTCCATAAATAATGTATTGTTTCTTCTTTGACTTTCGTTTTCAAAAGTTCAACAATGATGTGTGTTGATGTGGATGTATTTGGGTTTCTACTCCCCAGGGTTCACTCAGCTTCTTGGGTCTGTAGGTTCAGGTCTTTTGCCAAATCTGGGAAATTTTCAACTATTATATCTTTGAATACTTTTTCAGCCCCATCTTTTTTCTCTTCTCCTTTTGGGACTTCAATGACCTGAATGATAGATCTTTTGTTATAGTCACATATATCCTTTTATTTTCTTTTCAGTCTCTCTCTTCTCTGTTGTTCAGGTTGATTAATTTCTATTGCTCTATTTTCAGAATCAGTGATTATTTCCTCTCTCCTCCTCGTTCTGCTAGTGGCCTATCCATTGAGTTTTTAATTTCCATTATTGTATTTTGCAGTTCTAAAGCTTTTGTTTCTTGTTTATATCTTTTCTTTCTGTGCTGAGGCTTTCTTTGCTGAGACTTTCTCCATTTTCATTTGTTTCAAGCATGTTGATAATTGCTTGTTGAAGCATTTTGAGGATGGCTGCTTCAGATAATTCTAACCTCTGTGTCATCTCAGTGGTGGTGTCTGTTGATTGTCTTTTCTCATTTACATTGAGATCTTCCTGGTTCTTAGTATAAGAAGTACTGTTTTATTAATACCTCAACATTTTGGACATTGTAAGACTCTGTGTCTTATTGAAATCTGTTTTAACAGGCCTCTTCTGACACCACTCCAGCAGGGTAAGGGGTCAAGCTATCTCTTTACTGCCAGATGATGGTAGAAGTCCAGCTTCTCTACTTTACCTCCACTGACATCCAGAGAATTTCTTGTTACTGCTGGGAGTGAATAAGAGTTTAGACTTCCCAGTAGGCTTCCACTGATATCACCTGCCTGGGAGAGGATGGGACACAATCACAGTGAGAAGTGAGGAACGGGGAGTCCAAGCTCCCCACATGGTCTTCACTAATGGAAATGGTGGATTGGGATGGATTGGGATACCTCATTAGAGCCTGGCCAAGATGGAAGAATAAGCTTTCTACTCGGCCTTTGCTGGTGGGGCATGGGATAAGATCAGAGTTTTTCTGTGATGTTTGGCTAGAGTAGTGCAGGTACTATCTGTCATAGGTTGAACTGTGTCATCCCCAGACTCACATATTTAAGTCCTAACCCCCAGAAACTCAGGACGTGACTTTATATGGAGATAGAGTCTTTACAGAAGTCATCAGTTAAAATGAGGTCATGAGGGTTGGCCCTAGTCCAACATAACTGGCATCCCTATAAACAGAGGAAATCTGGACACAGACATGCATGGAGGAAAGATGGTGTGAAGAGACGTAGTAGAAGATGGCCATCTATAAGCCACAGAGACATCTGGAAAGATCCCTTCCTCACAACCCTGAGAAGTAACAAACCTGCCAACACCATGATGGTATAAGACATCCAGCCTCCGGAACTGACAATAAACTTGCATAGTCTAAGTTAATCAGTCCACAGGACTTTGTTACAGCAGCACTAGCAAACTAATATCCTGACTCAAAGTTTTCCATCCTGCTAGGCTATTCCTTCCCTGGTCCTCTGGCTGGAGAGCAAAGGCTTTACCTGGGTCCTTTTTTGTGTGTGCTCATTGAAATTTCCAGGTTGCCAGCTTCTCTGATACCCAGTCCGGGATACATGGAAAGCAGCAAACACCCAGGAGACTGATCACTGTGTCCTTTCTTGGATACCAAGGTCACTACCTAGTCTACCTTCTTCTTTCCACCTTTATAACAGAAAGAATTAGCTGAACTTAGTGGGATGAATAGATAAAAATGACTATTTCATCTTTCCAGAAGTGGAAGTTCACAATGTGTCTTTTTATTTGTTTGTTTGTTTTTGAGACAGAGTCTCACTCTGTTGCCCAGGCTGGAGTGTAGTGACATGATCTCGGCTCACTGCAACCTCCACCTCCCAAGTTCAAGCAATTCTCCTGCCTCAGCTTCCCGAGTAGCTGGGATTACAGGCACACGCCACCACACCTGGCTAATTTTTGTATTTTTAGTAGAGACAGAGTTTCACCATGTTGGCCAGGCTGGTCTCGAACTCCTGACCTCAGGTAATCCACCTGCCTCGGCCTCCCAAAGTGCTGGGATTACAGGCATGAACCACCGTGCCCAGCCTACAATGTGCTTTTAATGTCTGGCTAATGTGAAAACTATTCAAAAACTGTGACGACTTGGAGAAACAAACTCCAGATCAGTAAGAAGACATTTATGGATACTAAAGCTACTTGAGTTTTTATCTTGGTGAAAATAATGAGGAATGTGTGCATCCCATATCACAAGATGAAAACAGCTGAAATTTAGGGGAAGTCATTAATTACATAAACTATTTTTTCTCTTTAATCCTTGAAGCCTACTACTAAAAATGTCTCGTATTTATTTAGTACTATTTTTTAGATTCCAAAACCATTTCACCTCTTTCTCATTTGAGCTCACAGATCTATGAAGTAGATGGGGACGTTATTCCCAATTTACAGGTGAGACTTAGCGAGGTTGCAGAGTTGCCTAAAGTCACATGGCCACTAAGAAAAAGAAACAGGACTCAAACCCATGTCTTCTGATATCGAAGCCAGGACATTTTCTATTCTACCTCATCAAAACCACTCTTGCTTGTAATAGTGGCCAAAAGTCCCCACATGATCAATTACAACAGGCTTGACCATGATCCCCTAAAGCTTTCTAAAACCTTCATAATCGCTCTGGGAAGGGTTATGGTATCTTTCTCCTCTGGTTTCACATTTCTTAAATTCAGTAAAAACCCATGATAGCTATTTGTTGTGCAGACTATTCTAGATAATCCAAAGTAATGGTTTTCAAAATGTTTTCCACAGAGCCCTAAGGTGCCTTGGTGTCTACCCTAAGAATCGGATATAGGGCTCAGGGCCTCTCTCTCCTGCTTAGCCATAAAGTTTCTGCTTATATCTGTTTCATATATTGAATTTCCTTATAGGATTTGATTTGAAAAACTAAGACTGAAATAATATAGAGTCTTTAGTTGCCTATCAAAGGGGCCAAATTGTTCACTTAAGAGCAGTCCTTTCTGGAATAGAAGACAGAGCTTGCACTTGGCTAGCTTGATGAAGATAGCAGTAATCAGTAATAAGTAAAGTGGTCTACTACCAACTCTTCTGGTTTAGTCTGACAAGAGATCCCCAAAGTATTTATCCCATCTAATAAGTATATATTGAACACAAATACTGGGAAGGTTTCCACAATAGGGTATAGAAAAGCACATGTTAAACTCTATCCTGTCAGGAAGCTCACAATCTAATGGGAAGACAGAGCACACATCCAAACAGCAGCAACAAAAGGAAGAATAGGATGCATGAGAAATGTAAACAATGACTATCAGATCTAGCATACCGGGAAAATCATTTTAAAAATAATAACTGTTATTTATTAAAAGTCAGCTGGGTGCAGTGGCTCATGCCTGTAATCCCAGCACTTTGGGAGGCTGAGACGGGTGGATCACCTGAGATCAGGAGTTCGAGACCAGCCTGGCCAACATGATGAAATTCTGTCTCTACTGAAAAATACAAAAAGGCGTGGTGGCAGGCACCTGTAGTCTCAGCTACTCGGCAGTCTGAGGCAGGAGGATTACTTGAACCTGGGAGGCAGACGTCGCAGTGAGCTGAGATCACGCCACTGCACTCCAGCCTGGGCAACAAAGCAAGATTCCATCTCAAAAAAAAAAAAAAAAAAGAAAGAAAAAAAGAAAATCTACCCTCACCTAGTTGTTCTACATCCATTAGCTCAAATCTTCACAAGAACTTTGCAAAGTAGAAGTCACTATCCCCATTTTACAGATACAGAAGTTGAGAGGGGTTAAGTAACTTTCTCAGGACCACACAGGTGACATGCAGTAAAACTAGGAGTTAAATTCAGGTATATTAGATAAAAAAGTCAGTGGCCCCCTAAGGCCTTCACAAAGAAAAGAAAAGTCAATATAAGGACATGGGGGTGTCTCATGGAACCTGAACGGTGTAAGGCTGGTAGGTTCAGAAAGGAATTGAAATGAGGAAGAGGAACATGGTAAGGGACACTGGTAGCCCTTTCTGCCCATTGCTTAACTTCTCTATGAATTCTGTCTTCTCCACAGTTCCCATAGTAGGAGCAGATGACCGTGACGTAGCTACTGAGTTTACATGGTTCAGGTTCACTTGCTTGAAGACAAAATGTCTAGCTTTACCTGGGTTCTAATTCCTAACGTTCAGGAAAAAAGCACGTTTAGGTCAGTGCCCACATTCATCCAGTCAACAGTTGGTGGGGAACAAGGGCTTGGTAGCATAGAGAACTATGTGGTAGCTTGTGGAAGGTAGAAAAATGTATTCTAGAATGTAGGTGGGTTGAAAGCTTTAAAAAAAAAAATACACATTTCCTGCAGAATCTGTCTCAGGCTCACAGAATTCAAGAGCTGATGAGGTTCTTATTGCTAAAGGCTGGCTGTATCTCTTCCTGATCAAGGTAACTGAGAAAAAGAAACTTTGCTAAAAGAAAAGAAAATTTGATAAACCACACTCCATCACTGTTCCTCTCTGAAAGATACTAACTTCATCAATGTTTGAGCTCTACTGCACAACTAATTTTACCTGAGGTTAGAATTATACACCCAGAAAGGCCATGTATATATTAATTATAGAGGAACTGGGAAACAAAAATGATAGGTTTAGCTTTGCTATGCTCAGATATATGCATGAATGAAGAATGTGCAAACACAGGATTAAAAATTTTATGAACCCTTCCAACCTTTTCTTTGGGTAACCAATATAATCTAGTTAGGGCATGCCATAGGGCTACGACATATCAACCTACTCAATTTTCAAGATCAAATTTAAATCTTACGAAGCTCTCTCCAAGAATTCATTGCACTGTAAACATACTCACAAATACACATTGCATCAAACATTATACTTAGTAGTGAAACACAGAAAGCATTCCTTTGAAGACAAAAAACAAGGATGACCACTATCACATCTTCTATTAATCATTGTATTGGAGGTTCTAGTCACTACAGTAAGAAAATAAAATGAATTAAAAGTTATAAGGATTGAAAAAAAACCCTTGTCATTATTAGCAAGATATATGATTATGTACAGAGAAATTCCAAAAAATTTAGAGATAAACTAGTTGAGCTTTTAAAATTTTATGGATTTCTTTATACTAGCAATAATTTGTTTTTAAAGTAATATTTTAAAAAGAAACCATATGACATCTCCTTTTAGCATTATGGCTATCCAAAAGCACTGAGGGGGTCCATAACTCACAACTACTATATTCTGAGAGGGACATTTTTTTTTTTTGAGAAAGAGTCTTGCTCTGTCGCCCAGGCTGGAGTGCAGTGGCACGATCTTGGCTCACTGCCAGCTCCGCCTCCCGGGTTCATGCCATTCTCCTGCCTCAGCCTCCCGAGTAGCTGGGACTACAGGTGCCCGCCACCATGCCAGGCTAATTTTTTGTAATTTTAGTAGAAACGGGGTTTCACCATGTTAGCCAGGATGGTCTCAATCTCCTGACCTCATGATTCACCTGCCTCGGCCTCCCAAAGTTCTGGGATTACAGGCGTGAGCCACTGCGCCTGGCCTGAGTAGGACATTCTTAAGGCTTCATTGATCTAACAAGTCATAGAGAGGGTCTCAAAAGATCCAAGACTTCACTCTCTCCACCAAAAACCTTAAGCTGAGGCCACAGCAACATATAATGAGGAGGGACAATGTTACTCTGAAAGCAATGCCAGCTGAAGCACCCAGTCAAGACATTGAGACTTGGGCCAACAAGGAAAGAAGTTAGGCCTGAGACTTTTGCCCTCAACTAAGAACCCCAAAATTGGAACCAGATTAGAGGCATCTCTTGGCTACAGAAATAAGAACTACTTCTTTTCTGAAGAAGTATATCTATGAATTAGGTCTGGAGAACTCTCAATGATTAAGATTAAAAGGTAGATATCACAATAAGATATCAATAAGCATATTATTATAGGAGGCAAGACATTATGAATGAGAGCCACAGACACAACACATGTAAAAGTTATAGACACTCAAATAATGTAAACACTGCACTTTCAGACACAGAAGACAGCATCTGTGGGCAAAAATGCTTAAAGAAGTAAGAGCACAGTTACAATGACCAAAAAAAGCAACAAGAGAGTATCAGCAATTAACAGAAATTTGGGAAAAAAATGGAACTCTCAACATTAAAATATAGCTTTTGAGCACTATTCACAATAGTGAAGACATGGAATCAACCTAGATTCTCATTAATGGTAGACCGGATACAGAAAATGTGGTACATATACACCATGGACTACCACACAGCCATAAAAAATAATGAAATCATGTCATTTGCAGCAACATGGATACAGCTAGAGGCTACTATCCTAAGTGAATTTACACAGGAACAGAAAACCAAACACTGCATGTTCTCACTCATTAGGAGCTAAACGTCGAGTACACATGGACACTAAGAAGGTAACGACAGACACCAGGGCTTACTTGAGGGTGAAGGGAGAGAGGAAGATGAGGGCAGAAAAACTACCTGTCAGGCTCTGGGTGATGAAATAATCTGTACACCAAACCCCCGCAATACACAATTTATCCATATAATAAACCTGCACAAGTACCCCCAAACCTAAATGTGTGTATATGTATGTGTGTGTGTGTGTGTGTGTGTGTGTGTGTGTGTGTGTGTGTGTGTAGCTGTTGAAATAGAGTACTTAATGGTTGGGTTAAATAGCAGATTCATTGTGGCTGAAGAGAGAATTTATGAAATGGAAAATTCACATGAAGACATTATCAAGAATTTGAAAACAAAGAGATGGAGAACATAAGAGAAATGTTAAGAGGTATAAAGGACAGAATAATTGGGTCTAAACTATATCTACGTGGAATACCAGTGAAAGAAAATAGAGAAACTGCAGGAGAGGAAATTTAAAAAGATAAAGGCTGTGAATTTTTAAGAACTAATGAAAAGCTTGATTCCAGTGATTCTAGAATTATAGCATATTCCAAGCCAGATAAGTAAGAAACCCGCACCTAAGTACAATGTAGTGAAACTGCAGAATACCAAAAAGAATACCTTAAGAGAAACCATCAAGAACACTAGAAAACTAATAAAAGAACATTTAGAATTTACTGACTTCTCAATACCCATAAGAGATAAAGAGAATAATGTTTCAAAGTAATGAAACAATTATTATTATTATTATTATTATTATTATTATTATTATTATTATTTTGAGACGGAGTCTTGTTTTGTCGCCCAGGCTGGAGTGCACACTGCAACCTCCGTCTCCTGGGTTCAAGTGATTCTCCTGCCTCAGTCTCCCAAGTAACTGGGATTACAGGCACCCGCCACTGCGCCCGGCTGATTTTTGTATTTTTAGTAGAGACGGGGTTTAACCATCTTGGCCAAGCTGGTCTCGAACTCCTGACCTCATGATCCACCCGCCTCGGCCTCCCAAAGTGCTCGGATTACAGGCATGAGCCACTACGCCTGGCCTGTATAAGGAACTTCTAAAAGTATGCCCTTCAGTCAGGCAAGAGAAAGAAATAAAGGGTATTCAAATAGGAAGAAAGTCAAACTATCTTAGTGAGCAAATAACATGATCTGATATCTAGGAAACCCCATTGTCTCAAACCAATAGCTTCTTAGGCTGATAAGCAACTTCAGCAAAATCTCAGGATACAAAAATCAATGTGCGAAAATTGCTAGCATTCCTATACACCAACAACAGGCAAGCCCAGAGCCAAATCATGAATGAACTCCCATTCATAATTGCCACGAAAAGAATAAAATACAGCTAGGAATACAGCTAAGAAAGGAAGTGAAGGACCTCTTCGAGGAGAACTATAAACCACTGATGAAAGAAATCAGAGATGATACAAACAAATGGAAAAACATTCCATGCTCACGGATAGGAAGAATCTGTATCGTAACAATGGTCATACTGCCCTAAGTAATTTATAGATTCAATGCTATTCCCATTAAACTACCATTGACATTCTTCACAGAATGAGAAAAAAACTATTTTAAAATTCATATGGAATAAAAATAATAGCCCATATAGCCAAGACAATCCTAAGAAAAAAGAACAAAGATGGAGGGATCATGCTACCTGACTTCAAACTATACTATAAGGCTACAGTAACCAAAACAGCATGGTACTGGTTACAGACACATAGACCAAGGGAACAGAACAGAGAACTCAGAAATAAGACTACACACCTACAACCATCTGAAATTCAACAAACCTGGCAAAAACAAGCAATGGGGAAAGGATTCCCTATTTAATAAATGGTGCTGAACTGGCTAGCCATAGGCAGAAGATTGAAACTGAACCCCTTCCTTACACCTTATACAAAAATTAACTCAAGATGGATTAAAACCTTAAATGTAAAACCTCAAACTATAAATACCCTAGAAGAAAATCTAGGCAATACCATTCAGGACATAGGCACGGGCAAAGATTTCATGACAAAGACATCAAAAGCAATTGCAACAAAAGCAAAAATTGGCAAATGGGATCTAACTAAACCAAAGAGCTTCCGCACAGCAAAAGAAACTCAGAGAAAACAGACAACCTACAGAATGGGAGAAAATTTTTTCAATCTATCCATCTGACAAAGGTGTAATATCTAGAATCTACAAAGAACTTAAATTTACAAGAAAAAAAACAACACCATTAAAAAGTGGGCAAAGGACATGAACAGACAGTTCTCAAAAGATGACATACATGTGGCTAAACATGTGAAAAAAAAGCTCAAACATCACTGATCATTACAGAAATGCAAATCAAAACCACAATGAGATACCATCTCACGTCGGTCAGGATGGATATTACCAAAAAGTCAAAAAACAACAGATGCTGGCAAGGTCATGGAGAAAAATGAATGCTTTTACACTGTTGGTGACAGTGTAAATTAGTTCAACCATTATAGAAGACAGTGTGGTGATTCCTTGAAAACCTAGAGGCAGAAATACCATTTGACCCAGCAATCCCATTACTGGGTATATACCCAAAGGAACATAAATCATCGTATTACAAAGATACATGCACACATGTTTCCTGCAGCGCTATTCACAATAGCAAAGATATGGAGTCAACCTAAATGCCCATCAATGATAGACTGGATAAAGAAAATGTGATACATATACATCATGGAATGCTATGCAGTCATAACAAGGAGTGTGATCATGTCCTTTGGAGGGACATGGATGGAGCTGGAAGCCATTATCCTCAGCAAACTAATGCAGGAAAAGAAAATCACATACCGCATGTTCTCACTTATAAGTGGAAGCTGAATGACGAAACCACAAGTACATACGTGGTGGGGGAAAAGCACACACTTGGGTCTGTCAAAGGGTTGGGGGGTGGGAGGAGGGAGAGCATCTGAAAGAATAGCTAATGGATGCTGGGCTTAATACCTAGGTGATGGGATGATCTGTGCAGCAAACCACCATGGCACATGTTTACCCATGTAACAAACCTGTACATCCTGCACATGTACCCCTAAACTTTAAATAAAAGCTGGACATTTTTTTAATTTACATTTTTTTAACTTGTATTGAAAAAATGATTGTGATTCTAATTGGGATTGTACTGAATTCATACATCAACTTAAATATTTTTAAGAATCTGTAAAGTACTGATTTTTTAAATCCAAGAACCACACTTCCATTTGTCAATGTCTTTTTTAGTATGTTTCAGTAAAACGTGATAATTCTCCTATCAAAAAAGTATGCCCAGCCGGGTGCAGTGGCTCACGCCTGTAAACCCAGCACTTTGGGAGGCCAAGGCGGGTGGATCACGAGGTCAGGAGATCAAGACCATCCTGGCTAACACGGTGAAACCCCATCTCTACTAAAAATACAAAAAATTAGCCGGGCGTGTTGGCACATGCCTGTAGTCCCAGCTACTCGGGAGGCTGAGGCAGGAGAATTGCTTGAACCTGGGAGGTGGAGGTTGCAGTGAGCTGCGCTCCAGCCCAGGTGACAGAGCGAGACTCCGTTTCAAAAGAAAAAAAAAAAAAAAGTATGCCCTTCAAGAAGAAGGAAAATAACCCCAGAAAGGAGGCTTGAGATACAAAAATAAATGGTAAGCAAATAAAAAGAAACATGAACGTAAATGCAAACAAATAATGTCCATAAAAGTATTCATACCGATGATGATGATGTATAAACTGTGGTACTAACAACAAAAGGTAGAATTAAACTATTTTGACAATGATTGTACATGACTTTTGAGGAACAAGATAAGAGTTGTAAGAACAATGACTTGGAGAGAAGATTAAGATATTATTTAACTACACAAATGGACAGCAACAACAAAGTTCAAACAATCAGAAGATAAGGCAAGGAAGGAAGGTAAAAGGAGAAAGGAAATAGCAAGAGAAATACAAAACAGATGATGATAGAAATATAACCAAGGAAGAAAGGGAGAGTTATCATCTTATGGGTATAGACTTTTGGTCTCATAGGAGGAAGAATTTCTAGAGAATAGTTGCACAACAATGTGAATATACTTAATATTACTGAACTCCACACTTAAATGGTTAAGATGGTAAATTGTATGTTATGCATATGTTTACCAAAATTAATTTTTTAAAAGAATAGGAAACTCTCTTCTGCTAGTATGAATGTTAAGTAGTGCAGCCATCTTAGAAAAAAAAAAAAGTTTGGCATTATCTAGTAAAGTTGGTGTCCAAACTCTATGATGTAGGAGCTCATTTCTACATATGCCTTAGAGAAACCCTTGCGTATGTAACCAAAAGACATGTACATGTAACTGAACTATAACCAAGTATACTTGGTTAAAAAACTGAATCCAAGATGTTAATCATTAACAGTGAGTAGACATTTTTAAAGATATTTGGAAAAAAATCAACATCTAGAGGCTTCCAGCCATGTAGAATGCTTGTTATCAGACTTGTGCTTCCCTCTACTATATACAACTAGGAACTGGGTAGAACATATGAAGCATTGACGTAATGATGGGAAAAAACATATGACCAGCTCAATGTGAAAAAAAATCTGACAAAATGCAACATCCTTTCAAGATAAAAATATTCAATAAACTCTGGATATAAGGAAACTATCTCAATATAATAAAGTTCATGTATGAAAAGCTCATAGCTAACATACTCAGTGATGAAAGACTGAACTTTTTTTCCTCTAAGATCAAGACCAAGATGAGGATGCTCAGTTTTGCCACTTCTACTCAACATATTAATAGAAGTGTTATGTTGTATATTAGAACTCCTAGCCAGAGCAACTGAGCAAGAAAAAAAAATAAAAGGCATCCAAATTGGAAAGGAAAGAAAATTGTCCCTGCTTGCAGACAACATGATCTTATATGTAGAATACCCTAAAGATTACACGTGTGCACACATGCCTACACATACAAACTGTTAGAACTAGTTAACTTCACGTGTGCACATGTGCCTACACATACAAACTGTTAGAACTAGTTAACTTCAAAGTTGCAGGATATAAAATCAACACACAAAAATCAGTTGTGTTTCTATAAACAGTTGAACAATCAGAAAAGGAAATTAAGAAAACAATTTTATATACAGTAGCATCAAAAAGAGCAAAATACTTAGGAATGAATTTAACCAAGGAAGCAGAGGACTTATACACTGAAAACTCAAAGGCACTGCTGAAAGAAATTAAAGACAACACAAATAAATGGAAAGTCATCCCGCGTTCACGGATTGTTAAGACTTAATATTGTTAAAACAATCTACAGGGTCAATATACTTCCTACCAAAATCCCAATGGCGTATTTTTTTCAGAAATACAAAAACCACCTAAAATTTATACTCAGGGTCTCAAAACCCTGAATAGCCAAAACAATCTTTTTTTTTTTTTTTTTTTTTTTTTTTTGAGACGGAGTCTCACTCTGTTGCCAAGCTGGAGTGCAGTCAGCTCACTGCAACCTCTGCTCCCAGGTTCAATCAATTCTTCTGCCACAGCCTCCCAAGCAGCTGGGGCTACAGGCACGTGCCACCGTACCCAGCTAATTTTTGTATTTTTAGTAGAGACAGGGTTTCTCCATGTTGGCCAGGATGGTCTCGATCTCTTGACCTCATGATCTGCCTGCATGGGCCTCCCAAAGTGCTGGGATTACAGGCATAAGCCACCATGCCCGGCCAACCAAAACAATCTTTAAGAAGAAGAGCAACATTGGAGGTTTCACACTTTCTGATTTCAAAACTTGCTAGAGAGCTATGGTTATCAAAACAGTGTGGTCTTGGCATAAAGAGACATATAGACCAATGAGATAGAATAGAATGCTCAGAAATAAACTCTTGCATATACAATCAAATGATTTTTGACAAGGATGCTAAATCCATTCAATGGTGAAAGAATAGTTTTTTCAACAAGTGGTGTTAGAAAAACTAGAAATCCACATGCAAAAAAAATTAAGTTAGAGCATTACTTTACAACATAGACAAAATTCGAAATGAATTATAAGACCTCAAACCATAAAACTCTTAGAAAAAAACAGAAAGGAAAACTTCATAAAATTGGATTGGGCAATGATTAAATATGATACCAAAAGCACAAGCAACGAAAGTCAAGGTAGATAAATTGGATTACATCAAAATATAAAACATCTGTACAAAGGACACAACAGAGTGAAAGACAACCTACCAAATGGGAGAAAATATTTACAAATCACCTATATGTTAAGGGGTTAATATTCAGAATAAAGGACTCTGTAACTCCACAACAACAACAAAACCCACACAACCTGATTTTTAAATGGGCAAAGGAGTTAAATAGACATTTCTCCGAAGAAGACACACAATTATTGAAAAGATGTTCAATATTATTAATCATTAGAAAAATGCAAATCAAAACAACGAGTTATCACCTTACACCCATCAGAATGGCTACCATCAAAAAGAATATGAAAAATTTACAACCCCTGTGCACTGTTAGTGGAAATGTAAAATGGTGAAGCCACTATGGTAGATGGTTATGGCAGTTCCTCAAAAAAATAGAGTTAGCATAGGATCCAGCAACTCCACTTCTGGATATATATCTAAAAGAACTGAAAGTACAATCTGAAAGAGATATTGGTCATCCATGTTCACAGTAGCATTATTTGTAACAGCTAAAAGTGGAAGCACCCAAGTATCAGAAGAACCAAGTCAATGGATGAATGGATAAACAAAACATGGTAGATACATACAATGGAATATTATTCAGCCTTAAAAAAGGAAATTCTTACATATGCTATAACACGAATGAAACCTATAAAACTGTCACGAAAAGACAAATACCATGATTCTACTTATATGAGGTATTTACAGTAATTAAATTAATTGAAGCAAAAAGTAGAATGGCAGTTGCCAGGGGCAGGCAGCAGGAAGAAAGGGAGAGTTATCATCTTATGGGTATAGACTTTTGGTCTCATAGGAGGAAGAAGTTCTAGAGACTAGTTAAACAACAATGTGAATATACTTAATATTACTCAACTCCACACTTAAATGGTTAAGATGGTAAATTGTATGTTATGCATATGTTTACCAAAATTAATTTTTTAAAAGAATAGGAAACTCTCTTCTGCTAGTATGAATGTTAAGTAGTGCAACCATCTTAGGGAAAAAAAAAAAAAGTTTGGCATTATCTAGTAAAGTTGGTGTCCAGACTCTATGATGTAGGAGCTCATTTCTACATGTGCCTTAGAGAAACCCTTGCGTATGTAACCAAAAGACATGTACAGGAGTATTTTGGTATGAATAACAAAAAAATCCAAATGACTATTAACAGTAGAAGGGATAAATTGTGGTCTATTAATAAAATGGAATAACATACAGCAATTAACTTGAGTGAATTATTAGCTGCATGCAGCAACATCAATGAATCTCAAAAATATATTGTTAAAAAATGAAGCACTTTACAGAAGAATACATGCCATGTAATTTTACTTATTTATTTATTTATTTGAGAAACTGATGTTTATTTTCCATCAACCATTTTTCCATGTTGCTTAAGAGCCCATGCAGGGACAGCTTAAGACCATTCAGTGGTTGCTCCTACCCATTCAGTGGCCTGAGCAGTGGGAGCTGCAGACCAGTCTTCCGTGGCAGGGTGAGTGCTCCAGTCTTCAGTAGGGAACTGCTGAATAGGCACAGAGGGCACCTGCACACCTTCAGACCAGTCTGTAACCTCAGGCTGAGTAGCAGTGAACTCAGGAGCTGGAGCAGTCCATTCACCCTGAAATTCCTCCTTGGTCACTGCCTTTTCAGCAGCAGCCTGCTCTTCTTTTTCAATCTCTTCAGGATCTCTGTAGAAGCAGAGCTGAGGCATGACCTCCCAGGGGTGTTCATGGGAAATGGTGTCACGCATGCGCAAAACTTCCCGAGCCGGCATCTACCACATCAAACCCACTGAGTGAGCTCCCTTGTTGTTGCATGGGATGGCAATGTCCACACAGCACAGAGGAGAATCTGTGTTACACAGAGCAATGGTAGGTAGGTTAACATAAGATGCCTCCGTGAGAGGCTGGTGGTCAGCCCTGGGTTCAGTAAGCACAAGAAGCGGTGGCTCCGGGAAGGCTGCCTGGATCTAGTTAGTGAAGGTTCCAGGAGTAAAGCGGTCAGCAATTGGAGTGGCTCCAGTGGCAGCAGCAAACTTCAGCATGGCCCTCTGGCCAGTATTCCAGGAGGATATAACACTGACATCACCAGGGTTTTCAATGGCAACAATGGCACGAGCTGCCAACGGAAGCTTCTCCCAGGTCCTCTTCAGATTTATGATGTAGATGCCATCACTTTTCCTTTTATAGATGTACTGTTCCATCTGGAAGTCAAGTTTGGTGCCACCTAAGTGGGTTCCTGCTGCAAGGAACTGAAGGACATCCTCCTCCTTCATTTGCAGGACATCAGGGGCTCCAGACATTGCGAAAGTTTCCCTTTAAGTTACGACGGGAATCCAGAACAACGCTGTATGGACACCTCTGTAGGTAGTGCGGAAAAGCGTAATTTTATTTATATAAAGTGCAAAAAACCATGCAAAACCAAGTCATACATTGTTTATGGATACATATATGTATTATACAAATTTATATAAAATCAAAGGAAGAATTAGTGAAAGATAATGGCCACCTCCAGGGGACAGGGAAGAGTGTACACACATAAATAAAATGGATACATGGGTATTTGTTGTATTAGTCATATTTAAGTTCCACATATACATAATTTTATATTCTTTTATATGCATGTTTCACAATTTTAAAAAGTGCTCTTTTCATACTTCATAGTGTGTTATAGCTCTAGTACAGCAAGTTATATTCCCGGTGCTGCCAAAAAATTATGAACTTTGAGATTAGACAAGTAATTATTTAAGATACAATCCCTGCTCTAAAAGAGTTCATGGTGAATAACAAACAGATGCCCTCTAACTATAATACAGCATAAGAATTAAAATAGACAAAGAAACTAGCATAGTTACTGATCTTGAATAGCAGATGCACAGTAAATATTTCGGTGATTTATAGACGAAAGGTTCTTGGAGGAGATGTGTTTCATATGGCTTTGAAATGGTGATGGGATTTTCTCGTTGATTTTAATGAAAGCATACATAAATGGCACTTTGTAAGTTTCCTAGAGCCTTGCTATTCTGTTTGTTTGTTTGTTTGTTTGTTTGTTTTGAGATAGAGTTTCACTCTTGTTGCCCAGGCTGGAGTGCAATGGTGCAATCTCGGCGTACCGCAACCTCCGCCTCTCGGGTTCAAGCGATTCTCCTGCCTCAGCCTCCCAAGTAGCTGGGATTATAGGCATGCGCCACCACAACCGGCTAATTTTGTATTTTTAGTGGAGACGGGGTTTCTCCATGTTGGTGAGGCTGGTCTTGACTCTCAACCTCAGGTGATTCGCTCGC
Organism: Homo sapiens; assembly: GCF_000001405.40. Lineage (NCBI taxonomy): Eukaryota > Metazoa > Chordata > Mammalia > Primates > Hominidae > Homo > Homo sapiens. The sequence continues at coordinate 73,942,506 of NC_000016.10, forward strand.
CTCAGCCTCCCAAAGTGCTGGGATTACAGGCGCGAGCCACTGCAGCTGGCCAAGACTTGCTATTCTAAATGTGGTCATGGACCGGCTATATTAGCATCATTTGGGAATTTTTTAAAAACGCAGACTCTTGTGCCGCCCCCACAAAACTTACCAAATCAGATTCTGCATTTTCATAAGATACCCAGGTGATCCACATGCACCTTAAATTTGAAAAGTGCTGCTCTATGGTATATTTATGTTATTTTTAAACAGAAATAGCCATCTAAAATGTTTTCTCAAGAATGTCTAAAATGTTCATTTTGCTGCCTTATCTCTGTGATTTCATTACATTTTATTTATATATACATATACGCTTCATATAATGTATAATGTTATTATATATATACATATATACACATATACATTATGGAAATATACTGTACCCAATTTTGACTCCCAGATTCAAACCCTTCCTCCCCACTCTACTTCCATAACCTTGTTTATACTCTGGCTGACCACGAATTTCATTCCTTACTGTTTAAAAGAACACATTCCCTTAATTTTTTTTTTTTTTTGAGACAGAGTTTCGCTCTTGTTGCCCAGGCTGGAGTGCAATGGCGCAATCTTGGCTCACCGCAACCTCTGCCTCCGGGGTTCAAGTGATTCTCCTGCCTCAGCCTCCCAAGTAGCTGGGATTATAGGCATGCGCCACCACACCCGGCTAATTCTGTATTTTTAGTAGAGACGGAGTTTCTCCATGTTGGTCAGGCTGGTCTCGAACTCTCGACCTCAGGTGATCCGCCCACCTCGGCCTCCCAACGTGCTGGGATTACAGGCGTGAGCCACCCCACCCAGCTGCATTCCCTAATTCTACAGAACATAGTCATACATTGCTTACAGATACGAGTATGTTCTGAGGAATTAGTCATTAGGCAATTTTGTCATCGTGTGAACATGTACTTATACAAACCTAGATGGTACAGCCTACTATACACCTAGGCTATATGGTATAGCCTATTGCTCCTATACTATAACCCTGTTGAGTGTGTCACTATACTGAATTCTGTAGGCAACTGTAAAACAATGGTATTTGTTTATCTAAACATAGAAAAGGTAATGCACTACCCTATGACTTTAGGATGGCTAAGACATCACTAGGTAATAGGAATTTTTCAGTTCCGATATAATCTTACAGAACCACCATCACATAGCAGTCTGCTGTTGAAGTAAACATCATGTGGTACACGACTATACACAAGAAGTTGTTGTCTGAGAACTTATTCAGAAGTGACTTGAATATCTCTTCTCTGTAGAGCAATCCATCCATTAATTTTTTTCACTTATTAAATGTGACATGTCACAGACCTAGTCCAAGCTCTGGGAAAGCAACAACGAACAAGACAGACAATGTTCCTGTCCTCGTAGAGCTGGCATTTGGCTGGGGAATGAAATGCAAAAGAAAGTATTATTATATTAATGTTTTATTCAATATGAAGGCAATATTTCAAAACTTAACTTGGCTGAGTTTTCAAAACAGAAAGTTAATAGGTTTGTAGCTTTCTGTCTGACATGAGCTCATAGGATCACAGAACCTTGAAGCCCAAAGGTACCTTAGAGAATATCCAATTCAACAGCTTATTTACACCTGATACTTAGAGATGTTAAAAAGCCAGACTGGGGTCCAAATTTTGTGAAATTACTATAAAGTCCATTTATTTAGATTATTAACTGTATATATTAAAAGTCACGTTCAGCGGCATTTCAAATCATAGCATTAGTAACATTCCAAGAGAATGTGTTTATTTCTTGTTCTTTTCTCTCAAGGAAATCGATTACACTGACTTTGAGTTACTTATATTCACAGCTAGCACCGAACAGATTTAATAAATATAAATTTGGAAACACGACCAAAAGCCAAAGTTTGAAAGAAAAATTAAAGAACACAGAAGGCTCTTTTGAATTGTCAAATCATAAAGAGGAAACATTGTTTTGTTAATTTAAAGTATGGCTCTTTGGCTATATACCCAGTAATGGGATTGCTGGGACAAACAGTGTTTCTAGTTCTAGACCATGGACACAGGGAGGGGAATATCACACACCAGGGCCTGTTGGGGGATAGGGGGAAAGGGGAGGGAGAGCATTAGAACAAATGCATAATGCATGCGGGCTTAAAACCTAGATGGTGGGTTGATAGGTGCATCAAACCACCATGGCACATATATACCTATGTAACAAATCTACACTTTCAGCACATGTATCCCAGAACTTAAAGTAAAATTAAAAAAAAAAAAAATTCAAAAAAGAATACTGTGAGGAAAAATAAATAAATTATAGCTCTTTAAGCTGAGCTGTTTTTCCTTCATTTAAGCACCTCTTTGTTTTTATTGGGAGACTAATGACTACTTGCATAAGAGGATCAGACCTTAATGGGGAGAAAAACAGCCTTGAAATACAAACTAAATAAGATTTCTTGGGTCGCAGGTTAAATTCATCACATGCAAGTTCAAGTTCTGTGGGTAAGATTCATTCAAAAGATTGGATGGTATTTTGACATCATAAATATCTGAATTTCCACCTCATAACCCAAGTCGTTCCCAGCACCTGTCTATTTATCAGTTACTACATAATGCACCCCATTCTTTTCCCTAAAGTGAAATTACTTCAGAGGAACAAAGGAAGAAAATTTACACTAACACAAAAGTTGTGCTCTAGCATTTCTTTTACTCATTCATCACACAAAAAAAGCCACGGTATTCTGATTTTAAGTTTTCCGTTAACAAGAATCTTACATTTTTTATTTTCACATCATGTGAAACATAGAAAATGTTGAAATAATAATAAACCTCCAATCTTCAAAACAAAACGTTTTTCCATCAGTATGCAGAAATTTTGGCTATTATTAGGTTCCCCAGGAACAGTGAACTAACCTATTTTTATGTGGTTTCTGAAAATATTTATTCCCCTGGTTGGGAAGTACTCAACCCTTGCCATTTTTCTTGGGAAGAACCCATTACCTAATAAGGTATTTATCTTTCCCTCGGAGCTGGCTTCCCAAGAAATAAAGAAAACAGGCAGAATGCTTTGAAATGATGGTGGAGCACATTTTTAAGAGGAAAAAGGAAAAAAAAAGAACAGATTCTGAGAACATTAGTCTGAACCCAAAAGAGAGAAACACTTGTAATCAATTTTCTTTTCAATAATGTAATAAATGCCGCCTGCACTTTGTGTGCCTAAAGAGAACCATTCTGAGATAAAGGATGTCTCCCCAACCTTTTATACTGAACCGGTGGTTTCCCAAATTTAATATGCATGAAGAGTGCACGTGAGCCCTCTTAAATCCAAGAGCCAAACCCTGCCTGTGCAATAAATCTCACCACTACTCCACTATTAGACAGGGGATTAAAACTAATCTAGCAATCCCCAAACCAAGCACTGAGTGGATTAAAATGCAAAACGCATGGGAGTAGGAAGATGCTTAATGCTAAATAACAAACATTTCAATCATAGAAATCATTTTTATCTTCTTGTTTATGCTAAGTAGATACTATTAGACTTAATATCTGTATTAACACGAGTGGAGAAAAGAAACAGTATTACCAAGACCCAAGTATTTTAATGCCTTAGAATACCTGGCCCAAAAAACAAAAGCAAACAAAAATGAGCTTAATAAAAGGACTACACTGTGATCTTTAGATTAATTGTCTACTCCTTTAAGGTCAACTCAACGATGCTTGACCTTTTTAATTTTCCTTTAAGCCAATGCAGTACACACTATAAAGGTTGAATCAAGAAAGACAAAACAGTTTCCAGGGTTCCCAGCCTGAAAGTGGAGCAGGCTTTCTCTGAGTAATGCCTATGTAATATTTAAGTCAGCAAATGCCTTAACCATCATCTTCTTTGCCAAATTATCACAGCACAACAATAGGAGAGTCCCCATTGCAGTGAACCCAGAAGAGGCCCTTATGAGGCCTGCACCCCGTAAAGCTGTAGCTGATCGCAAATGTAGGAAAGTGAACACGTGCAGGCTCTCATTAGCACTGTCTATCCAAAGAACACAATACACACACACATCTGGCATCTCCTAACGGCTATGGAACCCATTACACACAAAACCAATGACTTCGCTCCAACTGCAATCCATATAATGCTGGAAGGAAATCCATAAAGTTTTATCTGAATTACTGTTGTACCTTTCAACTCTGTCATCTTCCTCAATTTTCCACTCCTGGGTTCTGTTATACCCTCTCTCAGACATCTGCGTTTCAACTTGAATCCCTTCCCCGGGCCCTTCCCTACCCCCACTTCCCTATAAAATATTCTTCAAGTCTCCCCTCCTGTACCATGCTATGCGATTCCTACCAAGTCAGGCTCAGTCTTTCTTACGTAGAACAATTTCTACAAATGGTTGTAACACTGACATGGAGGTTGGTCCTGGGACGCTTACCTCATCCCCAGCATTTGTTTCCAAACACAAAATCTAGGAGAAAAATTGGACTATTATACATAAGTGCAGTATAAAATGGAAGGTATGCACACAAAGCTTGGACTAGCCTAGGCATTCATAACTTGTTTTCAGTTTTCAAGTATTGGTATTCATTTCATTTCCTCTCAACCAAGTCCTCATGGTTCAGAAAGCTTTACACATTACACAGTAGTAAGAGGAGTTATGAATTAACACTTGGAGTTATAAAATAGGAATAGGAAGATCTCTGATTTCAAGCATTGTGATGCGTAAGTTTCTGCAGTGAAATCGCTAAGTCATCTCATGTTTATAACAACAGAAAAAAGAAGTTGAGATTCAATGTAATGTGACTTCCTCAAAAAAGCAGGTTTTGTCATATATGTATATATATATAATTTTTTGTCATATATATATATAATTTTTTGTCATATATATATATGTATATATATATATGTATATATATATATACGTATATATATATATGTATATATATATATATGTGTATATATATATATATACACATATATATATATATCATTTTTTTTTGAGACTGGATTTCGCTCTTGTTGCCCAGGCTGGAGTGCAACAGCGCAATCTCAGCTCACTGCAACCTCTGCCTCCCAGGTTAAAGCAATTCTCCTGCCTCAGCCTCCCGATCTTTCTTACCTTTTCAAGGGTCATAGAATCACTACATCTTAGGGAAACAATAAAAAAAATAAACTAGGTACTGGGAAATTCTTCAAGCATGGCTCAGTCAAAATGATGTGAACTTTCACTTATGAGGACAGTTTTGTAAAAATATTCCAATGTTTCTAGGTTCTGATAGCATATCTGTCTCATCAGCAAAGACCACCAACGAAGTCCCAGGGATCTTCAGAAATCACCCCAACCCCTCAAGCAAATGGACTTCTCAAAAAGCAGCTGATTTTGTGGAAGGAGTTCCCAAATCCCAATCAGTTGGCCAGGGCTGGTCCATGATGAAACTTTCACCAGCCTTCACCAAGTTAAATTTGTTTAACATGCAGACAAATAATTGTTTATTCTAAGATTATCTCCTCCCTATACTTTCAGTATTCAAATCTCTTTTATGAAGGGATGATTACAATATGTGACGGTTGATTTATTTTCTGTTTGCTTTCTGCGTTTTGTTTTTTCACTGGGACACATCTTTCTTGGAAAAATTTTAATTGGCAACATTTTGAAATTTAATGATCCATGAAGTCCAAATTGCTGGGACTTTGTGGAATAAGAAAAATGTTCTAGGGACGAAGTTTTCATCTTTCTTTCCAAATACTAATCCATCTCACTGGTCTAGTAATCAGATGAGAGGATGAGAAAAAATTGTTGTGTTGGCTTAGTTTTAGCTAACTTGGATTTAATAACCAAGAACGATCACCACGACAGAATAAAGTTTTCTCCTCGAGATCCTGACTGATAGATTACTCAGCTCATGGCGGGATTGATTCTGTGGTAGGAACAGAGAGAACAATAGGAAAAAGGTATGGAATCTGGGTACATAAATCCCCACACACAACAATCTTGAAAATGTAGGCCTGTCATTGCTGATTAGAAAGTTCCCCATCTTCTTGTTTCCACCTTCCTTATTGTTGCTTTGAGAAGCTGGAAGATTACTTACCTTCTTGAGGTTGGAGCTGTCTGGCTCCCAAAGGTTTGTAGAATTTCTCCACGTTCCCATCTGCCTGCTGTGAATTTCACTGCACATCCACTGCTGCTCACCCATGGATCTAGAAAATATTCACTAGAAACTCAAATGCCCATTTCTCATCTTTATGTGATTTTCGTGGGTATGTGTATGTGTGTGTGATCTTACGATGCTGTTTATAAGAAGATATCATTCGTCACTTAGAAGGCAAGTAGTATTTTATTTTCAGGATCCTCCGAAAAGCTGGGAAAATCTCATCTCCATTATTTTTAGGCACTGTCACTGTCTCTCAAGACATAGGTTTTAATATGGTATCGTACCAAAAATGATGGCAGTGTAGCAATTTTGGGCCAATGTATGGGCATCCTTTATCATTGCCTAGTGCAGCAAGTCATTTGAAGTGAGGGCATTCAATACCTACAGGCATTCCTAGTTGAAATTCCAATTAGAAAGGAAAATAAAGGACAATTGTACAGCCTGTTAAAAGTTGGACGATTCCAAATAATACGGAGAGAAAGAATGTCTGATGGCTTTTTGGATCTCTTGAGTATTCCAGATGATACTCTACTTGCAATACGTTTTAAACCCCTAGGAAAGACCATTTCTATGACCATTGAAGATGCAGGTAAAAAATCATCCAAAGAAAAAGACATTATACAAAATTGGTCTTAACAAATACTTATTGGCCACCCTCACCATGCCAAAAATGAAATCCCGGTATCAATCAGGATGATCAGAAAGGACCTCTGGAATATGCGGCTCTTTGACTTGGTTTTTAATCAGATGTCCCCAGAACTCGGAGCTCATGAATCACAGAACTGAAAATGATCCTCAGCCATCACAGAATTCATTCGCCTCCCTCTGAGAGGAGCAGTTCAGAAAGCATTGAAATCAAACCACCTGGCCTTTTCTTTTCAAATGCCCTGAGAATGTGCCACAACTCTGCTTTCATCCCGTATCCCAGTGTTTCACTGCTCTTGCTGACAGAAGAGAATTCTCCCCGCGAGTGGATGTCTAACCTAAATCCTTCATGCTGCAATGTACGTCCATTCCCTTTGTTCAAAATGACTGTTTCTTCTCACACCTGCTCCCCATTAGGTGACTATTACATACTTCTGGGTAATCATTCTAGATGAGCGAAAGGCATAAACTACTGCAGCTGAGGGTAGTAGCATATTTTTCCATGCAGATGTGTGAGTCATCATCAAATTGTGAAATCTTTGTGAGTAGGAGCACATGGGAAAGATTGCCTTTTGCCAGCTCTTCTCCGATTACATGTTATAAGGAAATAGACAACAGAAGTGCAGTTAGAAACAGAGTAACATTGGACCTACAAACACAAACACACACACACAATTTATGGGCTTTAGTTGGAATGAAACAAGAATTTATAAGCTGGTATGTGCCTTCTGTTCTAAGCACTGCTGAGTTTCTGATGCTTGGATACCATTTCTTATGCCTCTGCTATCTAAAGCAGGCTATCATTATGGGTGCGTGAAACCAGTCTAACTTGCTAATTCTGCTAAAACTCAAACCTGTCACTCTGGTTGTTTTATGCCATATAGTCAGAACAACCAGTAAATGGTATGCTTCATAGGTTAACTGTTCTGAAACAATTTAGATATAGCCTCACGGAGAAAACAACATGGTTCTGCTTCCTGAGGCTATGGGGAAGTACTGTTATCTAATACATTGCTCACTAATGCACTGTGTGCCTAGATGATCCACATCTTAGAAACTCCCAATATGGGTCACAGATTGGCAGCATCAGTACCACCATGGAGCATGTTAGAAATAGAGTCGCAGGCAGGCCGGGCGTGGTGGCTCATGCCTGTAATCCCAGCGCTTTGGGAGGCTGAGGTGGGCGGTCATGAGGTCAGGAGATTGAGACCATCCTGGCGAACACAGTGAAACCCCGCCTCTACTAAAAATACAAAAAAATTAGCCGGGCGTGGTGGCGGACGCCTGGAGTCCCAGCTACTCGGGAGGCTGAGGCAGGAGAATGGCGTGAACCCAGGAGGCGGAGCTTGCAGTGAGGCAGTGAGGGGACATGGCGCCACTGCACTCCAGCCTGGGCAACAGAGCGAGACTCCATCTCAAAAAAAAAAAAAAAGAAAGAAAGAGAGTCCCAGACCTCCCTCCAGACTGCTGCTTTTTTTTTTTTTTTTTTTTTTTAGACAGAGTTTTGCTGTTGTTGCCCAGGCTGGAGTGCAATGGCGCAATAACGGCTCACTGCAACCTCCACCTCCCAGGTTCAGGCGATTCTCCTGCCTCAGCCTCCCAAGTAGCGGGGATGATAGGCATGAGCTACCATGCCCAGCTAATTTTGTAATTTTTTTTTTTTTAGTAGAAACAGGGCTTCACCATGTTGGTCAGACTGCTACATCTTAACAAAATTCCTAGGCATTTCATGAATACGTTTAAATTTGAGAAGCACTGACTTGCTTCACTCCTCAATGCCTCTATTTCCTCATCTATAAAATGGGTATCGGCCGGGTACAGTGACTTACACCTGTAATCCCAACACTTTGGGAGGCTGAGGCAGGAGGATCACTTAAGGCCAGGAGTTCGAGACCAGCCTGGTCAACATGGCAAAACCACATCTCTGCTAAAAATAGAAAAATTAGCTGGGTGTGGTGGCACATGCCTGTAATTCCAGCTACTCAGGAGACTGAGCCACGAGAATCACATGAACCTGGGAGGCTGAGGTTACAGTGAGCCATGATCACGCCACTGCACTCCAGCCTTGGTGACAGACTTTGACTGTCTCAAAAATAAAATAAAATGGGTATCAACTGACACCTGTTACTTGCTTCGGAGCAAAGGAGGATTAATGTCAGAGGTTTTTTTCCCTCTCCCAGGAATGGTCTCTACATAAACACAGCTTGGGGGACTCGTTTCATTTGCTGGAACAGGCAATGACTGAACATGTTTTGGAAGAAGAGCCAGGACTCCTTCCTAGATAATACATCTGTCCTTCATCCAAACTTCTCTTCATGGCCTCACGGCTCCAGAAAGCAGCAGAGCCGTTCAACCCACTGCCTTTGGAGAAACAACCAAGCCTGATCCCAATGAAAACAGCTTTCCTGCTCCCTGTCTTGGCTGTCAAACACAAACACAGACACTCTGTGGGTGAAGTCAGCCCAGCTGGATGTCTGCTGCTGAGCCATCTGCAGAACAACTTGCAGACTAGTAGCTTGACTCTGGCTAAGACAAAAGGCAAGGGGGAAGCTGGGGGAGAAAGGCCACAGCCTGACTCCAGGGACTTTCCCCCTCAGTCCTTCCTTCATTCCTTCCCTCGGAAAGGATAAGAATGGAAGGAACAGATGAGGACTTCATGCAGCTAGCATGCTTTCATGGCTGTCAGGCAAAACCCTAGCCAGATGCCCAAGGGACGCTACAGAGCATTCACATCACACCTACACCCCAAGAGCCATGTCATAGGGACAGAAAGAGGCAACCCCCATAACATAAAAATTCAGAAATCAAGAGGGCACTGAGGCTGGGCATGGTGGCTCACACCTGTAATCCCAGCACTTTGGGAGGCCAAGGCAGGTGAATCACTTGGGTCAGGAGTTCGAGACCAGCCTGGCCAACATGGTGAAACCCTGTCTCTACTAAAAATACAAAAATTAACTGGGCATAGTGGTGGGCACCTGTACTTGGGAGGCTGAGGCACAAGAATCGCTTGAACCCAGGAGGTGGACGTTGCAGTGAGCTGAGATCGCACCACTGCCCTCCAGCCTGGGCAACAGAGTGAGACTCTGTCTCAAAAAAAAAAAAAAAAAAAAGAGGGTACTGAATCACTCTCTCCACTCATAATCCCAACCCTCCCCACCCCCGGGTTTGTGCAGACACTAGACAATAAACCTTTTAGACTTACCAAGAAACAAAAACAGATTGAGCCCTTGACCTCCCAGTTACCAGTTCTTTTACATCTAAAGACCTGGGTTAGAGAGAGCACATGATTTCTCTGCCAGAGAGGCAGTGGTAGACTCAGTTTCTTTAGGTTGAAGTGACCTGAATAGCAATGTCAAAAAATGTAAGATCAGTCTTGCTGACTTTGGAACCACATAGACAAGATACTGTGAATGTGTCATTTGATTCCACTAGTGGTTAATAAAGGCAACCCTGAATACTAGTAAGGTAGGAAGAAACTAACATTGAATTCTGAGTGTACACACGCACACACACACACACACACACACACACACAACATAGACCAGGTTTCCAGAGGTGCCAGTTGTTCAGTTCAAGCCACAAAACAGCCCTTAGCATGCTAACCTGCAGAATAACAGCCATCCAGATTCCCTCCCAGCCTGATCCCACTTCATTTATCCTCTTGACCTCCTTACCTCTTACTCTTTCCTTTTCCCTCCTTCGTTTTATCCGATCAGATTTCAAGATTGAAAAAGGGGCAGCTTTGAGAAAATGAATTGCTACAATCAACAACCAAAACATCAACAATAAAAGGCTGGAGATCAAAGGAAAACACCCTCAAACAAAATGATCTGAAGAGTTTCAGTGAAAGGAACTATTTCCAGTCCGATGGGTTTTTAACATAGACAACATCTTGTGTATTTATTATGTACAACATGTTGTTTTGAAATACATATTCATTGCAGAATGACTCAACTAAGCTAACATATACATTACCTCACATACCATTTGTGTGGTGGGAGCACTAAAATCCACTCTCAGCAATTTTCAAAATAAGACACATGATTATTAATATAGTCACCATGTTGTACAATACACCTCTTGAACTTATTCCTCCTAACTGAAATTTTATGTTCTTTGACCATCTCTCCAACCTGCAAGTAGGCACCATTCTATGCTCCAATGAGTTCAATTTTTTTAGATTCCACATATAAGTGGGGTACTGAGGTATTTGTCTTCCAGGTTCATCCATGTTGTCACAAATCACAGGATTTCTTTCTTTTTTAAACCTGAATACTATTTCATTGTGTGTGTATGTATGTGTGTGTGTATATATATATACACACATACATATAGAAAGTATATATACATACAGAAAGTATGGTGTGTACATATATATCCATACCTTCTGGATTAATTTACCCACTGAGGGACACTTAGTTTGATTCCATGTCTTGGCTACTGTGAAAAATCCTGCAATGAACAAGGAAGTGCACACATCTCTCTTCAACATACTGATTTCATTTTCTTTGGATATACACCCAGTAGTGGGATTGCTGGATCATATAGTAGCTCTGTTTTGAATGTTTTGAGAAACTTCCGTCCTGCTTTCCGTAGTGACTGTGGTCATTTAGATTCCCATCAGCAGCTCCAGCACAATGTTTCCTTTTTGCCCCCACAACAGGCAGAAATCAAGATATAAAGAGAAACATGGATAGAAGAGATGCTTTCCCCTTTCCTCCCTCATTAACCCATGGCTGCCTCCATAAATGGAAAGAAGACTGGATGTGAGCATTCTATGATGTTTCAGACACTCACTGAAAATTACATAGTTAAAATAAAGACCAGAGTTGATGCTACCATTTCTGCCTGAAGCTTATCCTGAAAGTAGCTCTGGGGAAAGAGTTCTCTCTCTAGGATCCAAAAGTCATGGAGGTAGGTTTGACGTCCTACTATGTCCCACTACTTGTTGCCTCTAGGTTGGGAATTGTCATGTGGTTTAGGTGCCTTAAGATTCTTCCAGTGTGAGATGTGGGAAGCTGCTCCTTGTGACTTGCTCTGCCTTTTTCCTGGTGCCAAATACCATTCTCAACCTCCAACCTCCCACTCCAGGCAGCACATCCTGTCTTTGGACAGCCCGCCATGCTAGTGTCTGCCATCCAGTAGTCACAGGCCATCTTCCCGCAGGTTCCCAACAACCTGAGAGGCTTATTAAGGAGACAGCAACAGAGACTCAAAGAGGTTAGTAATGTTGCTTTCAGTCACAAAATCAATTAAGGGGAGAGTCAGGATGCCTATGCTTTCAAGTTCGACTGGCTCCAAAGCTTGTCTTCTAAGCCCACAATGCTATTTCCTTAAAAGGACAGAAGGTTCTCCCTTCATCAGGAGCTCATTCATTCATTTTCTTCCCCCTGAGAGCCTCCATGTCCCAGCCTGGAGTTGGGCATGCTGCATAATCTCACCCTGGTCTCCTGGAGATAACGTTTCCTCCTTGCTCTCTTAGAGTAGGCAGGAGAATATGATATTTACAAGAAAGTGCTTTGATGGGGGTGTGGGGATAGCTTGGATTTGAATCTCAGGTCATCTACCTATTTGCTGTAGGACCCTGCACTATACTTCCTTATACCTGTTTCCACACTCTTCAAGTTGGCATAATAATATTCTATTTCATGATAACATACAAAAATAAGTTTTGATTCTAAACCTAGAATATAAAACAGTGCCTGGCACAAAGAATAATATATATACACCTACTAAATAAAAACTACACTCCTTCTCCCCCAAGATTGTCGTGATAGAAATGCATCATTCAGGGAGCAAGAAAAAAAGACCCCACCACAGTTCAAGATGCCACTCAAAGCATAACACTCAGGCCATGGCCTATTTGGTTTCTACATCAGGTCTGCCCCACCCACCTTTAGCTTTCAGTGGACTAAAGACAAAAAGGGTCTAATGCATTCCTGGCGGTTTTTCAAAGCATGGCAGAAGTGAGTCGGGTTTATAAGATTAATTCTTTTCACTCTAGGCAGTGGGTCATATCAGAACCTTCACTCAACCAACTCAGTGGATAATCTCCTTTTATTACTTTCAATCAAACTAAGTGTCTGCAATCTGTACAATGGCCACCAATTTAGTGGGAAACAATAATTTGTAGAGCATGATTATAAAAAGATGAGATAGAACACAAGGTCCAGATAAGCATCCTGTAAGTTTGTTCCTATCTCATTGCATAGAAAGCTTTTATGACCCAAACTACATTAGGGACATACAGCTGTTCTGCTATGCTAAAAATCAAAGAAAGAAATAGACATTGTTCACAGATCAGTTTCTTATTTAAATAAGAGAAACAGCCTATTGGTTAAATTCATATCCTTTGTCATACTCACATGGAGCGATCCATCGCTCGTACAAGTTAAACATGAAAAGATTTCATTGTATAAAAACCAGAAGCTTCTTTTAAAAGATAATAAAATTCTAGTTACACAACTGGACAACATCACAAAGCCGTCTGGATTGTGGAAACCACTCTCTTCCCGTGATGGATAATAAGGCATGGGGTTTTGCTTGCTTTGATTAATTTCAGAATATTGCAGAGAACCCGCATAATCCCTAAGATAGCAAAGGAGAGAAGGAGAAGCGATGGGCAATGATAAAAGCGTAGTAATGGAGCAGGAGCTGTGTTTCCTCTGCTGTAGGAACGCTCCCCTCTGCACCGCCGCACCCACCCTCCCCGCAAAAAAAGAAACCAATTTCATTTTGGCAAGTACTAACCACAATAAGAGTCGACACACAAAAATGTCCTCTGGCTCTGGGGCTTAAATTATATGCACCGAGGCCGAGCAATGCAAAACAAAAACTATGAGATGTCTCCATGACTGTGATCAGATATATAACATAGCTGGAAAACGTACATTTCCCTTTTTTCAAAGCACAGCAGCCATTATTTATACAAGTACTGAATATGGAAAAGGCTCTGACAAATTTACAGTGGTGTTTGGATGGATGAGGATGGTGGATGATGGATGAGGGAGACGGAGGATTCCCTTATTAAAGCATCAAATTCTTCCCTAAATATCAAATAGACATCTTAGCCACAACTGCACTGCTTCTTGCTCAAAATTACATAAACCAACCCTGTTAAATGTTTTTCTTTAATAGGAAAAGGCAGGA